>NC_000020.11:44799567-45102597 GCF_000001405.40 Homo sapiens
TCATTAGAGGACCCAATTAGTGAGTGCAGTGAGTGTGGTGGAATATCTTTCCACCCACTCTCAGGGTGACTCCAGGTGGCGTTCACTAGGGACACTGAGTGCTGGAGATAAAGGCAGCAAACTTGAGGCCTCAGGTGCCGCAGGGTCCATGATGGCTACTTGGGGTGCCTCAGGGGACAGGGAGAGATCCTGAGCTGTGTATCCAGAAACATCATTGCCACAGACCTCCTGTGAGGCTTCAGGCCAATTGAGATTGCTCTCTGGGCCTCAACTAAGATAGCCACAGTAGATGACCTCAGAGGGACTTTCAACTAAAATAATGACAGCTAACACTCTTAAGACACTTTCACTGTGTACCAGGCTCTCTACCAATATTTATTCATCTAATCCTCTTGACACCTTCGAGGCAGGATGGGGCTATGATAAGCCCGTTTTGCGATGAGGAAACAGGCTCAGGGAGGTTAAGTGACTTGCTCAGAGTCACACAGCCAATAAGCGGCAGAGCCAAGATTCAAATCCAGGTTATCTGGCTGTGGAGCTCGTTACTTTCACCATGCTATACTGCCTAGTGCAACCCAACTTCTCTGGAACTCTCACAGTGCCTGGCACAGGGATGGGCACCACCATAAGTGCTTAATAAGAATTTAAAAACAGGAAAATAAGAAAAAACTGGTAGCCTGAAAGAGTGTGATGGTGGCTTGTGGGAGTGGGACTGGATAGCTGAGTAGAAGGGAGATGCCATTTCTTTGGATGTCCTCTGGTGCTGTTCGGCTTTTTTACGATGTATCTACATTATCAGCAGTAATAACAGCATAAAGCATTATAAAAGCTGATAACAGTGCTTGTACCAGGGATGGGACATGAGGATCAGAAGACAGGGGTGCCCAGGACACTTCCCCCGGATATTTTTCATGTGTTTAAAATGTTGTAGCATCTGCATATATTACCTAATCCAAAAAAATACTTTAAAAATTATCCAAGACCAATCAAGCAAAGATCAGCTAGAGAGAAACTGGCAGGAGGGGGCGCTCTGGGGATGAAAAATAACCATCTAGGGGCTACCGCAGAGTCAGGGGGAGACAAAGGAGGAACTGGAGGGCCTGTACAAGTGTCCTACCTTCTCTGGGAGACTCTGGGTATATCTAAACCAAGCCCACCAGCCTCTCACTCTGCAGGCAGGGATACTGAGGCCCAAAGAGTCAAAAAGTGGGTGTAGGAGACACTGAGACTCGGCGATGAACAAAGTCCTTCTCTCTTCACTCCTCATGCAGCCTTTCAGGCTCCACTGTGCACACAGTAAACACCACATACCTAGACCAGAGCGAGGAGGCCTGACGCCAGCTGTGTGCTGCCCCATCCCACCCTTCCTCCACCCAGATGTGCACATCACATCATTTTTATGAAGTCTACAGGAAAAGGAAAGGCGGCAGCTTCCATAGCTTGGATGTCTTCTATGTGTTGTACATACATCCTCTGGAATTCTCACAAGGTATCTCTAATTCCATTTTGCAAAGGACAGGCTGAGGCCTAGATCAGTTACATACCACAGTCATGATGCACAGCTAGAAAGGGCCAGAGATGCAAACCCAGGTCTTTGGGCCTCCCAAGTCCGCTCATTTTTACTATCCCAAGCCACCCCTCACAGAGGGTATTTCCCATCAGTTTAGGACAAGTCCCACCCGGAAACTATTTTTAAGTGCCTTTGTCTTCAGATTCTGAGTTGTATGGGGCTGGGTGAGAATCTCATCACATCAAGGTTGGTCCCCTGCCTCCAACCTGAGCTAGACCCCAATCTTCCCTAGAAAATTATCAGCGACCCCTTTCTTAGAAACATCTGAATAAACTGACTCAGTAAACTCCCCCGGGAGCATTTCCCAGCACTTTGCCCCCTTTACATCGATGATTCCTTTGATTTACTTCTTCCCAGTAGAGGTTTGTCCTCAAATGAACTTCCTGGTTTTAACACATAGCCCTCCCTTTTCCCAATGCAGAAAAGGGACCATGTCCTGTTCTCTCTGGACGAAAAAGGAGCTAGACCTGAATCCTCAGAATTCCCAGAGCTGTCTGGGTCCAATATCCCATGCAATGGTCTCATGGCCTGATGCATTGCTCATTTTGACTCACTTATCCTTTGTACAAATGACTTCCTAGAGGCTTTATGAGGGCCTACGTGTTAAACCTGGCACAACGCAGGCAGCAGCTGAGACTCATTTGGATCATAGACTCTGTGACAGAAACAAGAGGGCCTGAAGACCATACCCAGGACTGAATTTGGTACCCAGTGTCCCAGCATCTAAGACATCAGGAGCCAGGAGATATCCCACGTTGGCAAGACCCCTTCAGTTCTCTCCAGCCTTTTCCTCCAACCCAGTGGTTCTCAAGGTAGGGTCCCTGGATCAGTACCATCCGAATCTGCATCACGTGGGAACTTGTTAGCAATGAAATCCTCAAGTCCCTCCTGCCCCCAAACTAAATAAAAGACTCTGGGTGGGCCCAGCAGTCTGCATTAAGAAGCCCTCCAGAGGATTCTGAGGCTCACTCAAGTTTGGCGGCCCTGCTCTAACCCATTTAAACTGACAACAGCCACTGTGACAACTGCAGCTGCTACCAATGACTGGGAACCTACTATGTGCCGAGGGTTAAACATGCACTCTCATCCATTAATCCTCATAGCAAAGGACACCTTATTCCATACGTCCAGCTCTGGGTTAGGTGTGTTGTGTGCATGATGTCATTTACTCCTTACTATAACCCTCTTGAGTATTTACTATTATTATGCCCCATTTTACAGATGCGGACATTGAACCCCAGAGGGTTGAAGCAACTTGCCTACAGTCATACAATTTAGAAGTGGCAGTCAAGATGAAAATTCAGATCTGCCGGATTCCAAAGCTATGTTCTTTCTGTCCGTCCATGGAAGTTCCCCAGGGTCTCTCACACCTACATCATCAGTCTGGGTCAGGTGAGATTCGAAGAGGGGTGGAGGCAGGCAGGGTGAGCAGAAAGAACCCAGCCTGGACTCCACAGTGCCTTCCAGCTACAGCGTGAAAGGAAGCTGCGTTATGCATGTAAAGGCACAGCCATCTGCGCCTAAGGAACATAAAAAACAGGGATTCAGGGGGCATGAGTTCTTGGCCTCTCTCTAACTTCACCCAGCTGGGGGCCTTTTCTTTTCCTTCTTCGGACCTCAGTTCCCGCACCAGATAATCTTTATCCTCTACAAGGCTGAGATAATTTGCCCCCTTCTCTGATCTTGTCTCTCTAACCACACTGGTCTGTCATCTCTAGCCACACTGGTCTGCTTTCTATTCCCTAAAACTCAAACTCGCACTGACCTCAGGGCCTTTGCACAGTTATTCCCTCTGCCTGGAACACTCTTCCTCCTCATATTCCCATTGCTGGCTCTTTGTCAGTTAGGCTTTATCTCAGATATCACCTCCTTAGCCTTCCCTGACTACCTTACTTAACATTATCTCCTAGCCCATCATCGTTCCATTTTCATTCCACTTAGCAGAACCTGAAATTCTTTATTGAATTGGTTACCTATTTATTGTCTGTTTCCCCCACCCCAGAATATAACTCCCTGAGAGCAGAAACCATGTCTGACTTGTTCCTTGATATATCCCTAGCACCCTAGCACCTAGAACATTAACACTGAGCAGCTCATTAACTACTAACTGAATGAACAAATACCAGAAAAGAAAACCTGGACTCAGAGGTCAGAGCTCTGGATCCTTAATATGTGACCTTGGCAAGCCACTTCGCCTCTTTGAGCCTGTTTCCCTACTTGCTTAATGAGGAAATGGGCTAGATGCTCTCCAAGGGTCCTTCCAAGACTTCCAGTCTTGGAAAGCCAGACCTGGAAGCAGCCCAGCTGGTCCATCCAGAGAAGGCAGCTGGCCAGGGTCCTGGCAGCAGCTGCCCTCTCGCCACCCCCATCCACATCCCTGCCCAGCCACACAGTCATCTCACTCCCCCGTTGCAGAAACTGTTAATGAAGTGCGCACTGCTAAATGCAGTTACAATTACGGGGGCTAAGAATAAGGCGCTGACATCAGCCTCCTCAGTTTCCGAGTGAATCAGAAGGGGAGGGGGGAGGAAGGAAAAAAGGGGAGGGGGGATGGCGCTCTGGAGCTGTCAAGTGGAAATAGCACAGCGTTAAATATAATCCAGCACTGGCCTACATCAGTCTGGAGAGGCAGGTGATGGCTTGGCCCCCAGGGCCAGGGCAGACAACTGGATTCTTCAAGGAGGCCAGGCAGCCACGGCAGCTGAGGGCCAACTGTGATAGGGATCAACCAGGAACCAGTGGCAGGGAAGGCACTCCAATGGGTGGGTGGATTGTAGCAGGGTGGTGGACCCTGGTGGGACACATCACACCCAGGCCTTTGTCACCTGCTGTTCTGACAGCACAAGCACAGCCCCAGGAGCTTACATAGTCCTGTCCCACCCAGGATCTCATTTCATGCCCAGAAGCAGAAGATGGCCTAGAGTCAAACACACCTGGGTTTGAATCACCACCCTATAACCTGAGAAAGTCATGAATTCAACTGCTCTAAGCTGCCTGGCTTTCCTCATCTGCAAAATGGGTACATCTGCAACAGCAGCTACCCCTTCAGGTTGCCATAGAATTCAGTGCGATCACAGAAAGCAATGAGCATGGCCAAGCAAGCCCATCAATCATTTTATTTTTATAATCCTGAGAGATGCTTGAACAAAAATAATTAACCCTTTTTTTCCAGATGAGGCTCAGGAAGGTTAAGAGACTTGCTTGAGGTCAGAGCCAGAGCGGATTCAAATCCAAGCCCAGGTATCTTTCCAATACAAAAAGGCAGTGGAACTGACGAGGAATGCAGAATGGGAGAAGGTTTATAGTGGGGGAGATACTTCACCCTTTTGAGCACATTCACCAAAAGTGGCACCTTTCCAGCAATTTTTAAAAGACATGATGAAATGATGGTTGCTACGGCCATAAAGAAAAGACACAGAGGAGGCAAAGTAGAAAAAAGTCCCTCAGACAGACAAGAGGGTCGGCTGAGGGTGAAGGCTTCCTTCCATTCTCGCTCTCCTCCGCATCTCTCCCTTCACCCCCACTCAGCCTTCAGTTGGAACTTGCTCTGCCTCTGGTTCTAGCAGGGAGTGGGGAGGGATGCAGAGCCACATCCTGAAAGGGAAACAAGGTAGATGGACCTCTCTCCCCCTTCCCACCAAACAGAACTAGGTGGGCCTATGGCAGCTGCAAACCGAGGAAGCTGGAGCCAGGAGTCTAGGGGATTGGGGATGGGGAAGGGGGTGCCTAAGGGAGACAGAAAATAAGGAAAGAGCACTGATTGCACCACAGCAGACCTGCAGACCAGTGATCTGTACAATGGGGTAAGGCGTGAATCCTCATGCACCTGATTTTCTAAGATCATTCTTTCAGGATAATTTGATTAAAATAAAGTGGTCTGGGCTGGGCATGGTGGCGCATGCCTGTAATCTTAGCACTTTGGGAGTCCAAGACGGGAGGATCGTTGAGTTCAGGAGTTTGAGACCAGTCTGGGTGACATAGTGAAACCCCATCTCTACAAAAAGAAAAAAAAAAGAAAATTAGCCAGGGGTGGTGGTGCATGCCTGTAGTCCCAGCCACTTGGGAGGCTGAAGTGAGAGGATCACTTGAGCCCGGGAGGTAGAGATGGCAGCGAGCTGAGATCGCACCACTGCACCCCACCTTGGGCGACAGAGGGAGACCCTGCCTCAAAGTAAATAAATAAATAAATAAATAAAGTGGTTTGCGTCCACACTCTCACCCCACCCCTCTACTTGAACTATGGGAACAACTGGTTCAATTCTCCATCATGCTTCACTTATCCAAATCTACAAGAGTTCTGCCCAGCTCTGAAAACATTAAGAAAATGGGAAGGGGGGTGTGGTCAGGAAGAAGTGAGAGAGGAAGTGTCCTGCCCTGGAGGGTGAGGGTGGGAGTGGAGGCTTCAAAGCCGCAACTTCATGCCTCCACGTGGTCCTGACCATGAAGGATATTTTAAGGCCTCCTCCCTCATCCACCCTGCCAGCCTCCTTCTAGGGCTGAAGGATTCATTCCCACCATCTTAGAGGGAAGGGGTGAGACAGCAGGACATTTTGTTTCCCAGAAAAAGCTCAGGTCAAATTTCAAGGACAAAAGTTAGCACTTGGTCTGGGAAAGAAAACTCTGCCAAATGGAATAAAGGGGGAGGGGGAGAACTCCAGTGAGGTCATTCCAGGTGCCTGGGGGTGTGGAGAGAAATCGGAACTCTGATTCTCCCTGCCAGGATCTGTCCGGCAGGATATGGGTATCGCCGCCTCATCACCCAGAAGTACTCAGACCACCCCCTACATTTCCCCTCTGTCCAAAAATGGGGAGCGGGGCGCTGTGGTACTAGTTTTTGGATCCCATCCACTATCCCACCCCGCCCCCAGCCCAACAGATTTGGTCTGAGCGGAAGAGGGTGGTGCCAGGAAGGGCTTTCCAGCCCAGAGATGTGGCCCAAACCGCTAGGAGAGGGACTGGTAGCTGGCTGGTGTTGCCATGGCAACCTCCTCCCTGCGCTGGATCGAAGCTTCCATCCTATGGGCAAATCAGAGCTGGCTGCTCCAGCTTCTCCGCCCTTCTCCCAGGCGGGAGGGGGAGAACTGGACGCTGAAACCACTTGGTCAGGCTCAAGAACACCAGGCTCAATTCCAGACCCTGATGTAACAACCCCCTTTGGCATCTGTTGGAAACTTGAGACACCCCAGCTCCCCAGCTAGGCCCCAAGGCAGAGTGTCAGGGCTGGGACTGTAGATGTGATTGGTGCAAATGAAGTGGTCAGGAAGAGCAGGGAACCAGTGGCTGAAATCCTCCCCACCCTCTTGACTGGCAGGCGAGTCTCCCAAATCCCTATGTTTAAGCCACTTCAAAGAAGGAGGGCCCAGCTCTACCTTAATAACTGTAATGATGCAATAAGATTAGCCTATTAAAATTATAAAGCTAGCATTTTGAGAATCAGCCTTCTCCCCTCCCCAAACCCACAGATTCTTTTCTACAGTCATGTTCAGAAACAACTCTTTCTCAGTAATAAGATAGATAACAGCTAACATGTAGTGAGAGCCTACCTCATGCCAGGTACTGTACTAAGACTTCTGCACAGCACAAACAGCATAATGGTTGATTAAAAGCATAGATGCTTAAGTCAGATTGCCCAAGTTCAAGGCTTCATTCCCTCACTTCCTGGCTGAGTGACCTTGGATGAATTAATATGTCTGTGCCTCAGTTTTCTCATCTGAAAATGGGGATGTTAACAGGATAGCAGTTTTATAGGCTTGCTATGAGGAATGAGTTAATATTTTTAAAATGCCTGGGAATATGTCTCGCACAAAGGTAATCATTTGTAAAATGTTAACCCTATGCAGTCCATGTTATTATTTTTCTTCTTCCTTACAGATACGAAACCGAGGCCACGTGTCTAACTCCTCCCCGATTACAAACCCAGTGCCAACAAGGCTGGGCAACAAAACACACACACAAAAAAACGCCTCCAAGCACATGTTTCCCTAAAGCCCCAGCATCCTTGTGAAAGAGGGCAAAAGGAGCATCTCAAGAAGTAAGTTCAAAGTGCACGAGGGAAGATGCCCCTTGAGAGGAATTCTGGGAACCAGTAATGACCAGCATCCTGGGCCCACGGCGGGCTAGAAAGAGGTGTGAAGAAGGCTCAGCTTCCTGTGCCCACCCCAATGGCCAAGGATCCCAAGTCCAAATCAGGAATGTGCTCTGCCCCAGTTAAGGCTAATGAGAAAAAGGCTCCTTCTCACACCATTTCTCAGGAAACTAGCAAAAGGATGGCAACTAAACTCTGAAGATGGCTCTGGCTCAGTCTAGTTGGAAAAAGATGCATTTCAACATGAGTTGGAAGCAGCAACAAAGGGGAGGCTCCTAGATGAGCCGGAGGCCTGTCAGGGACACACTTCTGAGACGGAGCCAGCAGAGACAGACAGGTATTAAGAAGGCCAGGGGAGGGAGGGGAGAAGAGGCAGGTAGAGCCACGCCTGTGTCCAGTATGGGAGAGACCATTCCATTGCTTTTAGAAATCAGTTCAGTGCAGTGCTGTTCTAAAAGAATAAATCCAAAAAGGCTTCTTTTAGGAGAAAATTAATGACTTTAAGGAGAACAGGAGAAATTAAGCACCAAGACAACGCTGCCTACTTCTGACTTTCACCAGACATTCATTATTTTTCCGGAAATGAAAGTTGACTTTCTCCCTCCCCCTCCCAAATTTGAAGCATCCCTCAAGAACAGACAGTGAGCACAAGATGCCCAAACCAAACTCTTGGTCGCCAGCCGCACCCCCAGGCCTCCTCACCTGGGAAACATTTTCTACACAGTAAGGTCTGGATTTCTTAAAAATCCTCTTTCAGAGGGAGGGCTACTGGTTTAATGGAAAGAGAACCATAAACCTGATTTTAGTCTCAGCTCTGTGGCTGCCTCACTAGATGACCTTGGCATATATATGTGTGTGTGTATATATATATATATACACACACACCCATTCCAGGGCTTCAGTCACACACACACAAACACTCACACAAATACACACACACCCCCATCCATTTGCGGGCAAAAAGGGGATAGACAAGATGATTTCTAGGTCTCTTCCAAGTGAAATACTAAAGAATTTCAAGAAGGCTGCTGGAAAAAACAAACATGAGTGGACCTTTAAAAATATCATTAATACTACTTGAAGTTATCTGTTCTGACTTAAGTGAAACCAGAGCAAGTTGCCTGCAGCCTGCAATAACCAAGGTGTTTGACCCATGACACACAGCATGACTTTGAAGAAAAACTAAACCGCTCCTGCCTCTGATGCTCCTACAAACCCATGCTCCTGCCCAGCCTGGCTCTTGAGATCCAAGTGGACTGCTGACCACTCTACTGTGTTGGGGAGCCCCCTACTTCTTCCCACCTTGCCTTGTCCAGAATAATAATACAACCTCCCTCAGCTACATGAAGGCAGAAGTTAAACCTCTGAGCCTCAGTTGTTTTTTTCTGTAAAATGGTGATTATAAAAATGGTAAAATGTCTCTGCAGTAATCATCTTTACCCTTACCCCCATCCCCACCTCCAGGTCAATAGAAAGACAGGTCTATTGGGGATCTGCCTCACCTATCCCCATTCATTCACCAGTCAACAAATTCTTCTGGAGAAAGGGCAGGAAGACATGCCCACCACTTCATCCCATGATGGAACCTTGGTGGCCAGGTTGATCAGACAAGGGTCCCCAAAGACTAAGTCTAAACCTGGGCCCAGGAACTTCCTAAAACCGTAGGCTACATTTTGTGGATGGTGCATATATGCACTTCGGGAGAGATAGTCCATGTTTTCCTCAGAGACTTGAAAGTGCCCATGAAACCATTTTGCTCCTCAAGCACATACACTCCTCCAGCACATACACTCCTCTGTTTTGTTCCCCCATTGAATTCAAAGACTCTCGGATTTTCACCTTATAAAACACTGAACTCCACCCTCACACCATACAGAGCTTTGCATCGATACGATGATCCCCATTTCAGAGATGAGGAAATCCAGGCTCAGAGGTGGCATGACTTGCCCAAGGTCACAGCTAAGAAGTAGAGAATGAAGACTGGAACCTGATTCCGATTCCCAATCTGGCATTCTTTGGGGAACTCTCACCCAAGCCCTCTAGCTACCCCACCTGTTGGTGGATTCCCTTCCTCACCCCAGAACCAAATCCGGAGCTCTCATGTTCCTTCTGCCGGGTCCCAGGGCCCTAAAGAGTAGGTTTCCCTACAGCTCCCCACCCCTCGCTCTGGCTGAGGTTGTGCGCAGGCCTGGGAGGAGGAGGTTCAAGCCGCTGGCTGGTGGCCGGCTTCAGCCCACCAAGAAAGGCGACTCCAGGGACAAGAGCACCTGAGGTCAGGGGCACACACCAGCGGGCGGACAAGTGTAGAGTTGGCGCCGCCCTACACCTCTCTCCGGGAAGAGAGGGGAGGAAAGGCCGTCACCTGGCCGGTTCCCCTCCGTCTGCCCCAGGCGTATAAGAAGCAGGAGTCTGGAGCCCCAGCCCATGAGGGAAGGAGAGGAGAGATAAATGGGGGCGCTCAAGGCCTGGGGCGCCGGGCAGGGGTCTTGGGCAGGGATCCTCTGGATGTGGCCAAGACAAAGATGGAGAGGTAAGGTCTGCGCGCCACCTCCAATGGCGGGGGGCGCGTCGGAGCCCCAGGGGTGGGACGGCCAAAGCCCAGGGCTTGAAGAGTGGGCACATTCAGGAGACTCAGGGAGGGTGGCAGGTCGGCTCCAGGGACGAGGCAAGGGGCCTCCAATAGGCGCGGGTGAGGAGGGAGATGGGTCCTGGCGACCCAAAGGGCCCACCTGCGGGAAAGGTGAATGCAGACAATCTCGGGGTCCCTGGGGGAGAAGGCCAGAAGGTAGCGCATCCTGGAGACCCTGGGGTCCCGTGGGTGCGGAAGGAGACCCTGGGGGCGCCTTCCCAGGGGATTGGGGGTGGGGAGGAGGGCGCACGGGTCGGGGAGGGGGCTACCGGACCTGGATCCCGGGACACCCCGGGGGTCTGGGGGGCGGGCCGCGCGCTTACCTGCGTCCTCGTCGTCGAAGGAGTTCATGCACGGGAAGTAGATGGCGAGCGCCTCGAAGGAGGCGGACAGACTGAGGCGGCTCTGCGAGCGCTCCATGCCCGCGCCGGCGCCGGGCGCCTCGGCCGCGGCGGCGGCGGCGGCGGCGGGCGGCTTGGGCAGCTTGGCCGCCCCATTCTTGACGCGGAGTACGGCGCGCGGCGTGGTGGCGGCGGCCCGGGGCCGGGCCGAGGCTCCGCTGCGGGGCTGGCGGGCGCGGCGGGGCCGGCGGGCGGGCCAGGAGCTGGCGGCGCGCGGAGCCCGAGGCGCGCTGTGCTGCTGGCGGCGGCGGCGGCGGCGGCGGTGGCGGCGGCGGTGGCGGCGCAGCGCGCTCTGGTCCGCGGCGCCCCCCGCCGGCAGCGCGAGGCGGGCTTGGAGCGGCGCCGCAGCCAATCCGTGCCGCCGGGGGAGGGGGCGCCGCTGCGGGGCGTGGGAGCCCGGAGGGCGCGGGCTGCGGCCTCTTCTAGCAGCCCCCGGGCCCGGCAGGTGCGCGCGGGGAGGCAGGCGCCGGGCGAGGTTGTCTGGGCCCTGGTCCGAGGGCTGTTCCCGACCCCGCCTCGGCCCCCACCCTCAGCCGGCCGACTTGCGGAGAGGCCGGCGTCCAGTCCCTCACCCAGACAGGCCTCTCCCAGAGACACTGGCGCGCTCGGAGGGGATGCGCTCAAAGGGTCCCGCCCAGGCGGGTCGGCACTCGGCCTCCCACACAGAGACCCTCGGCTTCACACCTGCACCCACAGAGAAGCTCAAACAGGCACCCACACCTACACATTCACTCTGCAACATGCCCCGCAGACACCCGGACAGATACACCCACAGACCCACCCCCTCACAGATGCGGGGACAGACACGTCCACGGACACACGCAGACTCACGCAGAGACCTGCAAACACACTCAGGGAGGTAGGCAGGACATCCCTGGTGCCCGGCCTCCCTCACGGGGAGACTCTCAGATGCCACAAAACCCCACGAAGTTCAGGTAGGCATACACAGTCTCATGCATTCACACTTACCAAAGACACCCCAGAATTCATACACACATTCATACACTCAGATGAACACACAAGCCCAGACCCAGCACACACTCTGTGTCGCCTCCCCCTGTGATCATCTCAGCACTGTCAAACACTCTGACTGACACGGCCAGATGCACACACCTTCACCCTCAGACACACTAGAGTAGCACACACACGCCAAGACACAGCCACACAGACTCCATCCCTCCCAGTGTGGGTGCATCCCGACGGATTGACTGACACCCTCAGACTCAGGTACACTGAGACACACTTGGCAGGCTCACACTCACAGACTCTCCCATTATCACCCTCGGCGACCCGCAGTCCTCAGACACACACGGGCTCAGACACTCACAGCCCCAGGACAGAGACGAGCGAATCGGAAACCCGTGTTCCATTCCCTGCATGTGACCTGGGACGTGAGGGTCCCTGCCCACCTAATCAGGCCCCAGATGTCAAACAACCTTCTCAGCTGCTCGCACACCTCTTTATGAAGCCATCTGGCGACATGGAAACAGTTCAGGCCTCAGAAAGAGACAGCCCAGAGTTTGAATCTCAGCTGTGGTGCTGTCTTTCTGGGTGGCCTATGGCAAAACTCTTTATCCCATGGGTCCTGTTCCTCATCTGTACAATGGGGACAGGAGCCTTCCATTTTGGATGGTTGTGAACTGCCTGTAAGATAACACAGGTGTTTGTTTTCTATTGCTGCATAACAAATGAAGCAGCTTAAAAACACCAATCTAGTGATTTACAATCCTGTAGGTCAGAAGTCTGGGCAGCCTGAGCTGGGTTCTCTGCTTAGGGCCTCACAAAGTATTGGCCAGACTGGGCTCTTCTCTGCAGGCTCTGGAGAAGAATCCGCTTCCAAGATCATTCAGGTTGTTGGCAGGATTCAGTTCCTTGTGGTTGCAGGACTGAGGTTCCTGTTTCCTTGCTGGCTGTCAGCCAGAAGTCAACCTCAGCTCCTAGAAGTGGCTTTCTGGTCCTTTCACCTGGCCCCTTCCACCTTCAAGGCCAGTTTCAGGATGTCAAGCCCTTCTCATCCTTCAGTAGAATCTTTCTACCTTGGCTTCTGCTTACTGGCCTGAGAGATTCTGCTTTTAAAGGTCTCGTGTGATTAGATCAGGTCCACTCGCATGATGTCCCTTTGACATATAATGTAATATAATCACGGTAGCGATTCCTGATCAGGGTCGCAGTTTCCACCCATGCTCACACAAGGGCGGGATCACACAAGGTATTACATAAGGGCAAGGATCACTGGAGTTATTCTGACACATCTGCCCATCACAGTGTGCAAAACACCTAGCACAGTGCTGGCCTTCGGCAGGTGCTCCTGAGCCCTAGCCCCTTCCCAGGGACCAGATCTAGACTTTGAGGCAGCCTGGTGTCATGGTTAAGAGTGCTGGTATAATCATCCCCATCTTGGTCAATGGCAGCTCCATTTTTCCACTTGTTTGGATCAGAAATGTTGGATACTTGACTCCAGTCTCACACACACCACATTCAATCCATCAGCAACTCCTGTCATTTCTATACACAAAATGTAACCAGAAACTGACCACTTCTCTGCCCCAAACCCTCCCATCTCACAGTCAAAGTCCATGTTCTACAAGGTCCTAACTTCTTTGGCTCTGCCACCCCTCTGTCTTCATACCCAGGACACCCCGGTGGCTCACTCGGCTTCAGAACATCTGTACTGCTGTTCCCTCTGCCTGAAGCCCTCTCCCTTGCAAAGGGCTGTGTAGCTCACTCACAGATCTCTGCTCAAATGTCACTTTCCCTCTGAAGTCTTCCCTCACCACTCTTTATGAAGTAGCAAAAACCCCTCCCTGAAATGCCAGATCCTCTCTACCCTGCTTTATTTTTCTCTGTAGCCCTCATCACCATCTGACATGTTTCATATATATGTGGGGGGGTACATGTATATATACAGATACACACATATTTATGTACATGTGTATATGCGTGTATGTATGTGCAAACACACATACATGTGTATATGCATGTATATGTGTATGTGTTTGCATATATATATATATATACACACACATACACAACACACACATTTTTATTCTTGTTTATTTGTTTATCGTCTCTTTTTCCCCTTCCCAGAGCCCAGAAAGATGCCTGGCAAAAAGTTCGTGTTCTGTAAATAGTTGTTGATTGAATGAATAAATTCTCACACCAGCCATAGGAAGGAGATAGGTATCCTTTGCATCCTCTCCCCATCTTACAGATAAAGAACTGAGGCTTACGAAGGGGAATGGACTTACTCAAGGTCATAGTGAGTAGGCCTCTTGTCAAAAATGGTGGGTGGGGGCCAGGTGCAGTAGCTCATGCCAGTAATCCTAGCACTTTGGGAGGGCAAGGCGGGTGGATCACCTGAGGTCAGGAGTTCGAGACCAACCTGGCCAACATGCCGAAACCTCATCTCTACTAAAAATACAAAAATTAGCCGGGCGTGGTAGCAGGAACCTGTAATCCCAGCTACTTGGGAGGCTGAGGCAGGAGAATTGCTTGAACCCAGGAGGTGGAGGTTGCAGTGAGCCGAGATCTCGCCACTGCACTCCAGCCTGGGCAACAGAGCAAAAACTCCATCTCAAAAAAAAAAAAAAAAAAAAGTGGGTGGGGAATCTAACCCAACATAAGGAGATCGAAGAAGGCTTCCCTGAGGATGTGATGTTGGAGCTGAAAATAGCACCTCCTATGTGCCTGGACTTCTTGGTGTGATTTCTCCTTTCTTGGTTAGCTCATGCCTAAAATTCCATCCATAGGGTTTGGGCCTGTACACTTAAATCATTTACCCTTTGTAAATATGTAATGTTTCCCCATGGGAAATTTAAGTGGTCAGCCACTTACACCTGGGTATGAATAATGCATTCTAAGAACAAGTTTGGGGGGTGGAGAGGGATGCTTAAGAAAATGAATGAGGGAAGTGGTGGATGTGGATCCAGAGAAGGAAGGGATGGGAAGTCAGAAATGAACTTCCAGGTTGGAGTTCACAGTCCAGTGAGATGGAGGATGCCAAGAACCAGGCAGCTCAGTGGAGTGGAGCGGAAGAAGCATTGCCTGACTTGGGTTTAAACGCCTGTCCTTATTTTATTTATGTGACCTTGGGTATGTTCCCTCAAGGTTCTCATCAAAAAATGAGAGTAATGGGCTGGGCGCGGAGGCTCACGCCTGTAATTCCAATACTTTGGGAGGCTGAGGCAGGAGGATTACTTGAGGTCAGGAATTCGAGACCAGCCTGGCCAACGTGGCAAAACCCTGTCTCTACTAAAAATTAAAAAAATTACCCGGGCATGGTGGCGCACGCCTGTAACCCCAGCTACCTGGAAAGCTGAGGCACAAGAATTGCTTGAATCTGGGAGGTAGAGGTTGCAGTGAGCAGAGAGCACACCACTGCATTTTAGCCTGGGTGACGGAGCGAGACTCTGTCTCCAAAAAAAAAAAAAAAAAAAAAAAAAGGGAGAGAATAATTAACACCTCTTTGCACAATTGTGATGAAGATTGGAGATTGGACATATACAGAGTGCATCGCATGTAATAAGTACTTGATAGATAAATTTATTGCATGTAAATTCCAAGTGCTCACTATTGTACCCAGCTCTACAAATACAGGGATGAATAAAACAGACCTGGTCTCTGCCTTCATGGAGTTTATAGTTTGGTAACATTAAACAAATAATTATGCTAATAATTATTTAAATTATTTAATTACTACCTTATCTAATAGTTGCATAATAATAATTTTAATTGCAATTGTGATAAGTGCCATAAAAGATATATATCTATATACTGTGTGTGTGTGTGTGTGTGTGTGTGTGTGTTTGAGTGAGATAGGGCGAGATGGGGTCTTGCTATGTTGCCCAGGCTGGTCTTAAACTCCTAGCCTCAAGCAGTCCTCCCGCCTTGACCTCCCGAAGTGGGTAGGATTACAGGCGTGCACCCCCATGCCCAGCCCAGCATGCATATACGTTGCAGTGCATTTGTGTACATGTATGTGCAGCTTCAAGTGGGTGGAGAGTCTGACCCAGCATGAGGAGAGGGAAGAAAGCTTCCCTGAGGATGTCATGTTCAAAATGGCACTTCCTATGTGCCTGGACTCTTCTTGGTCCTGTTCTTGGTCAAACTTGTTCTTAGAACACATTTTACTTATTTATATCGGTAACTAAACCAAATCACTGCCCTCAGATTTGCATTTGAAAATAACTCTGGGGCCAGGCGCAGTGGCTCATGCCTGTAATCCCAACACTTTGAGAGGCCAAGGCGGGTGGGTCACCTGAGGTCAGGAGTTTGAGACCAGCTTGGCCAACATGGAGAAACCCTGTCTATACGAAAATTACAAAAATTAGCTGGGCATGGTGGCAGGTGCCTGTAATCCCAGCTCCTCGGGGGAGCTGAGGCAGGAGAAGCACTTGAACCCGGGAGGCGGAAGTTGCAGTGAGCCGAGATTGCGCCACTGCACTCCAGCCTGAGGGATACAGCAAGACTCTATCTCCAAAAAAATAAAATAAAATAACTCCGGGGCTGCTCTGAGAGGGATGGATTTGAGTGAATTCAGAGAGTGCCTTGCCCCTTCTCTTCAGGTAAGTCCTGATTTGAACCAAAAATCCATTGCTTGTTTTTTTGCCTCCTAGCAAAGGAAGATGGCTGAGAAAGGATGTCCCGGTGGAAAGGTGAAGTGGAGGAGTCTGAGTGACAAAGGGTCCTATGGCCGGATAGGAGGCCATGGCTGGGGGAGGCTGAGACATGGATGGGAGGTAACAAGGCCTCGGCTAAGGAGAGGGCTGGGCCTGAAAGTTCCAGAGATCACTTGAGCAGGACTTGGTGACAGACTGGATGGGGTGAGGGTTGGGAAGGAAAAGGAGGAACAAAGACACTGCCAAGCTCTGAGCATCAAGAGAAACAGCACATACAGATGGAGCCCTCCTCTTCAGACACCTTTCCCTAAGCTGAAGCCTTCAAGGGAGTGCCCCTTAAATTTTACATATTTTGCAAGACCCAGCTGAGTGGCTTTCAGCTAGAGAAGTGACAAGTGGCTGGAATGTAGTTAGTTAAACCTCTAGGGGGTCCTATTTGCAGTTTTGTCCAAGAGAGAAAGACCGATCTTGTCTGTGTTCTGCCTGCTCTGTGTGTGTGTATGTATGTGTGTGTGTGCATGTGTGTGTGTAAAACTCCCCTGCTAATGTGCATGCCTCTGATAGATAAGCATTTCTGCATATCTGTGTCATTGTCTTTGAGGCAATAACCTTGTTTCTGAATGCATCCTTTCAAGGTGCATGTCCTCGTGTTAAATGTGTCCACTCTAGCTTTGAATGTGATATGTATCCTGGTCTTTGCATGTACTGATATGTGGGTATGTATGTGGGTGAAAGACATAAACAGACACACACAAAGACAGAGAAAGACAGTGCCTGTCTCTGTGTGCACATGATCCATGTATTCCCGTTTCCATGTGGTTCTGTGATGTGTTTGTGTCTTCTGTTGATGGTGTGTCCTTCTGTGTGTTTGCCTTATCTCTAAGTGTATTGGTGTCTATGTGTAACTGAGTTGAGTTAGCCGTATTCGAGTGTCGGTGTAAGGTTTCTGTAATGCCTACGCTTGTGTGTGTCTCTTTGCATCCTGGTCAGTGTGAATGCATCCCTGACAGTGTGTGAATGTTGCTTTGTGTGAACTTGTCCATGTTGACTGGTAGCTTGAGAGGGGACTCATATTTTCTTGGATTAATCTCAGTCTTTAAGTGGCTAACACATGCCTTAGAGCTAATAGGGATAGAGATATTAAAATCTGTTATAAACTCCAAATCCCCTAACTACTTACCTAACCATTAATTTATTCTTTCATCTACCCATCCATCCATCCATCCATCTCTCCCTCCCTCCCTCCCTTTCTCCCTCCCTCCCTCTTGATTTCACTGGCATTTAGTAACTATGTAGTTATTTCTCTTAGGCGTGAGTTTTCTCATCTATAAAATGGAGATGATAATGTAGCTACCTGATAGGGCTGGGGATATGGGGTAGAAATGGAAGTGGGATACCACATATAAAATACTTAACGTGTTGCCTAACACATAGTAGGTGCTCACTATATTAACGATTATTGTCACATCATTGTGGTCACTGTGATTCAGCAAATTCTCATCAGCACTTTACTAAGGGCCACCCCTGAGCTAGAAGCTGGTGAGGCCCTATCCATAGCAGAGGCCATTAAGTGCCTCTGCCTCACCTTCTTGTGTGACCTGGGACAAAGCCTATGCCCTGTCTGAACCCATAGAGTGGGTAGAGCACTCTTGCCCCACCTTCTTACAGAGATTCTGGGGGCATCTGCACTTCTGAACCTGCAAGGAGCTGTGCAGTTATGTAGCAGGTCAGGGGACATTCCAAAGCCTTAAAATGGCAGAGGCCTGTCCTGGGTCATCAAGAGGGTCAGGCAGAGCTGAGACAAAGCCAGACCCCCTGGCACTTCAGGCCAAAGCCAGACCCACTGGCACTGACAGGCCAAAGCCAGACCCCCGGCACTGACAGGCTTTCCTGTCATTTCTAGTCCTTGTTCTCTCTCTGGGGACGCACCTATCGGGAAGCCATGGAGCAGAGCTTCTTCACTTCTCCACCATTTGTCTCTCACTTACTATTTAGTGAGGGGCCTGGCCTTATTTTTAAAAGAAAAAGAAAAAAGAGAACTAGGTAGGGGGTGTGATGTCCACCTCAATAAGCCACTACTGTGGACAAGAGACAGACAGAGACAGAGAAAGAAGGAGAGAAAGGGTAGAAAGAGACAGAAACTAAGAAAGAGACATGGAACACTAACAGAGAGACACAAAGAGACAGGGAATGGAAGAGTCAGAGGCAGAAACAGGAGAGAGGGAGGGAGATGGTTGGAGACAGGAAGAGATCAGAATGAAGTCGGGCTTTCTTGCAGACCTGATTTGGGCTGCCCCAATTTACAAAGCTGTAAGAGCCCTGTAGCAAGGACTGCCACTCTCCTCAGGCCACCTTCATCCAACACACACATGTACTCATACACACTCATACACACATTCACACACTCCTAAACACACTCATCCTCCAATGCTCATATATGCATGCTCACAAAATGGAGGAAGAGGCAGGGGCCTCAAAGTAGGGGTGGATTCTGGTCATCAAGAACCCCCTGTGTGACCTTATGCAATGCCAAGCCACATCCCATTTGAGTCTCAGTTTCCTCATTCGGAAAATAAGCCCGCAGACCTCACTCAGTGGTTTCAAAGCTAAAGGGGATAATGGATGTAAAAAAGTTTTAGAAATAATGGAAAAGTCTGGAAAAGGACCTTTGGAACTAGGCAAGCTAATTATACAGCTCACATGGAAAATTGCTGGGAAAATGTGCAGTTGAGGAAAGTGGGGAAGGATAATGAGTGATCAGGAGCCCTATCAAATCCCAAAACATTCTAAAACTACAGTAAGTTTTTTTGTTTGGTTGGTTTTTTTTGTTGTTTTGTTTTTTTTATTTTTTAGACGGTGTCTTGCTCTAATGCCAGCTGGAGTGCAGTGACGCGATCTTGGCTCACTGCAACTGCTGCCTCCCTGGTTCAAGTGGTTCTGCTGCCTCAGCCTCCTGAGTAGCTGGGACTACAGGTGCATGCCACCACACCCAGCAAATTTTTGTATTTTTAGTAGAGACGGGGTTTCACCATGTTGGCCAGGATGGTCTCGATCTCTTGACCTCATGATCCGCCAGCCTTGGCCTCCCAAGGTGCTGGGATTACAGGCATGAGCCACCATGCCTGGCCCAGTAAGTTCTTTTAAAGGCCAAAAAAAGTTGGATTCCCTTCATATATAAAGAGCACTTACAAAACAGTACAAAAAAGGCCATCACTCCTGTAGGAAATGGAGAAAGGCTCTTAACAGGCAATTCACAGGAAAAAAAATACAAATGACATCTAAAAGCAAAAAGTTATTCAGTATTTCTCACTATTAACAGAATGTCAATTAAAACAAATTATTTACCCATCAGTCTAACAAAGAAATTGCTTGAAAATAAACTGTATGGGGAAGGGAGTGGAGAAATAGACACAGTCACACATTGTTAGTGGGAGTATATATTAACTGATGAAAATTTTGGAGATTAATTTGTTAGTATCTATCAAAATATTTAAATTCACAAACCATAACTTAACAATTCACCGTTTGAACAGAGCAATTCCACTTCTAGGAATTTATTCTACATTTTACATATATACTTGCACATATGCAGGAAGATAATGTATAAAGAATGTTTTGTAGCATTGTTTATAATAGCAAGGGATTGAAAATAAGCCAGGTACTCATCAAATAAACTATGATACATCCATATAGGGAAATTCTATAGTCATTAAAATGAACGAGGTAGATGGGTTTGGGACAGATAGCCTAGATATATAATGAAATAAGAAAGCGATGTCTGAACAGTATGTATAGTGCACTCCCATCTGTGTCCAAAATACATATGTATGTAGGTATTTAAATATAAATCTTTGAATGGGCACACAGATTTCAGGAGCCATACACAGGAAGCTATTAATGATGATTTCCTTAGGTACATAAGACTGATAACTTCTAGGTAGTAGTCAGTGTCTTTTGCTTTATGCCCTTCTCTAGCATATGAATTTTTTTTTTTTACCATGAGCATGTATTGTTTGGAATAAGATAATTTTAAGTACATTTTTTCACCTAAAAAAGGAGTTAGTATCCATAGTTAGTAAATAATTACAGTGTAAATGTGTTACTTGGGCCAGGATTACCTACAAGCTTCCTGTTATATATGACTTCAGTAACATGGATTAGGTCCAGAATCCCCCTTGGGACCACCCTCAGGGTGGGAGCACGCTTTGCCGCCAGTCTCCTGGGAATGAGAAAGTAGGCTAGGCTGCCCAAAATAACCACCTGCCATTTCCCAAGCTGGTCACTTTCTCTCCTGAGCCAAGGGAGGCTCTGGTTGGGTGGAAAAGGTGGATTTGTCTTTCCAGGAACCACAACCTTTTTCTATCGCACTCCTCCTCCCCCTGACCAAGCAACCCTGACATCTAAACCTGTCCTTTGATGCCACCCAGCCCGGAAGGAGATGGCTGGAGTCTAGAAACCTAGTGCAAGATTAAAATCTGCTCTGCCACAGGTTTATACTGTGATCTTGGGGAAGCCACTCTCTCCCTCTGGGCCTCAGCTTCCCCACATGTCAGAAGGGGGATGGGATAGGATGATTGCTGAAAGCCCTCCCAACTCTGACCCATTTAACTTAAGTTAGATAGTCATGAGTTCAAATCTGACCTCTGAAAGTCACTAGCTGTGTACCATTGGGCAAACCACTTCACCTCTCTGAGCTTTAATTTGGTCATCTATAAAACAGAGAAAATAATATACTTCATAGAGTAATTGGGAGATAAAGTATATAAAGCATTAAAATTGTACATAGCACATAGTAACATCTCAACAAATGGCAGCCATCATCATCATCCAGAGTCTTACTTGGACCTGGCCCCTCAGAAGTAGCCCTAGTTTAAGGACCTTTCCCACTCATCTCCCAACCTGTACCCAACAGCTCTTCTGCCCTGGGAGGGCCATGTGCTCTGACCTAGGAATCAATAAGCATAAAACCTTATCCTTGCTACTGAATTCATATGGAATCACGCGGGTGCAGTGGCTCACGCCTATAATCCCAGCACTTTGAGAGGCCAAGGCAGGTGGATCACATGAGGCCAGGAGTTCAGGAGCAGCCTGGCCAACATGGTGAAACCCTGTCTCTACTAAAAATACAAAAATTAGCTGGGTGTGGTGTCACATGCCTGTAATTCCAGCCATATGGGCGGCTGAGACACGAGAATCACTTGAACCTGGGAGGCGAAGGTTGCAGTGAGCCGAGATCGTGGCACTGCACTCCAGCCTGGGTGACAGAGCAAGACTGTCTCTAAATTAATTAATTAATTAATTAAATGAATTCATATGGAATCATAGGTTAATGTGTGGCCCCATCCAAATCACCCATGAATATTATAATTGATTAATAAAGACTAAACCTCTGGGATGGTCAGGAAAGGCTAATGGGTGGGAAGGATTTTGGGACAGGGGCCTCTTGGAATTCAACTGGGCTTCATTTGCAATATCTTTTCCAGGAGGGGTACATTCCCTCCAGGTACTGTGACAAGCCTTTAAGATTCAGGGAAGGTGTGCATAAAGAGAGCTTTTGATGCTGCATAAATTATGTTACTGCGATCACCTCCACATGGAATTGTCCCCAGTAGAAAAAGCTGGATGTTCCTCCACGTTTCTCTGTCTCCACTCCCACAGACCCATCCCAACTTAATACCAAGGGAGTGGGCTCAATCTCCTTGCTGTGCCAGGTACCTATCTTTAATGCTGGCTTTAGTGTCAACTTAGGCCTCAGATTCCCCAGCTTTACAAAAGAGGCAGGTTTTTTCGTTTTGTTTTTTGTTGTTGTTGTTTTTGACAGTCTTGCTCTGTTGCCCAGGCTGGCGTGCAGTGGCACAATCTCGGCTCACTGCAACATCTGCCTCCTGGGCTCAAGCGATCCTCCTGCTTCAGCCACCCAAGTAGCTGGGACTACAGGTGTGAGTCACTACACCCAGCTAATTTTTGTATTTTTAGTAGAGACAGGATGGGGTTTCGCCAAGTTGGCCAGGCTGGTCTTGAACCCCTGACCTCGAATTATCCACCTGCCTCAGCCTCCCAAAGTGCTAGGATTACAGGCATGAGCCACCACTCCTGGCCTACAAATTTCTTTTTTTAATTAGCCAGGCATAGAGGCACACATCTGTTAAATGCTTTTTGTCACCAAAAGCCTCCTAATGACTAGACCCACCTGCTCACCTGACTATCTTCTGGCCCATGACCTCTTTGACATTCTCCTGCATTCCTTCAATAAAACCCCCTCCTCGTTTTGTTTCTTGAAACCAAATAACCCCACACCCAGCCAGAGCTTTTCCAAGCAACCCCTGCGTATAGATTTTCATGGCAGGCATCTTTGATTCTGATTTGGAGAAGAAAGTAGCAGGCATTAGGAAGAAATGTAGGGCAGGCTGTGGATCGTGGACGAAACACATAGGGCAGAAAGGTGAGGTAGTGGTGGCATCTCTCCAGCCTTGTGCCTCTAAATCAGGCTGACACACACCATGGAGCCCATGGATAGTATTTTTTTTTTTTTTTTTTGAGACAGAGTCTCATTCTGTCACCCAGGCTGGAGTGCAGTGGCACAATCTTGGCTCACTGCAGCCTCCACCTCCCAGGTTCAAGTGATTGTCCTGCCTCAGCCTCACAAGTAGCTGGGATTACAGGCACCTGCCATCACACCCAGCTAATTTTTGTATTTTTAATAGAGGTGGGGTTTCACTATGTTGGCCAGGCTGGTCTTGAACTCCAGGCCTCATGTGATCCACCCACCTCGAGCTCCCACAGTGCTGGGATTACAGGTGTGAGTCACTGCGCCTGGCCAATAGTAATAGTTAGTGAGCATCTCTGAGCCAGGCATGGTTCTTGAGCCAGGCATGGTTCTAGGCCCAGGAACTCAGAAAATACCCAGACAGACAGAAATGTCTGCCCTCATGAAGCATCCTTACCTAGTAAGGATAAACAGACAATCCATTTATGCCTAGTGTTCCATTATTGGAATGCTAAGCTTGTGGGAGTTATTTATATCCTACTGCTCAAGGTCATCACCAAGATCTGATTTTTCACACACACAAAAAATTGCAACCTCCGGCATAAATGGGTTAAGAAGAGAAACAAGTAGAAATTACAGTGTTTTAGATGTAAGCGCTGTTGGGAAAAGTATATAAAGTAGAGGAAAATTGGGAGGTGTCTATAATGCTGTGCAGGATGGCCAAGAAAGGCGTCATGAGATGGTGACAGTCAAGTAAAGACCTGAATGGGGGAGGATTCCTGCAGATGTCTGGAGAAAGAGTATTACAGGCAAAGGGAACAACACGTTCAAAGGCCCTGAGGTGTGGGAGTGCCCCTCATATGTCAGAGAATTGGAAAGCAGGCCAGGGCAGTGAGTGTAGATGACTGAAGGGCAGGTGGGAATACAAGAAGTTAGAGAGTAATGATGGAAAGGAGTGGAAAAATGATATAGTCCTTCTTGATTTGTGCAATATTCTTTTTTTTTTTTTTTTCTTTTTTGGAGACAGGGTCTCACTCTGTCACCCAGGCTAGAGTGCAGTGGCGTGATCTTGGCTCACTGCAGCCTTGACATCCTGGGCCCAAGTTATCCTCCTCATCCTTGTGAGTAGCTGGGACTACAGGCACATACCGCCATGCCCAGCTAATTTTTTAATTTTTTGTAGAGATGGGGTTTCGCCATGTTGCCCAGGCTAGTCTCCAACTCCTGGGCACAAGCAACCTGCCTGCCTCAGCCTCGTAAAGTGCTGGGATTATAGGCTTAAGCCACCATGCCTGGCCATCAATTTGTGCAATATTCATATGCCATAAATATTATTATTTTGTTACTGTTCCTTAAATTGGTTTGCTTTTTGTTCGGATACATTTGAAATGAAAATTTTATATCACTACTATAAATGAAGGACAAGTATCACTTGCAACAAATAGAATGTAACCAAATAAATAAATACAACACTGAAACAATTATTAAATTATAGAAAGATGCGGTGGCCTGTAGGAGGCTTAAGTCTGATTGACAGTCTTAGAGAAGTGACAAGGCATACTAGCACCCGGGTCCTACTTCATGTGCCAAGGGGCAAAAAACATACTAGCACCAAATTGGGAGTTTCTCTGGTATGGTATTTAGTGTTACACTATAGAAAATCATCTCACGTCCCACTAGGCAGGATGACCAAATTGTTGTGGTTTCCCCAGGACTGAGGGGTTTCCTGGGATGTACTTTTACTGCTGTAACTGGGTCAGTCCTGGAAAAACCAGGATGGCTGTTCCTCCTATCACCAGCAGTCCCTCTCCCACCCTGTAGTCTAAGACCATCTGCCTTCAGCTTGCCCTTCTCTACGTTGCCCTTTGTGGTGGCTGACTCTAAGGTGATCCTTACCTCCTGGAGTTGGTGTACCTGGGTCATTCCCTCCCCTTGAATGTAGGTAGGACCTGAAACTTGCTTCTTACCCATAAAATATGGCAAAAGTGATGGGATGTCACTTCCATGATTAGATTCCACATAAGATGGTGACTTCCACATTGCTAACTCCTCTCTTTATTGCCTTCTCACCTTGGCAACTCTCTATTGCCTTCCTAGCTTGCATGATTTGGTGAAGCAAGTAGCTGTTCTGCGGGGCACCAATGGCAACCTCTGGTGAGCAGCCAGCTAGGAAGTAAGACCCTTAGTTCAAAGGCCTCTAAGGAACCAACTGTTGCCAACAACTGTGTGAGCTTGGAAGCAGATGCTTCCCTCATCGAGCCTTCAGATTGAGACCCAAGCCCTGACTGATGCATTGATTGCAGCCTCGTGAGAGATCCGAAAGTAGAGTGCCCAGCTAAGTCTGCCCATAGTTCTGATCCACAGAAACTGTGAGATAATAAACGTGTGTGTGTGTTTTAAGCCATTTAAGTCTATGGCCATTTGATACTCAGGATTACTAATACTAAAACACCCTTTCCAAACTATTGCTTCTCTGGGTATATTAGTCCGTTTTCATGCTACTGATAACGACATACCAGAGACTGGGTAATTTATTTATTATTAATATATATATTTTTTGAGATGGAGCCTCACTGTGTCGCAGGCTGGAGTGCAGTGGTGGCACAATATTGGCTCACTGCAACCTCCACCTCCCAGATTCAAGCTATTCTCCTGCCTCAGTCTCCTGAGTAGCTGGGATTACAGGTTCGCACCACTACACCCAGCTAATTTTTGCATTTTTAGTAGAGACAGGGTTTCGTCATACTGGCCAGGCTGGACTCGAACTCCTGGCCTCAAGTAATCTGCCTGCCTCAGCCTCCCAAAGTACTGGCATTACAGGCATGAGCCACTGCACCCAGCCTGGACTGGGTAATTTATGAAGAAAAGGAGGTTTAATGGACTCACAGTTCCACGTGGCTGGGGAGGCCTCATAATTGTGGCATAAGGTGAAAGGCATGTCTTACATGGTGGCAGGCAAGAGAGAATATGAGAGCCAAGCAAAAAAGGAAATCTCTTATTAAACCATCAGATCTTGTGAGACTTATTCACTACCATGAGAACAGCATGGGGGAAACTGCCCCCATGATTTAATTATCTCTCACTGGGTCCCTCCCACAACATATGGGAATTATGGGAGCTACAATTCAAGATGAGATTTGGGTGGGGACACAGCAAAACCATATCACTAAGTCCTGATTATTTGCACGGCTCATTTATGGACCCTGATGTCTTGAGGCTATTGCTCAGCTTCCTACACCTGACCCTCAAGGAACCCTCCCCTATTTCATTCTGGCTGCCCCCAGCTGAGGTGGACAGTAGCTCAGGTTTCCCTTGGTAGACAGAGCTCAGTATCCCTACGTGAGGGGATCTTCACTCCAAGCCCAACAAACAGGAGAATGATGGGAAATTAAGGCCTGGAGATGTTGGAGTCCAGGCCACTGGGCAAGCTGCCTAAAGGAAGTAGGGCTCTAGCCTCTGGTCTGGGGACAGGGACAGGACTCTCCACTTTTAACTGCTCCCTCCTGGCCATGCCCCAAACTGCAGAGCCCGTATAAGTCACCATTACAGGCCATCTGTTCTCTAGGCCTTGCTTCTCACTCTCCCTGTTTCCAACCTTCTTGCCCACCCTGTTGGTTTTGTGCCTGGTTCTCTTTTCTTAGCCTAGTTCCATCCATTTGAAAAATCATCTGGACAGCTGCCCAGATGCCCAATTTGCAAATCAAAATAAACTAATTTTATTACAAAAATAATTTTTGCACATTTTAGGAAAGTTAGGGAAAAAATTAAAATAATCACAAAGAAAAAAATTGAAAATCACATAATCATACCACCCAGAAATAACCACTTTTAAACCTGATGTATTTTTTTGACCATATATGATATACGAATATTTCTAATGGTATTATACTATAAGTGCTTTTATGGCCTGTGTTTTGTTTATTTTTCCACTTAGCTTTCTATCATAAACATCTTCTCACAGCAATAAAAATACCTCCATCTCATCGTTTTAAGTTTCTGAACAACAGCTGACATAATTTAACTAATTTCTAATGTTGGACATTTAAATTGTTACCAGTTTTTTGCTGTCATGTTAAAGTTTAAAGAAATACTTTTGCAATTAGATTGCTGAACACATCCATGACTTCACTAGCAGGACAACTGCTGGGTCAAAATGTTGCATGGTTTGAAGGCTTTTAATAAGTTTTGGCAAATTTCCTCTAATGACATTGTACCAATCTTCACTCTCCAGGAGCATATGACATTCACTCTCCAGGAGCATATGACATTATTTCCCATCCTCATTCTCTAAAACTAGCAATTTTCTTTGTGATTCTGTTTTTCATGGTCTGCCATCAGCAATACCATAATTTCTTTCTTTTTTTTTTTTTGGAAATGGAGTTTTGCTCTTGTTGCCCAGGCTGGAGTGCAATGGCGTGATCTCATCGCAAACTCCGCCTCCTGGGTTCAAGTGATTCTTCTACTTCGATCAAGACTGTTTTTGAGATTTGCGTTAAATTATATAACTCTATTCATTTTAACTACTGTTAAATTTTATCTTCATTTTTAAAATTTGTTTTCAGACTAATGTAACTTGTTGCTATCCTTGTGCTATTATAAACAATGAGTTAATGAACATCTTCATCCCTGTATCTTTACTAGGGTTTCTATGCAGAAGTGGTTTGCTGGTTGGTAGGTTAACATTGTTTTTCAAACTTTTTTTATTGTGACCTATGATAATAAGCACATTTTACATCACAATCTCCACATACACAAGTTAAAACAAAAGTTTCATGAAATAGCCCTTATCTTTATTACTAGAAATGTATTCTGATTCAACTTCCTTTTTAAAATGTCAATTACAACTCACAAATTGATTTTACAACATAGTAATGGGTCATGGCCCACAATTTGAAAAATGATGGATTAAAATATATTTGGTTTCACTAAATGCTTTAAAATTACTCTTTAGGGTAGATACACTAATTTACAAGACAGGTTATCATTGCCCTACACCCTAACCAACACCTGATTTTATATTTTTTTCTTTTTGCCAGTCTGATGTGTATAAAGCAGCATGTCATTGTTATTTTAATTTTTCTTTCTTTGATGCTAATAAGTTGAGCTTCTCTTTATATGTTTATTCACTAATTGAGTTTCTCAGAGAGTGAGTTTGCCTATTTTTTGTATTGGGTTGCCAGGTTTCTTCTTGCTGATTTACTGCTGAGTTTCTTATATAATTTAGATTTTAAATCCTTTTATTGTTATTGAAAATATACTGTAAATACCTTTCCCAGTCTGTTGATCATTTGTTAGCTTTGTCTGTGTTGTCATTTATAGAGCAGAAAACCACCAATTACTTTATGGTTTGGACTTTTTGTTTCTTACTTAAGAAATGTTTCCCTAACCCAGTGTCATAAAGATTTGCCTATAAACGTTTTAGCTTCTTAAACTAGCTGAAGTTTGTTTTACATGCTGTGAGATAGGATCTATTTTTATTTTTTCCATACAACCAGATATTTTCCCCAACACCATTAAAATAATCCATCTTTTCCTTACTGATTTCTGTTGTCAATTCTATCACATACCAAACATCCACATACACAGTTCTGTTTCTGGATTCTTCTCTTTTGTCCCACTAGTCCACATCTGGTAGGGTGATCCCCATCTCTGCTCTTAATTTTGAAAATAGTTCTTTTAGCTATTTATGGAACTTTATTCTTCCATGCAAACTTTATAATTTGCTTCTCTAATTCCTCTCCCCCAAATATTTGGTAATAATTACATGAATTGACACCATTACACTGCTATTTCTTACCGTCTACAAACAGTACATTTCTTCATTTACGCAGGTCTTCTTTTATCTCCTTTGATAGGTTTTCTCTAACATGTTTGGTTAATTCTAGATAACTCATTTTCTTAATCTTCTTTTTTTCTCCTTTAAAAAAATAGTCTCCAATTTCATAGAAGGGAATAGTATCTTCTTCCCAAACAGCCAAGTTTTATTATTTTTTTGTTTGTTTGTCTGTTTTTTTTTGTTTGTTTTTTTTTTAGTAGAGATGGGGGTTTCACCATGTTGACCAGGCTGGTCTTGAACTCCTGACCTCAAGTGATCCGCCTGCCTCAGCCTCCCAAAGTGCTGGGGCGTGAACCACCATGCCAAACAAATTATTATTATTTTTTTAGAACTCAGGATCTTGCTCTGTTGCCCAAGCTGGAGTGCAGTCGTGTGATCATAGCTCACTGCAGCCTTCAATTCCTGGATGACTCAAAGGATTCTCCCACCTCAGCCTCCCGAGTAGCTGGGACTATAGGCATGAGCCATCACTCCTAGATAATTGACTTAAATTTTTTTTTTTTTTTAGAGAGAGGGTCTCATTATGTTACTGTGGCTGGTCTCGAACTCCTGGGCTGAAGTGATCCTCCTGCCTAAGCCTTCCAAAGTGCTGGAATTACAGACGTGAGCCACAGTGCCTGGCTCTCAGCCAAGTTTTCAATACCATTCCCTTCATGACACTGCCTCCTGGATCACCTCTTTAGTAAGAGATGAACCCAGAAATCCAGACCCTACACAAACCAAACAGAACCAGTAAGGCACTAGTCAGATGGGCACCTATAGAAGTTGTTAAAGCATGTTGGGGACTCTAAAAGAATTTTAGAAATAAAATGACATGGAGAAAATTATATTAACCTGACTTATTCTCAAGGCTATGACTATACGTATTTGAAGGTGATATAGTTGACTCTTGTACTTTGTCAGGGTTAGGGGCACCAACCCCTGTGCAGTCAAAAACCCGAGGATAACTTAACTCCCCCTAAACTTAACTACCAATAGCCTACTGCTGACCACAAGCCTTACTGAGAACATAAACAGTCAATTAACACATATTTCATATGTTATATGTATCACATACTGTATTCTTACGGTAAGCTAGAGAGAAGAAAATGAGCTGGGCGCCAAGGCTCATGCCTGCAATCCCAGCACTTTGGGAGGCTGAGGCAGACCGATCCCTTGAGTCCAGGAGCTTGAAACCAGCCTGGGCAACATGACAAAACCCTGTCTCTATAAAAAAAAATACAAAAACTTGGCTGAGCATGATGGCGGGTGCCTGTAGTCCCAGCTACATAGGAGGCTGAGGTGGGAGGATTGCTTGAACCCAGGGAGGTCAAGGATGCAGTGAGCAGAGATCACGCCACTGCACTCCTGTCTAGACAACAGAGTGAAACCCTGACTCAAAAAAAAAAAAAAAGAGAGAAAAAAGAAAACCGTAAGAGAGACAAAATATATTTACCATACTATACTTATTGAAACCATAAGTTTATGTTATTGATTTACAAGAAGAATTGTCTGCCTGAAAAGGCAAGCAACCTCAGCTGCAGACCTCAACCTATGATACATATCAAGCAATTCCACTCTTTCTTATAATATCACAATTTTTCTCCACTTCTTGGGAGTACTTCCTGCATTACTGGTAGCACTTGTTATGGGTCCCATGATGTCATTCAAGGTTTATGGCATTGCACTAAACACAGCGAAAAATACCTAAGAACTTTGTGAGATCACTTTTTACTGCCACAGGCAATTTACTGGAGAGATGAACTGCTCATGAAGAGATGATTAGCAGCACACAGCGTCTTAAGTGGAAACTTGCAACCCTTGCGCTCACAGCAATAGCAACAGGAGGTGGCTACGAAATTATTACAGTAGTACCGTATGTGCTATGGTTTTTTGTTTGTTTGTGCTTTTTTCAAGACAGGGTCTTGCTCTGTTGCACAGGCTGGAGTGCAGTGGTGTGGTCATAGTTCACTGCAGCCTTGAATTCCTGGGCTCTAGTGATCCTCCCATCTCTGCCTCCTGAGTAGCTAGGATGATAGTCATATGTCACTACACTTGGCTATTTTTTTTAACTATAGTTAATTTTATGCAATTATGAGTTAATACTGCATCTTCACATTTGTTCACATTTCTCTTAACTGTGAATGGCACCATGCACCATCTGTTTGCGTAAGTTTTGATGAATTTTAACTTTTTATAATAGATGTGTGTATATTTTATGGTGGTAAATGATAACAATAGGTAAGTATTTGCATATTTTCATACGTTGATGACATATTTCCTTTTTCTTTTTTTGATATTTCTAAGGTGTGTTTCATCTGCAGGTTTTTTCAAATTGTCACAAATCTTCAAAGACATTTCAATATATTTATTGAAAAAAATCTGCACATAAATAGACCTACACAGTTCAAACCTGTGTTGTTCAGGGGTTAAGTATACTTTTAAAATAAATACTTGGAGTGTTGGAGAAGGGAAGATGATGTTAAACTGCCTTCTAGGAAGACAGCTATGCTTTACTACAGGACTCTAGTTTCTTTAAGCCAGTAATGCAAGTTTGGGGCCAGAGCTGAATTGCTTGTAATAGATGATGCAAAGTATTGTCACAAGAGATCTTCCTTCCCAGTTGTTCCTTCATGCATGATCCAGCTTCTCTTCTGAACAAATGTTGAGCAAATGTTTATTTAAAGGAAAAAGTGACACTGATTTCTTAGTTGCTCTGGGCATCTGCATATCTCAGGTTGGCAAGGGGTCTTGGCAGAAGCCCAAACCTAGATGAGCCATAAAATCAGGTAGACACCAAGGTGACAACTTGGGGCAGGGACCAAGGTCAGAGCCCTGTCACAGGAACTGTGGAACAGACTTCTTGAATTGGGTAGTGGTCCAGTTATTGAAACACCAGCCCACATCCCAACAGAAAAAACAGTAAAATATCTGTCTAGGCAAATTTCCAAATGAAGAAAAACAAATAGCCCATATGAAAAAAAGAAGTGTTCAGCCTCATTAGAAAATAAAACAACAAAGGATATTTTTTTTCCTTGTCTGATTGGCAAAGTTTCTTTTTTCTTTTCCTTCCTTCCTTCCCTCCCTCTCTTCCTCCCTCCCTTCCTCCCTCCCTCATTTCCTTCCCTCCCTCCTTCCTTCCTTCCTTCCTTGCTTCCTTCCCTCCTTCCCTCCTTCCTTCCGATACTCATTGTTGAGGGAGTGGTGAAAGGGTATTCTCAAGCACAGCTGGTAGTTGTGTGAGCTGGCACGGCTTTTCTGGAGGGCAATTTGGCAGACTGTATTTAAAAATTCTAAAGACACGCACTGTTTTTGATCCCGCAATTCTACTTCTAGGGATTTCTCCTAAGGAAATAATTAGAAGTGAATACAAAGATGAATAATAGCAGCTTAACATTTACAGGGTGTTCACTCTGTGCAGGCAGTATGCTAAGCACTTACACTTAACTCATTTAGCCCTTATAGCAACATGCAATGTGAGGAGTATTGTCAAGTCCATTTTTAGGTGGGGAAGCTGAGTCCCAAGGAGGTGGTGTAAGTTGATTAAGTTCAAGTAGCTAGTAAGTGACAGGATGCTCAAATCCTGATCTCTTTAACTCCAAAACCCATTCTCTGAACCACCTTGTTATCCTATCCTCTGGAACACTAAGTGTAAAAAAGATGCTCTACATAGTACCGTTTAAAATGGCAAAAATTCTGAAATAAGCTAAATGTGCAAGAATTAGGGAACATTAAATAAATCATGTAGGATCATATGATAAAATACATAGTCATTAAAAATAAGTTCTAAAACAACGACACCAGGAAATGTTCATGATATATCAAATGGGTAAAATAATGTATAAGTTATGTCCCATTTTAATTTTAAAAATGCATATGTACCATTTTTATGAAGTTTAAAAATAGGAAAGACCAGGGTGTAATGATCAAGGTTGGAGGGGAAAGGGGTCGTCGACTGGGAAGCCTGCTGGGTTGCATGGATGTTTACATACATAAAAATTAAGCCAGTAGTGCAGTTAACATTTGTGTGCTTTATACAAGTTTATGTAAGTTATATCTCACTTTAAAAATACATAAATGCATAGAAAAAGCCCTGGCCAGAAAAACAAAAACAAAAACAAAAAAACAACGTTAGCAGTGATTGTTGCTAAGTATAATTTTCATTTTATTCTTTATACTATTCTGTGTATGTGTGGGCTTTTTTTATTTTCCATTTTTTTGTTTTGGGGGTTTTCTTTAGAGATGGGGCCTTGCTATGTTGCCTAGGCTGGACTCGAACTCCTGGGCTCAAGCAATCCTCCCGCCTCAGCCTCCTGAGTAGCTAGGATTACAGGCATGTACCACCATGCCCGGCCTTCTGTGCTTTCCTTCCCCTGCATTTCCCACCCTTCCAATGAGCCTGTATTATCTTATTCTTGGGGGCTGGGGGAGAACATGCACATGACGGCCAGGCTGTAGTCCAGACCTAGAACCCTGGAGGTGGCAGAGCTTTTCAAGGACTCCAGTGCTGGGCGCCAACCTGAGTCTAGTCTTGCAGGTACAACACAGTGGTTCCAAGGATACTGAGAATGGTGAGGTCCAGTGGCCAGCCTGTTTGGAGGATATGCGAGTGAGAATCCCTGAGTAGCCTTAGATGAACTAGAAGCAACACCCTTAAGATAAGTTCCTCCGACTTTAAAATTCAGCTGGGCAAAGGCTGCATGTAGCCATCCTGGCCACGGAGCCATCCTGGTCACAGCAACAATTCATTGTTCAGCTGCTGGTTGGATGCCTTGTTGCTCACTGGTGATGACATCAGGTCTCCAGGGAGCACACTGGCTGTCAATCAGAAGCCTTTTTCTGGCAGCAGTGAGCCATCTCTGCCTCCTCTCTCTTTTAAAGGGGCAGCTTCTGCCTGGGCAAGGGAGCTAGGTTTGGGCCACCTTGATTCTTTCTTTCCATTTCAAGTCTAATTTCCAGGGCAGTGGAGATATTAAAGAAGAGCAAGGTGGGTTACTGTGGGTGTTTCTCAAGATCCCAGCTTCAGCTTACTCCTGACAATAAAATCTTGCTAACCAAGACATGGATCAAAATAAAGATGGAGCTAAAAAATTAAAATCCAGTGGATATAAAAAATTTCACTAAATGTTTTTAGTGGATCTAAAAAAATTATATTTTAAAAATCTTTGGTATATAAAATTGCTGGTAAATACTAAACAGGCTTAAATATAAAATGAAGAAAAATAACTGAGAATTATCAGTTATTTCCATCTTCCTTACTAAGAAATACTAATTTGATTGAGGCCATCAAATGTGCCTAGTTAAAAAAAAAATTCCTCATTTCCTAGCTTCTGTTGCAGCTAGGGGTGGCATATAACACAGTTATGGTCAATGAAATGCAGACTAGGAATTTGCAGAAAACTTTCCTTTTCTGATTTAGTCATTCTCTCCTTTTTCCTGGGTGGAATAAGAACATGATGGCTGGAGCTTTAGCAGCTGTTTTGCAATCAAAAGGAAAATCCCAGGAGAATTACACAGACCCTTCAACCCTGACATCCTTGAAGCAGTGAAATGGTGACGGCAACTGCCTAACTCTTCACCACTTGTTTATTTAAGACACTGGCTACTCAGGCTTTCTGTAATTCATGGCTAAAAGCAATCTTTTTTTTTTTTTTTTTTTAGATGGAGTTTCGCTTTTGTTGCCCAAGCTGGAGTGCAATGGTGCGATCTCAGCTCACTGCAACCTATGCCTCCCGGATTCAAGCAATTCTCCTGCCTCAGCCTCCTGAGTAGCGGGGATTACAGGTACGCACCACCAGGCCCCACTAATTTTTTGTATTTTTAGTAGAAATGGGCTTTCACCATGTTAGCCAGGCTGGTCTCAAACTCCTGACCTCAGGTGATCTGCTCACCTCGGCCTCCCAAAGTGCTGGGATTACAGGCGTGAGCCACCATGCCTGGCAGTCTTTAACTGATTCACTCCATTGAAGTAAAAATAACAACACAGTAAAACGGGAAGTTTGGGGAGAAAAGATGGAAAGAGTATAACAGTGCCAGTGTTTTATTACATGTAGTCACCATCTAAAATTGATATATAAGGCTAAAAACAACAATGTCTGCAACCTCTTAATGTTTTCAGGAGGGATCTTTAAGGGGCTCATATATTTCTTTTGGTGGAGAAATTGTTATCTAAAGTTCATAAATTCTTTCTTTACATTTGTTTCTAAAATTCCAATAAATTCAAGTAAAATAAGTGAAATACCCTTCAAAACTTAAGAAGAGTATTATAATATGAAATAATTTTTAGAAATTATTTCTGATTACCTATCTGTATAGATGCATTGAAAGATGTTTGGAGTGATGTTCACCTCATTTGAATTATGCTCATTTCCGGCTTTTTATTTTTGTTTTTAAACTTTTAATTTTGAAATGATTGTAGATTTACAGAAAAGTTGTAAAGATGGGAAAGTTCTGATTTCCTCCTCACTCAACTTCCTCTAATGTCAACATCTTATGCAATCATGCTACCTGTATAAAAAGTAAGACATTAACTTGGTAATTATTATAGTATGATGCTGTTAACCAGAATACATACTTCATTCAGATTTTCTAATTTTTCCACTGATGTCTTTTTTATGTTCCACTTTCCAAACCAGAATACCACATTGTGTTTAGATATCACATCTCCTTCGTCTCCTCTGGCCTATGACAGTTGCTTGGTTTTTCCTTTCCTTTCATAGCCTTGACACTTTTGAAAAGTGGTGGTCATATACTTTCAGAATGTTTCTCAATTTTGGCTTGTCTGGTGTTTTCTCATGATTTGACTAAGGTTTTAGGCTTTGGGGAAGAAAAATCACAGAAGTGATGTCTTGTCATCCCATTCATTACATGAAAGGGCACGTGATCTCTACATGACCTCTCACTGGTGATGTTGACCTTGATCATTTGACTTTTTCACTTTATTCTTTGTACTTTTTTATATTGCTTTAATTCCTTATAATGAGTATGTCATAAAAGGGAACTTGGAAGTGCTACATATGCTGAAGAACTCCACAAATGTGAGGGTTAAATTTTTCATTTGAAAGAGAGGATTGATGTCCAAGGCTTGGCTGAAAGAGGGAAGAGAAGATAAGTATAGCTACGACATCAATGTTAATTGCCTGGAGGCCAGCCAGGGTGGCAGGGAAAAATGGAGATGACTTTGAGATTATGTAACTGCTAGCAGAGCAAAGAGTGAGGGCCTCATACAAATATTTCTTAATATTGATACATTTCCCTTTAGCCTATAGCCCTAGTTGAGAGTGGGGGTTACCCCACTGGCCAAGTTGGAAATGGCATAACAGCAGAGAGCTGATTCTGTTGCAAAAGCGAGTGGGCATGGGAACTAATGTTAATTAAGCACCAGGTATGTTCCAAGTGCTTGACTAAATCATCCCAACCCTGCCTGCTAAGTATGCTGGTCATCTCCATTTTATGGGGAAATGGAGACTCAGAGAAGTGAAGTAACTTGTCTAAAGCCACTCGGCCAGTTAACCATCAAATGTCTATCAGGCAATGTACCAGGCAGGCACAGGAAAGCTACTGTTTGAATCTAGATCTCTGTGACACTAAAGCCACACTCTTCCCCCCACCCCCCACATACACACACTTTACACCACCTGCTTCCCAGGAAGGGCCGCAGACACGTACAGGAATCCCAATTATGGGGAAAGAAGATGAGCTTCTGAGACTATTCCGATCCACAAGATTTTTCAAATTCTTCACAATCTCTGTCTCATGGATCAGAGAGATCCATGAATCCCCAGGTCAAGATCCTACTACCCTCTGAATGATTTGGACAGCTGTTCTCTGCAATCAGATGGGGGAAAGGGCTTGGGGTAGCTGGAACAGCCTTCCGCTATCCCTGCTGTTGACAAGACCGTAGGATGCAGGGAGAAACAAAGAAAGAGATGGCGAGAGAGGGGAGGGAAAAAGAGAAGGAGGGGAGAGAGAGAAACTGCTTAGTTTTGAATTCCTTTTTCCAGTTAGCCCTAAGGCCAGCTCCCAATCCCTCCTAAGGATGGATTTTAGCAAAGAGGAACCCCTTTTTATTAAAGCTAGTTCAAATTTGGTTTCTGTAACTTGAAACCAATGTGGGCACATGGGCGGGGCCCCAGTATCATTTACTATCTAGTGGTAACCATGTCACTGCTGATTTTTATGGTGAAATGATAAGGTGGAGAAGCGGTTCACCTTCAGCTGGTGCTGTTACTGTTGTTGCTGCCACTGCCAGCAACATGGGGCTTGGTGGTGGTGGTAGTGACGTGCGATGGTGGTTGTGAGTGTGACGATTATTGGAGGGGCTAGCGATTATGGGTACCAAAATTCCTTGGCAGAGATGCTGGTTATTGGAGGGGCTAAAGATCACAGGTACCAGCATCCCTATTTCTTCAAGGTTTGTCTCTTTCTTTTACGCTTTGTATTTCTACAATGGCCCTGGGGAGTGAAAAGACTTAGAATTTCATCTTGTCAAGACTGGTAGATGAAAACATGACTGAAGAATTGATGTGCATTCATTCCACCAGTTAAGTCCTGTTGTGTGTACATTTTTTAACAATGCTTGCATTCCCTGGGGCTGCAATTTATTCTACTTGCCATGATGTCATGGTTCACTGTGAAACACAGGAGCGTGTTGACTTCAGACTTCTCAACACATTAAACCTATGAGCAGAGTGTAACCTGCCAACGTTGTGCCCGGAAGTCGTGAAGACTTCTGGGATGGATTCATCCTGCATCAATGAGGGCTAGTTGTTTTCAGCTAAAGCTTGTGAGTATGAGGGCACAGGGACCGTGCTTGTGAGTAAGCGGGCCGGCATGCTGCTGGGGGTGCGTCAGGTAGAGAGACTATAGCGTGTGCATCTGTTCCTCTCTCTCAATGTCTGCCCGAATCTCCTTCGCCCTCCCCAGAGTGAAGCAGTGAGGCAGGAGCAATGCTCACATTTCACTCCAAGCACCTACCTTGTTATATTTTCAACAAAATAGCTTTCTACCTAAGAAATATTCTGGGACAAATGTAAAGCTTATTCATCCATTCAATTAATATCGGTGATGAGCCATGCACTCGTCTAGGTGCTGGGGGTATAAGAGTGGAAGGAAGGAACCCACAAATCCCTGCTCTTATACAGCTGACATTCTAGCGGGTTTAAACATGTCTCATTCTCATCACACACAGGTGAGGAAACTGAGGTTAATTGACTTAACTGAGGACAAACAGTAAAGGGCAGAGCTAAGATTTTAAGTAAGATCAGACTGATCCCCAAACCCATGCCCCTGACCAATTCTATGTTATCTTCAGTGAATATTTTTTAAAAATTTGTACTGCCCAACATCTTTTCACCATTCTTTGGGTACTAGAAACCTCCATTACTTCTGGTAAACCACTCTTCCAGTCTCCAAGATCATCTAGAAAAACTCCAGTAAAGGCATCCTGTCCTCCTTCAACTGAAGAACGGGTTCATAACCCAAATATGTCATTCCAATGCTGCTTTCTGCTGTCAAGACCTCCTGGAAGTATGACTCTTTTCGCTCTCAAGTTGATTTTTCAGCTCTGCCTATGATTCTGTAAGCCATCCCATATTTTTCCAATACACTTTTTTTATCCAGTTATACAGAGTTCACTTCTGTTGCATATAACCAAAGAATGAAACTAACACATTGTCCCTTCACCCTCTAGGTCTTAATTTGACCCAAAGCAGGTTTTGTGATCTACTAACTAGAAAGTATTGCACCCACCTCCCAGGAAAGAAATCTTGTTTACTTGAGCCAGGCCTGCCGACATCCCTGGCTTCTGGCCCCTTGTTCAGACCTAGCCTTCCAGGAAAAGCTTCCCTGCTCTGCACCGGGGCTGCCAGACTTGCAGATGCTGCACACTCAGCAAAAGCAGTGGAGGAGCCTGAGCTATATTTGAACTTCTCTGAGAGCACACAGACACAGCCCCCTGTGCTCTGGCTGGCGGAGGGGACTGGTAATTAACAGTACTCTTGTTCAGAGCACAAATGGAACAGGTGATGGATCAGCAAGTTCAGAATCAGAGCCACAGCCAATCTCTCCATCCCCAAGTCTATTTTTGGGTCACCACAGATGCTTATTAACACCACATATCAGGGCTACAGGACAGACAAGAGACTTGTCTTGGGGAACTTGTCAGTCAAAATTACATTGAGTTTTATGTAACAAGTCTGACCAGATACCGTTTTTTTCCCCTCACCCAACAAGAAGTCCAGTGGTAGGCAGTCCAGGCGGGTATAGAGGCTCAGAGAAATCCTTAAGGATTGAAGCTCTTTTTATCTTCCTGATCTGCTATCCTTAGCAGCTGGCTCTCACCCTCATAGTCACAAGATGGCTGCCCCACTTCCAGAAGTCTCACCTACATTCCAGGTAGGAATAAAAGCAAAAGCAAAGAAGAGAAGGCATGTTCCTGATGAGTTTTCCCTACCCCTTTGTATGAGGAAGACAAGAGATTCCAAGGAAGCCTCATCCAGATTTTCCTGTACATCTCATTGGTCAGAACTGGGTCAGAGGACCAGCTGCAAGGGTATTTTTAACTGGGCATATTGTCATTCAAACAAAACTGGGATTCTGTTACTAAGTAAGAAAGGGAGTAAAGGCATTGGTTAAGTAACTAGTAGTGTCTGTCACAAAAGGTAAGATGGGAAATGGGTCATGATCGAGGGAGGCCTCCAAGGGGCTTAGTCACAGGTTCTCAGGAGCACACAAACTGGACCCATTTCCAGGGTCCCCATGTGGAAAGGCAGAGGGCTGGAGGAAGGTCTTACGGCTGTTCGCAGCCCCGCCCTCGTTCTCATGGTAACCTACAGAGAAAACCAGGAGCCACATGAATCTATCCTTTATTTATTTATTTAGAGATGGAGTCTCACTCTGTCACCCAGGCTGGAATGCAGTGGCACGATCTCGGCTCACTGCAACCTCCGCCTCCTGGGTTCAAGCGATTCTCATGCCTCAGCCTCCTGAGTAGCTGGGATTATAGACATGTGCCACCATGCCTGGCTAATTTTTGTATTTTTAGTAGAGACAGGGTTTCATTATGTTGGCCAGGCCGGTCTTGAACTCCTGACCTCAGGTGATCTGCCCGCTTCAGCATCCCAAATTGCTGGAATTACAGGCATGAGCCACTGAGCCTGGCCAAAGCTGTCCTTTAAAGATGGCATTGAGGTCAGAGAAACGTGGGAAAGGTAAAGAGGTTCACCAAAAAAGAGTCAAACAGCTCTGATTTCAAATCCAAGCTCTGCCAAATACCAATGCTCTGACCTTGGGTGAATCACTTAACCTCTCTAAAATGGGGGTAATACTTTGCACATGTTTTGTGAGGCTCAAAAAAACTTCAGGTATACATTGTATATCGTAGCTATCCCAAAAATGGTCGTTATTATTACATTAATTCCCTCCTTTTCTAAATGGTGAAAATGAACCCAGAGAGGGGAAGCAAGATGACCTAAGTCACACAGCCAGATAGAGGCAGAGCTGCGACCGGGCCCAGGCTATCTGACTTCCACTCTGAGGGGTGTTCCCTATCATCACTGCCTGTCTCTGTAACAAAATGATGAACATTCATTAAAGTGTGAAATTAGGCCTGAATGGTAGAACAAAGTCGCTGATTTAGAATTTTATTTAAAAACACAAACCTCAAATTTCAGACACTGAAGATGCCAAAAGTCAAGCAGAAAAGGTAGAGGCATCCTGGTGTGCCCCTCCTGGTGAATTCTACTCATTGTTACTGTCATTTACTAAGTGCACCAGCCGTGTGCCTGACATCACGCTAAAGCGTCTACCTAATGGCAGTAGCTAACATTCATGGAACACTATGTTAGTTTCCTGTGGCTGCTATAACAAAATCCCACAAACTTAGTGGCTTAAAAACACATCTTTTTTTTTTTTTTTTTTTTTTTTTTTTTTTTTTTTTTTCAGAGACAGGTTGTCACTCTGTTGCCCAGGCTAGAATTCAGTGGCATGATCATAGCTCACTGCAGCCTCGAACTCTCAGGCTCAAGCGAGCCTCCTGCCTTGGCCTCCTGAGTAGCTGGAATTACAGGCATGCACCACCATATCCAGCTAATAAAAAAAATTTTTTTTTCAGAGATAGGGTGTCCATGTTTCCCAGGCTGGTTTTGAACTCCTGAGCTCAAGCCATCCTCCCACCTCAACCTCTAAAACTGCTGGGATTACAGGAGTGAGCCACCACACCCAGCCAAAAACACAAATTTATTCTCTTACAGTTCTGGCGGTCAGAATTCCTGAGATCACTGTGTCAGCAGGGCTGTGTTTAGTGAGCTCGTTCCCTTGCTTTTTTCAGATTCTAAAGTCACCTGCATTCCTTGGCTTGTGGCCCCTTCTTTCGTCTTCAAAGCTGGCAGTGTAGCATGTTCAAATCAATCTCTCCCCACCACACACAAACACCCTCGCCTCTGCTTTCATTGTCATGTCTCCTCAGATTCTAACCCTCCTACCTCCCTCTTCCATTTTCAATTATATTGAGTCCACCAGGATAATGCCCCCATCTCAAAATCCTTAATTGAATCACACCTACTAGATCCTTTTTGCCATGTAAGGTAACATTCACAGGTTCTGGAGATTGGGATGTGGACATCTTTGGTAGACCACTAGTTTAGCTACCACAACTTTTATGCACCTGGAATTGCTGTGAATTCATATAACCCTCTAGACAAACCTAGGAAATACATACTGAGGCGGGATAGATAGGCAAGGAAGTAACATGTCCGCAGGCCACAGGAACCGTGGCTGTGACCGTGACTGTCAACACAGTAAGCCCCAGCATTTGCATTGTAGTCCAGCTCATGCAAGCAAAGCTATCTCCAGTAGGGAATTTCTCCTAGGAAGAGTATGTGCATTTTGATTTTACCTGTCCTCAGACTGACCCTTGTTCATTATAATAGTAAAAAACACACCCCTGGGTGGAGATTTAAGATGCTACTGAGACATGCAGTGCATGAACAAGCATGTGCTACCCGCACATGTTCACCCAGAGGACCATCCAAAACATGCTTGCTAGTAACACCTCTTCCTATCCCCTTAGGTAAGACTCCCATAAAGGAAGTTTCCCCGCGCGGAATCATCCCTCAGGGTGGACTGTCTATTCTGTACCTAACTTTCAGAATATTCTTTCTCCTTTGCAATAAATTGCTCTGTGCTGCATCTCCTTTGCTGTGTGTCTCTTGTTTAACCCACTGCCATTTAGGAAAAAAAAAAAAGTGCAGCTGGCTGCCAGCACTCATTTAACTTTACATTATCATGCTCTTTGAGGCTGAAGCAAATCTGACTGATTTTCAATGTGAAAATAAAATATAAAATCTCTTCTTGGAGTTATTTATTTCTTTTTTCTTTCTTTTTTTTCTTTTCTTTTCTGAGACAAGGTCTTGCTCTGTCACCTGTCAGGCTGGAATGCGGTGTTGTGATCTCAGCTCTCTGCAAACTCTGCCTCCCGGGTTCAAGTGATTCTCCTGCTTCAGCTTCCCGACTAGCTGGAATTACAGGTGCCCACCACCACACCTGGCTAATTTTGTATTTTTAGTAGAGATGGGGTTTCACCATGTTGGCCAGTCTGGTTTCGAAATCCTGGCCTCAAGTGATCCACCGGCCTCAGCGTCCCAAAGTGCTGGGAATACAGGCATGAGCCACCATGCCCGGAGTTATTTATTTCTAAACAGAACTTGTCTCTAATCCTAATGTAACAGAAATGTATATGATGATCAGTATTTAATTTTTTTTCATGTGGTGAATTGCAAAGCCCAGAACAACACAAAGCAGAACATCACATTCCACACAAAAATTTCACCTTTCTCGTCAGATCTTCTTGCCATTCCTGTTGTGTGAGCAGCAGACTTTGCAGCCACCAATTGGACTCTGTTTCCCTGATGTAGGTGGTATGCTCCTGGGGAAGTGTCTTCCAGACAGGTGAAGAGGTGTGACATCATCAGAGCACAGACGACCTCAAAGACGTTACCACCCTGGCTTGGGGTGCTTTTCCAGCATTCTTCCAATCAGTGTCAGTCTGAAATTTACATGGCTAATCGTGTCCTCAGGATTGTCCTTCTCTAGCAGGATGTAGGAGTTCCGCACTGCCATGTTTAGAAGGTGGCGAAAGAGTTTCTTATACCAAACCTTGTGCCTTTTGTGCTCAGTTGGATAAGAAGAGAGCATCTGATCAACTGAGTCCACTGTTCCCATATTCTCGTTATATTCCACAATGACACATGGCCTCTTAGTTTTATTTCCATTTCTGTGGTCTACCTCAATAACAGTATCGTTGTGGAATGTTGAAAACATTGTCACCTCCTTGTCAGACCATTTTGGTGCCATAAATTCACCACAGAATTAACATCATGCATAGGAATGCTATGTTTTCTAGGATTTGACATTTTCAGTGATTGAGAATCACTGTATTTTGTAAATGGAAATACCACTACTAAAAAGAGAATGCTGTAGAATGATGTCTGCCCGAGAGTTATCTCAGGGTAAATGCTGCAGCTGCACAAGTATTTTCAGGGCAAACGGGAAATGGGTTAAATCATTTTATTTTATTATTAATATTTTTTGAGATGGAGTCTCGCTCTGTCATCCAGGCTGGAGTGCAGTGGTGCGATCTTGGCTCACTGCAACCTCTGTCTCCTGGGTTCAAGCAGTTCTCCTGCCTCAGCCTCCCAAGTAGCTGGGATTTCAGGCCACCATGCCCAGCTGTTTTTGTATTTTTAGTAGAGACAGGGTTTCACTGTGTTGGCCAGGCTGATCTCAAACTCCTGACCTCAAGTGATCCACCTGCCTCGGCCTCCCGTGTGAGCCACTGCACCCGGCTGGTTAAATTATTTTAAACTAAGAAGATAAGAACTGAGGTTTCACAACAGCTATCACCAATACTATCATTTTGCCCATTTTCAATTGACAAGCCATGTTAGTTTCCTATTGCTGCTACAACAAATTGCCACAAACTTAGTGGCTTAAACAATGCAAATGTGTCATCTTACAGTTCTGCTGGTTACAAGTCTACATGGGCACCTTGGGCTGCGTTCCTTCCCGGGACTACCTGCATTCCTTGGCTAGTGACCTTGTTCATCTACCCAGCAACAATGATCAAGTCTTTCTTATCACTCCAACTGTTCTTCTGTAGTCGCATCTTCTTCCCTCTGAATGTCCTCTCCTGCCTCCCTCTTCCACTTTTAAAGACCTTCGTGATTACATTGGGTCCACCCAGAGAGTAACACAGAATACTCTCCCTGCCTTAAAGTCAGGCAATTAGGAGGGTTTTGTTTTTGTTTTTGTTTTTTGAGACAGGGTTTGGCTCTGTCATCCAGGGTGGGGTACAATGGCGTGATCTTGGCTCACTGCAACCTCCATCCGCCTGTAGGACTCAAGCAAGCCTTCTACCTCAGCCTCCCAAGTAGCTGGGACTACAAGTGGGCACCACTTTTTTTTTTTTTTTTTTTGGTAGAGATGGGCTTTCACCATGTTTCCCAGGCTGGTCTGGAACTCCTGGGCTCAAGCGATCCTCCTGCCTTAACCTCCCAAGGCACTGGGATTACAGGAGTGAGCCACCACGCCCGGCAGATTAGCAGTCTTAATTCCATCTGCAGCCTCAATTCCCTTTGCCATGTAACCTAACATATTCATAGGTTTGGTTTTAGGACATGGGCATTTTTGGGAGGCCATGATTGTGCCTACCACACAAGCCAAAGACCCAGAGAGGCTAAATAATTTGCCACAGGTTATATGGCTAGAAAACGGTAGAGCCAGACTTCAAAAGCAGGCTGACCCCAGCACTTTGAATGAGTGCTGACCCAAGCACTCTCATTGTTAATCATTGCACTACACTTCCGTAGCTCGTTTTCCCTTCTCAGCAACCCTACTGTGAGGTAGGTATGGTTATGACTGCTATGTGCAGTTTACAGTTGAAGACATGAAGACTCTCAGGGATGATGTGGCTTGCCCAAAGTTCACACAGGTAGTGGAAAGCAGAGGAACCAGGTTAGTCGGACTCAGATAAGAGATGTACCCAAAGCCAGGCACGGTGGCTCACACCTGTAATCCCAGCACTGTGGGAGGCTAAGATGGGAGGATCACTTGAACTCTAGAGCTTGAGACCAGCCTGGGCAACATAGGTAGACCTGTCTCCACAGAAAACTTTAAAAAATAGCCAGGCGTGGTGATGTGCGCTTGTAGTCCCAGCTACTCAGGAGGCTGGGGTGGGAGGATTACTTGAGCCTGGGAGGTCAAGCCTGCAGTGAACTATAATTGCAGCACTGCACTCCAGCCTGGGTAACTGAGCAAGACCTTGTCTCAAAAAACAAAAAAACAACAAAAACAAAAACAAAAAAAACAAAAACAGAGAGAGAGAGAGAGAGAGACAGAGGTACCCACAATGAAAGGAAGACATTGGCTACTGTGAGAGTGAGATTGTCATCCTTAAACCAAGAGCATTTCAGCTGGGCGCAGTGGCTCACGCCTATAATCTCAGCAATTTGGGAGGCCAAGGTGGGTGGGTCACCTGAGGTGGGGAATTTGAGGCCAGCTTGACCAACATGGAGAAACGCCATATCTAATAAAAATACAAAATTAGCCAGGCATGATGGCAGGTGTCTGTAATCCCAGCTACTCGGGAGGCTGAGGCAGGAGAATCGCTTGAACCCAGGAGGCAGATGTTGCGGTGAGCCAAGATCACGCTATTGCACCCCAGCCTGGCAAAAGAGCGAGACTCCATCTCAAAAAACACACACACAAACAAAAAACAAACCACAAGAGCATTTCAAATACTTTTGCTAAAATCAACAGCTCTTCCCTTAGGTATCCCACAGTACTGGACTACTCTCATTTCCTTCAGACCTCTTCTCAAATGTCAGCTACTCAGCGATACCCTGACCACCCTATCCAAAATAGTAGCTCTCATGCCCCAACCCCCATTCTCTTGTCTCTTCTCTTACTGCTTGTCATAATTATGTAAATTTTTTGTGCTAGAACAAATGCTTCATGAGAGCAGGGGCTGTGTCTGTTTTGTACACTGCTGCATTCCCAGGGTCTGGCATCCAGCAGGCACTCCATAATTTTTTAGTCTGAAATCAATAATAACTTAATCCAATCTCAATATTCTCATCAATGGACTTGAGAATAAGCAAATGTTATTAATGTATCTACATTAGATACTGGGACTCTTGGCATTTCAATTGAAAAAGGCTTTCGGAGATATGAAGGACTGGACCAGCAAGAGATTCTCCAAGTTTCTAGCCTTGGCTGGTCATGAAACTTTTAAGGGAAGGCCAGGCACAGTGGCTCAGGCCTGTAACCCCAGGACTTTGGGAGGCCAAGGCAGGCAGATGGCTTGAACTCAGGCGTTCAAGACCAGCCTGGGCAACATGGTGAAACCCCATCTCCACAAAAAAATACAAAAAATTAGCCAGGTATGGTGGTGCACGCCTGTAGTCCTAGCTACTCAAGAGGCTGAGGTGGGAAGATGGCTAGAGCCCAGGAAGCAGAGGCTGCAGTGTGAGTCAAGATCATGCCACTGCACCCCAGCCTGGGTGACAGAGCCAGACTGTGTCTCAGAAAAAAAAAAAAAATTGTAAGGGAAGCTTGATTAAAACACCAATACCCAGTGCCTACCCTCAAAGATTCTCATTGAATTGGTCTGAAGAGTGTTCTGAACATCAGCATTTTTTAAGGCTCTCCAGGTGATGCTAATGTGCCTCTGTGGTTGCCATTCACAGCCCTGGACCTCCTAAACTAGAATCCCTGGGACAAAGGTTTTCAACCTTGACAGAGCTTTGGAAAATACTGATGTTGGAGTACCACCTCCAAAGATTTTGATGTAATTAGGCTGGATGAGGCCCAGGGAATAGATTTTTCATTTTCGTTATTATACTTCTCAGCTCCAGAATGTCTATGTAGCGCCATACATTGTTTTCCTGATTTCCTTGAGTTTTTTATTCAAGATTTCCTTTAGTTCTTTCAGCATATTGAACGTAGCTGATTTAAAGTCTTTGGCTAGTAAATCCAATGTCTGGGCTTTCTCAGGGACAATTTATGTCCATTTATTTTGCTCCTTTTTTTTTTTTTTTTTTTGATACAGAGTCTCGCTCTGTTGCCCAGGCTGGAGTGCAGTGGTGCAATCTTGGCTCACTGCAAGCTCCGCCTCCTGGGTTCACGCCATTCTCCTGCCTCAGCCTCCTGAGTAGCTGGGACTACAGGCACCCGCCACCGTGCCCGGCTAATTTTGTTGTTGTTGTTGTTGTATTTTTAGTAGAGACAGGGTTTCACCGCGTTAGCCAGGATGGTCTCGATCTCCTGACCTCGTGATTCGCCCGCCTCGGCCTCCCAAAGTGCTGGGATTACAGGTGTGAGCCACCATGCCTGGCCTATTTTGCTCCTTTTTTAACTGAAAAATTAAAGTTAACTTTACACTTGATGGGTGCCAAAAGTCTTGCACCCAGATCAGCTGCAGACAAGAACAGAAATTTTAAACAAATGAGATCAAAATCCTGAAGCATTCTCCACAGAACTGTAACAGGGATGAAACATTTACTAGTATAATCCTGAAGACAAAGCACAATCAAAGCAATGGCTACCAAGAGATGGAAGTGGTTCAGTCAATGCAAAAGCAGGCTGGTCAAGAGCAAAGATCATGGCAACTGTTTTTGGGGGGATGATCATTTTACTTGCTGACTTTCTAGAGAGCCAAAGGATAATAACATCTGCTTATTATGAGAGTATTTTGAGAAAGTTAGCCAAAGCTTTAGCAAAACAAAGCCCAGGAAAGCTCACCAGAGAGTCCTTCTCCACCATGACAATGTTCCTGTTCATTCCTCTCATCAAACAAGGTCAATTTTGCAAAAGTTTCAATGGGAAATCATTAGGCATCCACCTTACAGTCCTGATTCAGCTCCTTCTGATGTCTTTTTTGTTTCCTAATCTCAAAATATCTTTAAAGGACACCCATTTTTCTTTAGTTAATAATGTAAAAAAAAGATGACATTGACATGGCTAAATCCCCAGGCCTCAGTTTTTTAGGGATGGACTGAATGGCTAGTATCATCACTTACAAAAGTGTCTTGAACTTGACAGAACTTATGTTGAGAAATAAAGTTTATGTTTTCTGTTTTTATCTTTAATTTCACTTTGCCCCAAACTCTTTGAAGTCCCCATATACATTTATCTTTATATAAGTTAGGTGTGTAAAGTTATGTCTATATGCATAGATTGCTGTCTGGAACGATGTTCACCAAACCGGTAGGGGCGTTAAGGGTGATTTTTGCTGTCCTTATTGCACTTCTCTAACTTGCTTATGATGTACACATACTATTTTCACAAAAGGAAGCTGGACTTATGGGTTGAGAGGACTGATTAAGCACATCAGTTCATCTCTTCTCTCTCCAAATATCCCATTGAAATGATAACACAAGCATTCCAAAATTCTAATGAAAACTAACAAAATAATAATAATAATAATAATGCCTACCTCTCAGAATTGTGAATTTTAAAATCTGGCACATAGTGCTTGATGATTATTATCTGCATTTCCCCCATCCACTTATAGTCCTAAAGATAACATTATTATAGATGCTCTTAACCCTTCTTGTGACATGAAGTTCTTTGCAGTCTGGTGGAGCTCAAGGATGCCTTCTTAGCATAATATTTTTTTATTAATAAAATTATATATATAGGATTATAAAAGAAATCATTCGTGTTAAAGTACATTTATCAAAATGTTTAAAAAGTAAATCAGTCATAGAATAACATATGTGCTTTTACAAGATTTGGAACATGTCTAATAATGACCATGATTTCAAAGTTGTGATGAACGTAAGTGATATTTTGAAATAATTTCAACAACAGCAATGTGATGGGGAAAATACCTGATTTCTATTGCTGATGAAGTCACAGGAACACGAATACTACTACAGTCTCTTCTTTATTTTCATAATTGAAGAAAATGCTAAGTTTGAGCTGAACTTTGTGAAAATAAAGACAATTTTTCTCATAATCCAACTTCATGGATGTCCTAATTTAATAAAACAGGTTTCCATATGTCTTTGCCGAAGTCTGTTTATCTGTTTGGTCTCTTTCTTATTTATTACAGACTCTCCTCAAATCTACTATTCTTTACATTGTATTAGCCTAAGTAAAAAAATAATAAAAACCTATGATGCTCCTTGACAGTTTGCTTATATTGAAGGATGAGACTTAGACTAAAAGTTATTGGAAGCTATGTGCATGTGAGCAGGGCTTATTAACTATGAGCTTTGATGACTATTCATTAGTCATCAGTATCAGGATCTTTACATCTTTCCTTCTGAACTGGTCAAATTCTCCAGAAAAGACTCTTCTAGCTTCTTTTTAGGAGAGGATAATCCTCCCTTAGAGAGTATAGTCCTGGGCAGTGCAGTTTTTCTTTTCTTTCTTTTTTTCTTTGAGACGTGGTCTCACTCTGTCACCCAGGCTGGAGTGCAGTGATCATGGCTCACTGCAGCCTTGACCTCCCAGATTCAAGCAATCCTCCCACCTCAGCCTCCTGAGGTGCTGGGACTACAGGCACGTACCACCATACCTGCTAATAGTCTTTTTTTTCAACCTAGGAGTCTCATTATTTGTTTAGGATCAGCATTATTTGCTCAGAGTCAGCATTCTAGAGTGTAGGCTGGGAAAGAAGCCCGAGAAGCAACTGGGCAGAGCATCTCAACCTCCCTTATGTGAACTTTCACTTAATCCTTCTGCTTTCAGTCCGAAGACCCTATCTTTCACTATGCTTGGTGTCTCTCAAGCCAGATACCCCTTGTCTTGTAGTCTGCAGCTTGCTATCCAATAAAGTACCCTCTAGTCGCATGTGGCTATTTAAACTTAATTAAAATAGGCCAGGCCTATTTTATACCTGTGATCCCAGCACTTTGGGAGGCCAAGGTAGGTGGATCACTTGAGGTCAGGAGTTTGAGACCAGCCTAGCCAATATGGTGAAACCCCATCTCTACTAAAAATATAAAAATTAGCCAGGTGTGGTGGCGAGTGCCTGTAATCCCTGCCACTCGGGACGCTGAGGCAGGGGAATTGCTTGAGCACAGGAGGCAGAGTTTGCAGTGAGCCAAGATCATGCCACTTGGCACTCCAGCCTGGGTGACAGAGCAAGACTCCGTCTCAGAAATAAATAAATAAATAAATGTAATTAAAATAAAATAAACTTTCAGCTTCTCAATTGCACTAGTCACGTTTCAAGTGCTCTATAGCCACACAAAGGTAGTGGCTGGCTACTGCATCAGACAGTGCAGAACATTTCCATCACTGCAGAAAGTTCCATTGAACGGTGCTGCTCAAGAACCGGGATTGGCAAATTTTCTCAGTAGCCAGGTAGTAAACATTCCTGGCTTTGGATGCCATATGGTCTCCATTGCATCCACTCCACTCTGTCATTGTAGTATGAAAACAGCCACAGACAATATGTGGACTATTTTCTTAGCCAGATCCAACAGGCTGGATCTGGCCTGCGGACCATAGTTTGCTGACCCCTGTCTGAATGTACTGCCTTTTAAAAAAATCCCTGTACTGTTATTTTAGTGGATCTAGGGAAAGCAGAGTCTAAGATACACAGTTTTTTTTTTTCTTTAACCTACAAGTCTGATTATATGTTCAGGACTTGTCTTTTTCCTACACTTTAGGATCCACAAGCACAGAGCCCTGTCTTTCTTATTCACTATTCTCCACCTAGTGTCCAGCACAGTCCCTGACATGTAATTGTCTTTTAGTAGATCATGTTGAATGATTAAATGCTCACCAAGCCACCCTCTGTGTAATTTGGCTTTTCACTTGGATCTGCCTTCAGGAAAGAATGTGCTGGTTTTGCTGAGTAGATGTCAGTCTGCTTAACAATTATATTTCATGTTATCAATGAATACATTGACATTCCGATTTTCCATCTCAGTCTCATGAGCTTGGTAAATGTAATTCCACTTCTGAGGGAAGACATCAGCTGCTAAACTTGTGTAGAATCAAACAAATCTTGGTTACAGAAGTGTGAAGTCACAATTGAATTTGATAAGAAGACTTGTAAGAGACGGGAAATAATTTGGAGGACATAAGTACCTGGAGAATTTTAAATACTGCACTGAAATTGCCCTCTCAGCAAGATAAGCAAGAGAAGGTTATGTAGAATGTTAACATTGCTGTGACTGTAATAGAACAATATGCCAAGGGCGTTGTTGGAAATTGGTCTGGTGGGGCAAAAGCCACAGGATAGATGAAAACTATACGTGCCCCAGAAGAGTGGCTATCTTAGAGCTTACTGACTGGGAGGGGAATGAGGGAGCCTTCTGGAATGCTGGGAATGTTCTATATTTTAATCTGGTGGCGGTTTCACAGGTATATGCATGTGTGCTATTTCATTCTGCCATGCTGGTAAGATATGGCACTTTATCTTATAACTGTATGTAAGCTATTTCTTATTTGTTTCTTAAAAAAGAAAGGAATCATGAGGGAAATGCAAATCAAACCACAATGAGATATCATCTCACACTCTTTAGGATGGCTACTATCAATAAGTCAAAAAAAAAAAAAAAACAAGTGTTGTATAGGATGTAGAGAAATTGGATCCCTTGGGCACTGTTTTTGGGAATGTGAAATGATGCGGCCACTATGGAAAACAGAATGGCAGTTCCTCAAAAAATTAAAAAAACAGAATTACCATATGATGCAGCCATTTGCCTTCTGGGTATATATTCAAAAGAATTGAAAACAGAGTTTTAAAGAGATATGTGTACACCAATGTTCACAGCAACATTATTCATAATAGCCAAAAGTGGAAGCAACCCAAGTGTCCATTGATGAATAAATGAATGAACAGAGTGTGATACATGCATACAATGGAACATTCTTCAGTCTTAGAAAGGAAGCAAATTCTGACCCATGCTACAACGTAAGTGAACCTTGCAGACACAATGCTAAGTGAAATAAGCCAGTCACAAAAAGACAAATACCTTATGATTCCACTTATATGAGGTACCTAGATTAGTCAAATTCACAGAGGCAGAAAGTATAATGGGGGTTGCCAGGGGCTGGGTGGAGGGAAGAATGGGGAGATATTGTCAAATAAGTACAGAGTTTCAGTTTTGCAAGACTAAAAGAGGTTTTTGGATGGATGGTGGCGATGGCACAATAGTACGAATGCAGTTAATACCACTGAACTGTACATTTGAAAATTGTTAAGATGGTAAGTTTTATGTTATGAGTATTTTACCATAATTTTTAAAAAGTAAGAAATAATATATATATAAATTTTTCCTGATTATATTACAGTTGTTCATTTTTCCTCATGTTCAGCAATATTTAATGAGAAGACACGTGGCTTTCTGAGAGATACTGCTGTAGGACTACACAGATTGTAAATACAATCTTTAAACCATAAAACTCGTAACTGTTTAACTAGTTGTTATAAAACATGTTTGTTAAAGAAAACTTTACATGGCCACTTGAGTTGTAGAAAGCAGAGGCGACCAGTTTTGTGTGGTTATTTTTGCCCAATAAAGAAGGTGTAAATTTTTCACTGGGCAGAGAGCATTGCTGAATACACAGTCGTGCTGGGGCCTCCCAGTGGTTGGTACTATAGAGATGGAAGTTGCCTTTGATAGATCTGATCCAGCCACCATGGCAAGCTTTGTTTCTCCCACACCTGCAAGATTGAGAGCTAGGCTTGAGCAAATATGCTGCATTAAGGAAATCCAACCTAAGAGGTATCTTGGAAGACAGACAGCTTCAGCAGGCCACACTTCTCCACCCTGGTGAACTTCTATATCTGCACTAAATATGTATTACTTCTTTAATGAAAAAAAAACTCATACTTTTAATCAATCACTTACATAGTGCTTGCTATGTACCATTCACTGTCCTTAGTATTTTATAAACATTAATTTACTGGCCAAGCATGGTGGCTCACACCTGTAATCCCAGCACTTTGGGAGGCCAAGGAAGGTGGATTACATGAGGTCAGGAATTTGAGACCAGCCTAGCCAACATGGTGAAACCCCGTCGCTACTAAAAATAGAAAAAAAATTAGCTGGGCCTGGTGGTGTGTGCCTGTAATCCCAGCTACTTGGGAGGCTGAAGCAGGAGAATCGCTTGAACCCAGGACACAGAGGTTGCAGTGGGCCGAGATCACACCACTGCACTCCAGTCTGGATGACAGTACGGGACTCCGTCTCAAAAACAAACAAACAAAAAAACATTAATTTATTTAACTCTCATAACAACCCTAAGAAGGTACCTAATATTAGTACCTAAGAGGTAGGCACTAATAGTGCCATCATCATATTCTACAAATGAGGAGGTTGAAGCACAGAGTGGTCAAGTAACCAGCCCAAGGAAAGCTTACAAATGGCAGAGCTGGGACTTGAACCCAGGCAGTTAGCACCTGTGCCTGTGCTGTCAACAATTATGCTGCCTCCAAATCAGGCAGAATGAATTTCTTGGTGCTGGGGGGTATCCAAGTTCATTGGTGCTGCTATAGCAAAATAGCTGAGACTGGGTAATTTATAAAGAAGATAAATTTATTTTTTCACAGTTCTGGAGGCTGGGAAGTCCAAGATCAAGATACAGATACTAGCAAATTTGGCGTCTGGTAAGGGCTGCTCTCTGCTCTCATGATGGCACCTTCTTTGTTGCTTGAGATGGACTCTCACCCTGTTGCCCAGGCTGGAGTGCAGTGGCATGATCTCAGCTCACTGCAACCTCCGCCTCCCAGGTTCAAGTGATTCTCATGACATAGCCTCTCAAGTAGCTAGGATTACAGGCAGAGGCCATCACACTTGGCTAATTTTTGTATTTTTAGTAGAGATGGGGCTTTGCTGTGTTGGCCAGACTGGTCTCGAACTCCTGGCCTCAAGTGATCCGCCCGCTTCACCCTCCCAAAGTGCTGGGATTACAGGTGTGAGCCACTGCGTCCGGCCTCATGATAGCATCTTCTTGCTGCATCTTCACATGGTGGAAGGGGGCAAAAAAGGATGAATACTGTGTCCTCACATGACAGAAGAGATGGAAGGTCTAAAAGGGCCTAGCTAGTTCTTTTATAAGGGCACTAAGCCCATTCATGAAGGTAGATCCCTTATGTCTTAATCACCTCCTAAAGTCCCCACCTCTTCATACTATCACAACAGGTCTTAGGTTCCAACTTATAAATTCAGGGGAGACACACACACTCAAACCATAGCAAGGAGAGAACACCTTCATGTTTCCTTTCTCCTTTTTCTCTCTCCTTTCCCCACCCTTCTTGGTCCTTAATTTCAAGGAGGGGAAATTGTGCAATTTTGATCTAGATTGGTCAAATCCTACATTATAAAGGATTTTTTTCCCGGGACGGTTTTGAAGAGAGTTAACAGGTCTATAGCAGTGTTTTTCAGACTTTCAGATCTTCCAGATGTATAATTTTTTTCTCAAAAGTGTTGGGCAAAGACTTCTGCTGTCAGTAATGATAGAGTAATAGAGACCAGATTGATCCTCCCTTAAACAATTAGGAAAACAGGCAAAATGATATGAAACAATGCTTTCCATATACTGGACAACAGACAATGAAGACTATGATTCCTGAGAGAAAAAAAATGAGATGAGCCTTAAGATCACCCCTTCCTGTGTGGAGACAGTTTTCACAATGCAGCTCATAGAAGGGAAACTCAAGCAGAATGGCCAAAGTGGCTAGAATTTACAGGTAAGAGTGTTGAAGAGGAGTCCAGAGTTCTCAACCTCAGAGATCTCCAAGGGGCCCTCTTGAGTCTTTGGCTGTGTACTGATTTACACATATGTGAGAAAAAGTACCCAAGGCCGGGGGGGAATCTGCTGGAAAGCAGTAGGCTAAAGAGCTCATATAAGGTGAGAAATTGTTTGTGATTCCAACAGTTAAAATGCAGACACTTCTTAATATATCGGGCATCAAGCAGAGCCCTCATAAGGAGACTCATCTCAGTCATGAGGCTAAATTAGCCGTAGACCAAAGGCTATTCAGAACCTGCCTCTGAAAATCTTAAAAGCAAGGCTAAAATGAACCTAGATGATCCCATGTAATTTAACAGTGTCCCAAAACAAAGTTCAATACTACTTAAAGAAACACAATAAAATCCAGCACCCAATTACAAAATTTACAATATCCAGTGCTATTCAATGAACTGTTCTCCCTCAAATTCATATGTTGAAACCAATGTGATGGTAATTGGAGATGGTGTCTTTGGGGGGTAACTGAGTCATGAGGGCAGAGACCTCATGACAGGATTAGTGCCCTTACAAGAAGAAGCACGAGATCTTTCTTTCTCTCTCTCTCTCTCTACCCCCAACCCCCTGCCCGCCACCATGTGAGGATACAACAGAAAGGCAGCCACCCGCAAGACAGGAAGAAGGCTCTCACCAGAACCTAACCATTCTGGCACCTGATTGTAGACTTCCCAGGCTCTAAAATGGTGAGAAATAAATGTCTGTTCTTTAAGCTATATGCAGTATCACATTTTGTCATAGCAGCCTGAGCTGACTCAAACATTTGCATTCTTGGCCGGGCATGATGGCTCAAGCCTGTAATTCCAGCACTTTGGGAGGCTGAGGCAGGCGGATCACTTGAGACCAGGAGTTTGAGACCAGCCTGGCCAACATAGTGAAATCTCCTCTCTACTAAAAATACAAAAGAAATACCTGGGCATGGTGGTGGGCACCTGTAATCCCAGCTACTTGGGAGGCTGAGGCAGAAGAATCGCTTGAATCCAGGAGGCAGAGGTTGCAGTGAGCCGAGATTGTGCCAATGCACTCCAGCCTGGGCAACAGAGCGAGACTTGTCTCAAGAAAACCCCACAAAAAACATTTAGCATCCTATAAAACATTATCAAGCATGAAAATTTTTACTATCAATTAACACAAATAGACCCAGAAATCACAGAAATGATGGAATTAGCCAACAAGGGTGTTAACGCAGCTATTACAAATAGGCTTCTTATACAAAATGATGTAGAGGAAACCATCAACATAGTGAGGAAAGACATGGAAGATATAAGAGAACAAAATGAAATTTGTAGAGATGAAAAATATAAGACCTGAAAAGAAAGATACACTAGATAAGATTAACAGAAGATTAGACACTGCCAAATAAAAGATTAAAAACTTCAAGGCATAGTAATAGAAGAGATCTAAAATGAAGCACAGAGAAAAAAAGAGGAAAAGATGAAAGAGCCTCAGTCATCTATGGGATGATATCAAGTGGCGTAAAATACATGTAATCCAAAGGTCCCAAAAAAGTAGAAGAGAGAAAGGGAAGGGACCACAAAAATATTTTAAGAAATAATGGCTGAAATTTTCCCAATTTTGATGAAAAATATAAACCCACAAATCCAAGAACCTGAAAGAACTCCAAGTGGAAAAAAGCATAAAGAAAAGTACGCCAACGCATATATAATCAAAGTCATTGAAAACAAGTAATAAAAAGAAATTCTTAAAAGCGTTTGGGCTCACGCCTGTAATCCCAGCACTTTGGGAGGCCGAGGCGGGCGGATCACGAGGTCAGGAGATCGAGACCATCCCGGCTAAAACGGTGAAACCCTGTCTCTACTAAAAATACAAAAAAATTAGCCGGGCGTAGTGGCGGGCGCCTGTAGTCCCAGCTACTTGGGAGGCTGAGGCAGGAGAATGGCGTGAACCCGGGAGGCGGAGCTTGCAGTGAGCCGAGATCCCGCCACTGCACTCCAGCCTGGGCGACAGAGCGAGACTCCGTCTCAAAAAAAAAAAAAAAAAAAAAAAAAAAAAAAAGCGTTTGGGAAAAAAAGAGTTGGGAATCTTTTGGAGTGATAGGGGCTGTTCTATATCTTCATTGTGGAGCAGATGTGTTTATCAAAACTGCATATGTTAATCAAAACTCATAAAACTGTTTATTTAAAAGGATGAATTTACTTCATGTACATTATACCTGAAGAAACTTGACCCAAAAAATATGGAAGGAGGAGATGGGAAGGAGTGGGGAGAAAAGAAGAAAAAAGAAGGAGAAAGGAATAAGTGGAATGAGGTTGACCCAACATGGTCAGATAAGGACAGGGAAAAAAAACAGACTGTTTACTATCATCATCATAATTTCATTAAAAAACAAGAACTGTTTGGAAATAGAAAAGTTGGTGAAAGAAACCAAGGAAAAAGAATCAGCTATCTAGCATTTTTACTCTTCCAATTATTATTAATAAATATGCTGTTAGGAGAAATTCCCTGTTCCCATTAATACCTGCTGAAATTTTTTATTTCCAGCCTCCTCGTCAGCTTGGAATGAATATTAGCTAATATTTGTTGAATATTTACATGTCAGCACTGTTCTAAGCACTTTATTTGCATCTTATCTCTTAATCCTTTTAACAACACTAAGGTAGATATTATTGTAGCTGCACTAGAGGAATGTGGTTTAACTTTTATGTAACAAAGTTGGGAATTGTTTTTCTGTTACCATGGATTTCCAGGTTGAAGGTCACATAACCTGAGCATGCCCAGATGAACCAAACATGCAACCACAGGGGGACCATAAGCCCTGGGACCAAGGAACAGTGACTGAATTAAGAAGCTCGGGAGTTCTTGACCAGCCTGGGCAACAGAATAAGACTTCATCTCTACCAAAAAATATTTTGAAGAAGAAGAAGGAAGAGGAAGAGGAGGAGGAGGAGGAGAAGAAGAGGAAGAAGAAGAAAAGAAGAAGAAGAAGAAGAAGAAGAAGAAGAAGAAGAAGAAGAAGAAGAAGAAGAAGAAGAAGAAGAAGAGGAAGAAGAAGAAGGAGGAGGAGGAGGAGAAGAAGAAGGGGAGGGGGAGGGGGAATGGGAAGAGGAAGAGGAAGAGGAAGCAGCTCTGAGGTGAATGCAGGATCCAATCAGACTGTGCTCTGGCATCACCCCATGACAGGATCCAGTCAGATTGGGCCTCACTGCATCACCTCATTGCAAGGTCCAATCAGATCACTTCTCTTTACCCTGTGCTTATAAAACCCGATCCAGCTCCCAGCTCAGGGAGACAGATTTGAGCATTTCCTCCTGTCTCCTTGTCACTTGGCTCACAATAAACCTTTCTCACTGCAAAAACCCAGTGCTTCAGAGTTTGGCTTCCCGTTGTGCAGGGGCAAACCAACCTAGTTTGTTTCAGTAACGTTATTGTCCCCCTATCATAGACATGAAAACTGAGACTTCGAGTGAATAAGTAAATTGCGTTGAGGTCCCACAGAGAGAAGGTGGCAGAGCCATGTTTAGAACCCAGGCAGTCGGGCTTTAGCCATCATTCTGTGCACAAGTGTTTCCTGGGTAAGGCTCACCGTGGGGATGGCTCCACAACGTTCACCACCCCCATAAGATTCCTAGGGAGTTGCTTGTGAATTGGCAGAATTGATCTTGTCAAATACAATGTCTGGAGAAAATGTTTCTCTATCTCCCAATCCGTCCCATATCAGATCCTATGACTATAGGTTCTCTGATAATTATTATATTCTCCGTTTTTATGCCACAAATCCACCAGAAGTAAAATAAATACGTGAAAGTGATTTGAGGGTACTATGAGCTATACACAGCTAATAAACATGTACTAAGCACCTACAATCTGCCATGAACTTTCAGCTATAGTTTTGCTCCCAATTTACAGCTGCTGAAACTGGGGCCTCAAGAGGATAAATGACTTGCTATATGATTCCATTTATATAAAGTTTTAAAAACAGGTGAAACTAATTGACAGTGTTAAAACAAGGCTGAGTAATCTTTGGGGAGAAGGAATGTGTAGTGACTGGGAAGAAGCACAGGGGGCCAACCAGTTGTTGGTAATAATGTGTTTCTGGACATGGGTGGTGTTTATCTGAGTGTATGAGAAAAAGACAGAAATGGGCCAGGCCGGTGGCTCATGCCTGTAATCCCAGCACTTTGGGAGGCTGAGACGGGCAGATCACCTGAGGTAGGGAGTTTGAGACCAGCCTGACCAACATGGAGAAACACCGTCTCTACTAAAAATATAAAATTAGCCGGGCGTGGTGGCGCATGCCTGTAATCCCAGCTACTCGGGAGGTTGAGGCAGGAGAATCGCTTGAACCCGGGAGGCAGAGGTTGCAGTGAGCTGAGATCGCGCCACTGCACTCCGGCCTGGGCAACAAGAGCGAAACTCCATCTCAAAAAAAAAAAAAAAGACAGAAATGAAATTAGCTGGGTGTGGCGCTGCACGCCTGTAATCCCAGCTACTTGGGAGGCTGAGGCAGGAGGATTGGTTAAACCCAGGAGTTCAAGGCTTCAGTGAGCTATGATGGCACCACTGCACTCCAGCCTGGGCAACAAAGTGAGACCTTGTCTCTAAAAAATAAATACTTAAATAATAAACAAAAATGGAAAAGACAGAGAAAATATGAGGAAAAAGAGATTCTGTCAAACATAATCTATTATAAAGATTCTAAAAGTTTTCCACTGATGTTTAAAAAATATTCATCTATGAAGGAAAGAGAATCAGACCAGTATCAGATTTCTCATCAGAAGCCAAAAGCCAGACATCAATAGTGCATTATCTTGAAAGTTTTGGAAGAGATTTTTAAGCTGGAATTCTAGTCTCAGCCAAACATAATCAAATGTGAGGGCAAAGTAAAGGCATTTTCAGACTTGCCAGGACAGAGGAAGTTTGGGTTTTTGTAGTCTGTTTATTTAAAGTAAGAAGAAAACACTAAAGTCTTGGTTATAGTTGTAGGACAGAACATAATGTTAACTATATCAGTCAGAAGATACTTGGATAATGCTTGGTTGAGTTCCATAAACTTTATTATGCTGTTGTAGTAAATAAATCCAAACTGTCAGAGGCTTAAGACAACAAAGGTTTATGTCTTTGACATACTACACATTGACAATACAGTGGCAGGGGGCTCTGTTCTCCTGAGGATGGCTCAGAGGCTCTACCATAGGGAATGCTGTAAGGTATGACACCAGGGGAGAAGGAAATGTGTGTGTGTGTGTGTGTATGTGTGTGTGTGTGTGTGGTGGTGGTGCTCACACCAGCTATCAAATGTTCCAGCCCAGAAGTAACAAAGATCACTTCCTCTCACAACTCATTGGCCATAACTAGTCACATGGTTACACTCAACTAAAAAGGGTGGAGAAATGTAATTCTCAGTATATCCAAAGGAAATGAGAACTGGGTAGGGGTAGGGAGAAACCTTTGAGGTCTCGTCCCCATTAAAAAATGACAATTTATAAACAAAAGTGAGGCTGACAAAAAAATGGAAACGGGAAGCAGAGAGGAAAGATGGAGAGAAAAGTAAACCATCTTAGAAAACAGGATTTTATTTTATTTATTTATTTGTTTGTTTGTTTGTTTTGAGACAGGGTCTCGTTCTGTCGCCCAGGCTGGAGTGCAGTGGCGTGATCTCGGCTCACTACAACTTCTGCCTCCCAGGTTCAGGCGATCCTCCTGCCTCAGCGTCCCAAGTAGCTGGGACTATAGGCCTGCCCCACCACACCTGGCTAATTTTTTGTATTTTTAGTAGAGACAGGGTTTCACCATGTTGGCCAGGCTGGTCTCGAACCCCTGACCTCAAGTGATCCACCTGCCTCAGCCTCCCAAAGTGCTGGGATTACAGGCGTGAGCCAAGGCGCGCGGCCAGAAAGCAGAATGTTAAGAGGTGTTGTCCATGTGACGAAATAAGAAAATAGGAGTTATATTAATTGAATTTATGAGGAGAAATGAGAGAACTGCAAATAAGCATATAAATGTCAAACAATTGGAGGTGGAGAGAGCAGAGATTGCAAGTAGACTACAGGGAATGGTCCATTTGCCCAGACATTCATCCTAGTCTGTTCACGCTGTGCTATAGTTTGGACATGGTTTCTTTGACTCCTCCAAATCTCAGGCTGAAATGTAATCCCCAGTGTTGGAGGGATGCTAATGGAAGTTGTTTGGGTTATGGGTAGGATCTCTCATGAATGGCTTGGTGTTGTCCTAGTGATTGATAATGAGGGCGTTCTTGCTCTATTAGTTCCCTGGTTGTTAAAAACAGCCTGTGAACCTCCCCCTCTCTTGGTTCATTTCTCTCCATATGATCTCTGCACACACCAGCTCCCCTTTGCCCTCTGCCATGAATGGAAGCAGCCTGAAGACCTCACCAGAAACAGTTACTGGTGCCATGCTTCTCGGGCAGCCTGCAGAACCATGAGCCAAAATAAACCCAGCTCCGAGTATTCTTTTACAGCAACACAGACAGACTAAGACAGGCTGCTATAACAAAATATCATAAACTGGGTGGCTTCTAAACAATAGAAATTTATTTCTCACAGTTCTGGAGGCTGAGAAGTCCAAGATCAAGATGCTTGCAGATTCGGTGTGTGGTGAGGGTCTCTTTCTGGTTCATAGACAGCACCTTCTTGCTATATCTTCACATGGTGAAAGGTCAAGAGGTCTCACTCAGGCCTCTTTTATAAAGCCACTGATCCCATTATCACCTCCCAAAAGCCTCACCTTCTAATACCATCACCTTGGAGGCTAGGATTTCAACATATGAATTTTAAGGAGACACAAACATTCAGACCGTGGCACTGTTGTTTATATTTAGGGAGAAAATGATTAAAAGAGGTGATCTCCAGGGAGTGGTACTGAAGTTGGAAAATAATGTGGTCTTTATTTATTTATTTATTTATTTTTGAGACAGTCTCACTCTCTTGCCCAGGCTGGAGTGCAGTGGCACGATCTCAGCTCACTGCAACCTCCACCTCCCAGGCTCAAGCGATTTTCCTGCCTCAGCCTCCCCAGGAGCTGGGCTTACAGGAATGCACCACCACACCCAGCTAATTTTGTATTTTTAGTAGAGACGAGGTTTCGACATGTTGGTCAGGCTGGTCTCAAACTCCTGACCTCTGCCTCGGCCTCCCAAAGTGCTGGGATTATGGGAGTGAGCTACCGCGCCTGACCTCAAATAGTGTAGTCTGAGGTCATACATATAAGCTTTTACATTGGGCAAATTGCCAGGCGCACTGGCTCACACCTGTAATCCCAGCGCTTTGGGAGGCCAAGGCCGGCGGATCACCTGAGGTCAGGAGTTCGAGACCAGCCTAACCAACATGGTGAAACCCATCTTTATTAAAAATACAAAAATTAGCTGGGTGTGGTGGCAGGCGCCTGTAATTCCAGCTACTCGGAAGGCTGAGGCAGGAGAATTGCTTGAATCCAGGAGGTGAAGATTGCAGTGGGCCAAGACCATGCCATTGCACTCCAGACTGGGTGACAGAGCAAGATTCCATCTCAAAAAAAAATTGCCATTGCTTAACTCCCCTGAACTTCAGCCTCCTCTTCTATAAGGTGGGAAGGTAGGGTGACACTCTCCACTTCCTGGACTTGTCTGAGGATTAAGTGAAATTATGCATGGCTAGAGTTTGGCAGAGCAGCTGGCACATGGCTAGATGTACTGGCTAGAGGGACAAGGCCCAAACTGACGTTAGGTCCAGATCCAAGTCCCGATGGAAGAGCAGAGACCTCAGATTCTTGGAGACCATCCAACCTACTGCTTTCTCGGCCATCGAGCACATGGGGCCCAGTCTTATCCACAGCAACACAATGAATCAGTCTGCAAACCCAGGACTAGAACTGGCTCCTGACACCCAGCCCTGCTGGACACCCCTGCCACCTCTGAATCATCGACTACATTTGGCTTTGGACATGGAGAAAAGGGAGCAATTTGGGAAGAATGAAAACATTTCCTCCTGTGCAAATTGTTTCTTTTTGTGCTGGCAAGTCCAAGGTGTTCTGACAAAGGTCAAAAGTATTTATTTTCTTGAATATCATGGGAGTGAGAATGTGACACAGATGAGGGGGAGTGAGGGGGAGGAAAGGAGGGGGGGGAGGGCTGTTGCCAACTTCAATAGCTGAAAGGGCTTCTTTTTATTACAGGAAGTGTTTGGTTTGGGGGCACAGAAACAACCTCTAGTTTTCTATCAAAAGGAGCAGAAATTACAATTAGGAAAATCACAGTTTATAAACAGACTGACAATTCTGTCAAGGCTGTGCTCCATGCTGCCCTGCCCGCCTCCCCAGCTCAGATCCGGTTCCTCACCCCCATCTGAGCTTTGCCAGCCCACTGGGTCCTGACCCACTGCACTCCCCTATGCTGTTCCTCTGACTACACTGCCCGACCCCAGTGCCAACTCAGGCACTGTTCTTGACCTACCTGAGTCCTCCTCTAGGCCTCCTCCTCAAAAACCCTCCAGCTCTTCTTCTGTGTACATCACACCACATCTTTCTGTCTTTGCACTTACCAAGCTGCATCTCAATTGCCCCTACACCCATCTGTCCCTCCCAGTGGACTGCAGAACATATACTGGACCCTCAGACTCAGGTCTGGCATTCAGACAGAATCCTGCTTTTTTTGGCCTGCTCCATTTGGGGCCACATGGTGTTTTTGAGCTGTTTGCGTTCATCTCCAGAAACTAAAAATTAAGAGATTTCACATTAAAATCCAGATTTTTGGCTTCTCTCAATAAACTGGAAATCCAGCAACATGGGTCCAGCCCTCCCAGCAGCGGTCCCTTTTGGATACCCATGCCTTTTCTGTTTCTTCACAGTCCCTACCACGCCCTACTGTCTCCCTGACATTAAAGCCTTATGTCAGGAACCATTTGTCATTATTCTTGCAAAATATTTCTTTCTTACAGTGGATTAATAAGAAAGTGAAGTATTTCTTTTACTCATGTTCCTTCCTCACACCTGGCTCACTTCCCTTGTTTATGTTACCAGACTGGAACCCATAAGTACCTGGGCTTTCAACCCTTGCACCAGGCTGAAAACTTCTTGAAAACATATACAGGCTAAGTGTAGTGGCTCACACCTATAATCCCAGAACTTAGAAAGACTGAGGTGGAAGATCACTTGAGCCCAGGAGTTCGACACCACCCTGGGCAACATAGTGAGACCTCATCTCTACTAAAAATAAAAAAAATAAATAAAAAAAATTAGCTGGGCATGGCACCCACCTGTGGTCCCAGCTACCTGGGAGGGTGAGGTAGGAGGATTGCTTGAGTAAGGGAGGTTGAGGTTGCAGTGAGTCATGATCGCTCCTCTGCATCCAGCCTGGGTGATACAGCCAGACCCTGTATCAAAAAAAAAAAAAAAATGAAAAAAGATACAGTGCTTCGTAACATCTCTGTAGCTCCAACAGCCAGCACAGTGCATAGCTCAGAGTAGGTCTCTCGTAATGAATATAACTCTTGCTACTAGAAGAAGAGAGCCTCTTTATAAATTCTTTCATCTTCTTCATCATCCATTCTAAGGCAGGAAATTAAAGAAAGAAAGAAAAATAAAATTAAAAAGAGAAATAAGCTTTCCTGTATTAGGCTGACTTGTCCCAGAGGCAGCAACGGGCATAGCCCAGACCCAGGGAAAGTCTTGATAATACTATCTAAGAAGGCAGGACACAAAGGAATGTGCTCTGGAGACTCTCCCAGCACTCCCTCAACACAGGGAGAAGAAAAACAAATTTTCCTTTGTTTTATGGTATGAGTTTATAGATTCTTGTTCTCTGTAACTGGTGACTTAAAGTATTCTGTTTTATCTAAGCAGTGGTGTGAAGGTCACAAGCTGTCTGAGCAGGCCACCTGGGCCCATAGTGCAGGCCATGGAATAAGCCATGCTAGGCACTAGGCAAACCTAGATAATGGACATCTGGGTTGCATAGCAACGGTCATGTGTAACCCTGAGTTATGAACCTGTTACAATTTGATTAACTGTCTTTGTCCTGCCTCTGTATCCCTGCTTTCACACTGCTGTAAGCCTGCTTCAAGTTAGCCCACCCCTTTTTAAAGTGTGCATAAAAGCCAAGTGCTGTCTTTGTTCTTGGCCCAGTCTTTGGATGTTAAGTCGGCTGGGTCTGAGTGCACTCAATAAAGATATCCTCCTGCATACACTCCAAGGTCTCCCTCTGGTCCTTCTGATTCCACAACAATTCAACAACGATTTTCTGAGTTCACCTATAAGCCTATTTTCCTTCCTCAGTGTTCTTTCTCTTTGATGTCCTGGTACCTCTTGTAAACCCTAAATACTCAAAACCCCTCCTTAGATTGCCCTTTTACGTACCTCTTGCAAAACTTTGATGTTAGCAATTACATAAGAGAAGATCATAAAAACCATTAATTAGTAGTGAGAGTATTAATGTCAGTAATAAGTAGATATTAATGTTATTTACTGAGAGTTTCCCATGTATATCAGTTTGTTCTCACAATGCTAATAAAGACATGCCAGAGTCTGGATAATTTATAAAGGGAAGAGGTTTAATTGACTCACAGTTCCACATGGCTAGGGAGGCCTCACAATCATGGCAGAAGGTAAATGAGGAGCAGCAAAGTCACGTCTTACATGGTAGCAGGCAAGAGGGCATGTGCAGGGAACTCCCCTTTATAAAACCATCAGATCTCATGAGACTTATTCACTATCATGAGAACAGCATGGAAAAAACCCACCCGCATGATTCAATTACTTCCCACTGGGTCCCTCCCACAACATGTGGGAATTACGGGAGCTACAATTCAAGATGAGATTTGGGTGGGGACACAGCCAAGCCATATCACCATGTACCAAGAACTTTACATAGATTTCCTCACTCCAGCTTTACAACCCTGTGTATCATTAGTCTTCATATTAGTCAGGACTGTAAGTTGCAAGTAGAAAAAAAGTAACAACCAACTCTCAAATGGTTTAAGCCAAAAGGTTCATATAACTGAAAAATCAGATCTAGTATTCATGAAATCATTATGTGGATGACATAATTCTAAGAATTTTACATGTATTAATTCTTTTAATCCTGTGAATAATATTTTAAGAAAGGTACTAATATAATTTCCATTTTGCAGACAGGGAAACTTGAGTACTGAGAGTTCACAATTTTACATCTGAACCCACTTTCTGTGTGTAAGGGAATTACCTACTTCATTCAACTCCTTGGAACCCAGAGTTCAATTCTGCAGAGGAAGCAGAAAATGCCATGTCCTCCCTGCATGGAGGACATCAGTGTTGTGACTTAGGCGTTGCCCATCAGGTGCATCTGCCATGGACTTCGATTTTCAAACTCATATAGAGACTGTTCTCTGGCAGGTGTGATGAGAGAGTAAGATCCAGTTCCAGAGATGACAATCCAGTGGGGTTACGGGCAGCACTGGCTGTCTGGAACCAGAGGGCCAGTAGTGTCCCCAGGCCAATTCTGTTGATGTGAATGGAGACACCATGCCTGGCTTCTCAACCTCTGAGTTTGGTTCCCCTGTGATTCTATAATCTACTCCATATGCATTCAACAAAACTCGTGTGAGTCAATATTCCATAATAAACTCCCTTACATATATACATCTATCCTATTAGTTCTGTCCCTCTAGAGAACCCTAATACACTATCTCATAAAATAAATTAAAAATTAAAGAGGAAGAAACTGAGGATCAAAGAAGTTAAGTAATTTCTTTAGAGTCCCACAGCCACGGAATAGAGAAGTTAGAATTTGAATGGCTCAAATTTTGTTTTACTTTTGTTATTTTTTTGTTATTGCTTTTCTCATTTGGCTTGCAATAATGTTCTTAATTTTGCTTTTTCCCACTTTCCTGATTTAAATGCTCCCTATAAAAATTTAAATATATAAAGTTATAAGGAAGAAAGTAACATTCTTTGAAATCTCATCAGCATATAATAACTACTGTTAATATTTTACTGGGCATCTTTCATGCCTGTCTTAACGCGTATGGGCAATAGAAGTAACCTTTTTCATAAATCATAACAAATAATACACATTCTTTTAATCAAGAGCACCCTTTTTAAGTGTGATTTTTTTTTCTTATCTATCCTTTTCTTCTTCCTTTTCTGACCTCCATTAATCTCCCTTACTTACTCCACACTTTCTGGCTCACGATAACCCCTGTTAACAACTGATGTGTACACTTGCAGAATTTTCTCCAAGCCAATATAATTATACATTTCTTTATAGAAGTCCTGTTTTTAACTCTTGCAATATTCATATTAAAGGACACTAATGGGCTGTGCGCAGTGGCTCGTGCCTGTAATCTCAGCACTTTGGGAGGCCGAGACGGGAGGATCATTTGAGGTCAGGAGTTCGAGACCAGTCTGGCCAACATGGTGAAGTCTCATCTCTACAAAAATATATAAAACTTAGCCTGGCACGGTGGCATGCACCTGTGGTCCCAGCTGCTCAGGAGGCTGATGCTGGAGAATTGATTGAACCCAGGAGGCAGAGGTTGCAGTGAGCCCAGATCGCGCCACTGCACTCCAGTCTAGATGACAGAGTGGGACCCTGCCTCAAAAAAAAAAAAAAAAAGAAAAGAAAAGAAAAGAAAAGAAAAGAAAAGAAATAAAGGACACCAGTGGTGGCATTTGGGGCACCAGACAGTAACTGTTGAAAGAGATTTCAGCCATAGAAGGAGCCCTTCTTGACACCCCTAAAATTGCACTGCTGAGGTGATTGTCACGTGAGCTCACCCCGTCACAGTTCTGGAGTGAGCGTGAGAAGGCTGAGGGTGAGCACCTCTGTCCCCACCAAAGAAATGGATCGCCAGGCCCTGGTCTCGTGGTTTCCAGGTTTGCTTGCAGGCCTGCCTGCGAAGCTCAAGGAACTGCAGAGTCACTTCTGTCTGGAGCTCCTGAATGCAGTCCAGCTAACCTTCCCTACCCGGAAGCCCTTCAACATCTTTTCTCCATTCCCTTTACGGGTTTTATTCTTCTTTTGCCTGCTCAGCAATTTTCACCAGTCCAAGGACCGAATGCTCTGCTCTCAGATCAATAGCCCTTGGGAAGTACTGCAGACAGTCTCTGAGATGCACCCTAGCTGCTCCTGCAAAGGAATTGCTTTCTTTCTGACTCAGTTTCACTTGAATTAAGCTTCTTCTGCTTTATGAAAGCAGCCTCCTTCCAGAGCACAAGTTGACATCAACCCAGAACCAGAAAGAAATCAGTGGCTGGAACTTGTCTTATTCATCTCTGGAAAGTCCAGCTCTCCAGCAGAGGCTTAGAATTCTATTTCCTTTTTTGTTTCTTAGTCATTGCGCTTGAGAAGGCATTTAAAGATGCTCTTTGGCTAGAGTAAGTGCTCAGTAAGCATTTGTTGGCGAAGGGATAAAACAGTAAAGATGGAATAATCAGCATTTGGTAAATGGTTGGTGAAGGAGAATCAAATGAGATAACACATGTGAAATTGATATGTAATCTGTGAATAGTGAAAATTGTTCCTGGCCAGGCGTAGTGGCTCACACCTGTAATCCCAGCACTTTGGGAGGCCGAGGTAGGCGGATCACTTGAGGCCAGGAGTTCAAGACCAGCCTGGCCAACATGGTGAACCCCCCCCCTATTAAAAATACAAAAATGAGCCAGGCGTGGTGGCACATGACTGTAATCCCAGCTACTTGGGGGGCTGAGGCAGGAGAATCCCTCAAACCTGGGAGACGGAGGTTGCAGTGAGCCGAGATCGTGCCATTGCACTCCAGCCTGGGCGACAGAGCGAGACTCCATCTCAAAAAAAAAGAAAAAGAAAAAGAAAAAGAAAAAGAAAACCAAAGGGACTCGTCCGCAGCGTTATCTGCTGGCGCCATCTTCCGGAAATAAGTTAGCACAACAGGTCTATTTCTGTTTCAGCGGGGCGTGAGGGCACTGGAAATGCAGGCAAGGAGGGGAAAAGAGAGAATGAATTTTAGCAAAATCTCTCCATCTCCTCTGTCCTGGATCATCTAATTACTCTACCAAGATTATCATTTTAATGTAATAGTACTACTAACATGCTAGCACTTGTTTTGAGCACCTAGTACGTACCAGATACTGTGCTCAGTGTTTTACATGTGTTATTTCATCCTCACAGTAACTGCAAGAAGTGTATATAGTAAGTCCTCACTTAACTTCTTCGATGGGTTCTTGGAAACTGCGACTTTAAGCAAAATGATGTGCAGCACGTCCTCAAGTAATGTCCTTCCATTATGATTATGAGGGAAAAAATGGTTTCATCATACATCATTTCACTTAAAGTTGCAGTTTCCAAGAAACTATCAACATTCAGTTGATATTAAAAACCCGAGGCATACAAGGTGTATAGTGGACTTATCATCTCTAGGATTACATATCTAGTTGGTGTTTGGGATAAGACTGAAACCCAGTTCTGTCTGACTTCAGAGCCTGTGGTGGGCTGTTGTGAGTCAGGTCCCGAGGAATCAGACTCCAATATGGAGATTTGAAGTCAGGAAGTCTATTGCAGAGTGCTGTCGGGATTACATCTGTGGAAAGGAAAAGTCAAACTGCAGTGCAACCTCAGCAGAGGCCTTGGCTAATGCCATGGGGAATATAGAGCTGGGATGGCAAGAGGACAGGACCTTGGAATGTCCACCTCGAACAGTCATAGGGACTCAGCTGAGAGCTGCCAGCAGCCAATGCTCCCAGCAGCTGGGGGAATAAATGCCCCATCCTGGGGATGGGGGTCTGGGTGGCACACCACAGTATGCACTGCAGCGCCCACTACCTATTCCCCATGCATTGCTCCTCAAATAAGGGAGATGGCTGGGAGGGAGACAACATCAGTGATGGGGTAGTGGAGGAGGAATTCAGAGAGTAAAAATGGTTTTGTCTGTCTTCCATCCACCTGTGACCTAGGCTATGCATGCCATCCAGCTGCAATAACCAATACATTTGGGTCATTCATGTTGATATAATGTATGGATTATTTTATGGGTTGCAAGCCATTAACAAATAAATAAAATGCAATATTCCACTGGCTGATTGGAGATGCATTCTTTGACATTCTCAAATAAGAAATGGAAGAATTGGCCAGGCACAGTGGCTCACGCCTGTAATCCTAACCCTTTGGGAGTCCAAGGCTGGGGGATCACTTGAGGTCAGGTGTTTGAAACCAGCCTGGCCAACATGATGAAACCCCATGTCTACTAAAAATACAAAAAAAAAAAAGCCAGGCGTGGTGGTGGGCGCCTGTAATCCCAGCTACTTGGGAGGCTGAGGCAGGAGAATCACTTGAACCCAGGAGTCGGAGGTTGCAGTGAGCCGAGATCATGCCACTACACTCCAGCCTGGGCGATAGAGTGAGATTCCATCTGAAAAATAAAAATAAAAATAAAATAAAAAGGAGATGGTGCCTTCTGCCCTGGGGTTAAAAAAATTAAAAAATTAAATTAAAAAGAGATGGATCTATTTGTATAATATGGAAAGACCTCTAAGACATATTTTTGCATGAAGAAATAAGATTCAGTACCCTAATAAACTATATAAAAATTATATCTATTTCTAGAGTTTTACATACACTATAAAAGGATGGAATTTTACCGACTTGCCCTATGGAAGGATTCTACATCCCCACCCCACGTAAGTCAGGCATAGCCATATGATTTGCTTTGGCCAAGGGAATTTGAGTGGAAGTGACATGTGAGACATCCAAGCAGAAGCTTTAAGAGGCTCCCCCATTCTCTCTTTTCCTTATTCCATGAGATCAGCATGTTCCAGCTGCTTCTTCCAGCTGTGTCCAGAGATACAGCTGAATTCAACCCATCACAAACATGCAATTAAGATATAAATTTTTAGGCTGGGCGCAGTGGCTCACGCCTGTAATCCCAGCACTCTGGGAGGCTGAGGCAGATGGATTGCTTGAGCTGGGGAGTTCGAGACCAGCCTGAGCAACATGGTAAAACCCTGTCTCCACAAAAACCACAAAAAATTAGCTGGGCCTTGTGGCACACATCTGTAGTCCCAGCTACTTGGGAGGCTGAGATGAGAGGATCACCTGAGCCCAGGAGGTCGAGGCTACGGTGAGCCATGATCATGCCACTGCACTACAGCCTGGGAGACAGAGTGAGACCCTGTCTCAACAAAAAAACAAACAAACAAAAGACATAAACTTTTATTAATATAAGACACTGAGACTTTGAGGATGTTGTTATTGTAGGTTATTGTAGCATAACCTAACCTACCATCACTGATAATACATGTTGCTATATATAACTGATATGTGGTTACTTCTGGGGAGGAGAAATGGCATTGGGAGGTGGCGATCATAGGGAATTTTAGTTTTTAATCTTTAATATTTTAGTTTTCTTACAATAAAAATATATCCACACATTACTATGTAATAAATATACATTATTTTAAAATGAATACAGCAGGTATTTCCCTACTTAAAATTAAATGCCAAAAAATATCTTTTTTTTTTAGACCGAGTCTCGCTCTGTTGCCCAGGCTGGAGTGCAATGGCATAATCTCGGCTCACTGCAACCTCCGCCTCCCGGGTTCAAGCCATTCTCCTGCCTCAGCCTCCTGACTAGCTGGGATTACAGGCGCTGGCCACCATGCCCAGCTAATTTTTGTATTTTTAGTAGAGACGGGGTTTCACCATGTTGGACAGGCTGATCTCAAACTCCTGACCTCAGATGATCCACCCACCTCGGCCTCCCAAAGCGCTGGGATTACAGACATGAGCCACTGAGGAGCTCTATTTCTGATTAAACCTATAGACCTCTCTGAGTTAGGATCTCAGCCCTTGTTCCATTAAAATGAAAAGCCAAAATTGGTTGCATGTATAGCAAAGACCTTGAAATATCATAGACTGCCTTGCAATTTCAACTTCTCATTCAAGCCAAACAACAGCCCTCTTTATCTTTGAAGTTTACTTTTGAGCAAAATCAAAGTGGCTAGACTCCCTGATCCACTGCCTAGTCCCCAGCTTCATGTGTGTCAGATAGTTACAGTGACCAGAGCAAGAGTAGCAGCAGCACCTCTGGCCTCTCAATCACATCTATGGTGACTTTGAAACAAAAGCCTCCTGGACTTCTGCAACTCCTGCTCTTCTCATGAATTTGTAACCACCTAATTCCCTATAGTCAATCCCTTTCTGCCTACAATACCTAGAGTGGTTTCTGTTCCTATCTCCTGCACAGAGGCATGACTTAGTACAGGTTGGAAGATAATATTCAGAAAAGAGACACAAAGACAAAAAGATGAAAAATTGGAAAGAAAAAGAAAAAAAAACAGTAAAATTAGAAAGCCATTTCAAGAGGTCAAACACCTGAAAAATTAGAGTTCTGGAAAGTGAAGATATAGAAAATGGGGAGAGGAAGGAAGAAAATATTCAAAGAAATAATTCATGAAAATTATTCCAGAACTGAAGAAAGTATATTTTCAGATTGGGAGAGATCATTGAGGAACAATTAGATGTTATGTGCCTCCTGAGATGACGCCATAGAAAATACAAGTCCTGTCTATAAAATATGATTGCCAAAAACTGAACTGAAATCTAATCAGGCCTCTAGATTGAACTACCAGTTTACAGGACATTGGAGGGATGGTGTCACATTTTAAAACAACATGAAGGGCCGTGCGCGGTGGCTCACGTCTGTAATCCTAGCACTTTGGGAGGCCAAGGCAGGCAGATTATCTGACCTCGGGAGTTCGAGACCAGCCTGGGCAATGTGGCAAAACCCCTTCTCTACTAAAAGTACAAAAATTAGCCGGGTGTGGTGGCACATGCCTGTAGTCCCATCTACCCAGGAGGCTGAGGCAGGAGAATCACTTGAGCCCAGGAGGCGGAGGTTACAGTAAGCTGAGATCGCTGCACTGCACTCCAGCCTGGGCGACAGAGCAAGACTCCATCTCAAAAAAAAAAAAAAAAAGAAAGAAAGAAAGAAAGAAATGAAATCTGAGCAATAACTTCCATGAGCTTGAAGGTAGATTCAGCTCCATGACCTCCAGAAAGGAATGCAGCCCAGCTGACAACTTAATTTTTGCTTTGTGAGACTCTAAGTGGCGGATCCCAGCAGACACACACTATACTCAGTCTTCTTACCTACAGAATTGTGAGATAAGAAGTGGGTTCTGTTTAAGCTACTAAATTTGTAGTAATTTGTTACAGCAGCAATAGAGAACAATCATTAGCAACCAGAATATAGAAAACTTGGCAAACAAACAAGAAACAAAAACTTTGTTAATATTAGGGAAAACAAGAAGTTCTATAATAAAGGGAAAGCCATCATGGAATACAGCTGGGCAAGGCTGACAATAGTGTATTTATGGTCACAAAACTGTAAACACTGAATACAAATTTAACTAAAATTATGATATAATCATTTTGACATGATGCATGGGGGCCTGGAGCAGTGGCTCACGCCTATAATCCCAGCACTTTAGGAGGCTGGGCAGGTGGATCACTTGAGCCCAGTAGTTCAAGACCAGCCTGGGCAACATGGTGAAACCCCGTTACTACAAAAATTAGCTGGACACAGTGGTGCACACGTGTAGTCCCAGTTACAGGGGCACTGAGGTGGGAGGATTGATTGAGACCAGGAGGTTGAGGCTGCATGAGCTGAGATCATGCCACACTGCACTTCAGCATAGGTGACAGAGACCCTGTCTCAAAAACAAAAACAAAAAAAAAAAAAAAGGAAAAGAAAGAAAAAAAGGATGCATAGGGAGGGACAGAACATGACATTTACCTGTGGGATTTGGAGGATTTGGAGAAGATGCTGCATAGGGTGTATGAGAAAGAGACAGTCTTTATATTCCATAAAAATTACCCAATAGATATTGCTAAAAGTAAGAAAATTAGGGAATTACAAATTAAGTGCATAATTTTGGTAGCAAAAGGTGGTTGCTCATAGAAGCAGGATATAGGGAAAGGTGTTAAAGACTTTTAAGGCCGGGCGCGGTGGCTCACACCTGTAATCCCAGCACTTTGGGAGGCCAAGGTGGGCAGATCATCTGAGGTCAGGAGTTCGAGACCAGCCTGACCAACATGGAGAAACCCCGTCTCTACTAAAAATACAAAATTAGCCAGGCATGATGGCGGGTGCCTGTAATCCCAGCTACTCAGGAGGCTGAGGCAGAAGAATCACTTGAACCCGGGAGGCGGAGGTTGCAGTGAGCCGAGATCACACCATTGCACTCCAGCCTGGGCAAAAAGAGCAAAACTCCGTCACGAAAAAAAAAAAAAGAGACTTTTAAAACACACACATATAGCAGGTCTTGAAGAACTATTTTCCTCTATCAACTATTCAACTACGTGCAGGTTTAGTCTTAAGTAAGAATAAAATCTAATTTTAAAGCAATTGTTAACTCCAGGGGAAAAAAATTCCAAGTAATATATAAACAAATTGAAAGAATGCTGCAGTGGTATATGTGTAAAGTGATTTTAGAGAGCAAAATTGATTGGTCCATAGTAGGAAGTCAACAGAAACTTATCCAAAATTGAGAATTTAAGAAGGAATTGTGGGGTTTTTTTTTCTTTTTTTTTTTTTTGAGACAAGAGTTTTGCTCTTGTGGCCCAGGCTGGAGTGCCATGGCATGACCTTGGCTCACAGCAACCTCTGCCTCCTGGGTTCAAGCGGTTTTCCTGCCTCAGCCTCCTGTAGTCCCAACTGTCATTTTTTTTTTAAGAAATAAACAAAGAAACAGCTGTTTATGTTATTTAGAAATATGGAGGCACATAGCAGAAGGAACAGCTAAATGAGTTGAAATCACCACCTCTTGGGAGAGGTTAGCAAAAGGATGATGGGTGCGGGAGTGCCCTTTTTCATAATGAAAACAAAATTATCTGGCTTTTGAAATTATGCATAGTGTTACCTAGACAAAAATAAGAATTTACATTGCATTGCTCTGAGATGTTCTTGATTTTATAAGATGTTTTGTGTATATATATATATATATAGTTTCATGTATTTCTAAGGATGTGGGTGGGAGGAGGGATGCTGCCAATTAAACCATGACATGCCACTGATGGTAAAACACATGATTTCAGATATGTTAAAATATGAGAATATGTATATCTTTGAATCTGTGAAATACAGTACTTTTTTAAAATAGATTTTTTTTTTTGAGGCAAGGTCTTGGTCTGTCACCCAGGCTAGAGTGCAGTGGCATGATCCATAGCCCACTGCGACCTCAAACTCTTAGGCTCAAGTGATCCTCAGAAAATTGAGGTCATAGGGTACACGGCCAGCCTGAAAACTAGACAGGACAATACACAGAATCACAGTTTACCAGGAGCAGAAGCAGCTGGAAACAATAACTGGTGGGAACATTTAAACAGTAATTATGAATTGCTGGAGGCTGACTGTGGACTAGCTTGAGGGTTTAAAAAACCCAGGTGCCCGTTCTTGGGGGGCTAGGGGGCAGAGGTATATTTTTGTGAGTTTGGCCTCCCAGAGTCCCACCAGTTTCTCACAGTGAAGATCTGAACAAAATCCCCTCACACTTTGGACAGGAGTAGGGTAAATAAACCATGTGGAAATAAGCCCAGAGTGCTCTGTTCTCTGTAGCAAAGGCCTGCCCTCAATGGATACTACTTTACCAGCATCTTACTAGCCTAGAGGAAGGGCAATTAGACAACTACAGCCTCCTTTAGCTTTCCCATCTCATGTAGGGGGAGAAAAAAAAAGCAAAGAAATTCTTCTGGAGGTTATAGCCCAGGGACTCGGGCCCGTTAAAAAAAAAACCAAAAGCTGGGAGTGGTGGCTCACGCCTGTAATCCCAACACTTTGGGAGGACAAGGCAGGCAGATCACAAGGTCAAGAGATCGAGACCATCCTGGCCAACATGGTGAAACCCCATCTCTACTAAAAATACAAAAATTAGCTGGACATGGTGGCATGTGCCTACAGTCCCAGCTAGTCGGAAGGCTGAGGCAGGAGAATCACTTGAACCCGGGAGGTGGAAGTTGCAGTGAGCTGAGATCGTGCCACTGCACTCCAGCCTGGCAACAGAGCGAGACTCCGTCTCAAAATAAATAAATAAATAAATAAATAAATAACCAAAAATGGAGATTTAATTATAAGTTTAAGCTTTCCCCTCACCAATACCTCACCAGCACAGCAACAGAGCTCCATGTAAAAACAGTGGATTACAACTGAAAGAGCTGCAAGACACAAACCAGAATTACCAAGTTTCCAGAGAAACTGCAAGACACCAAGGGAGACAAAAACAAGAACATTTGAGGAAATTGAAGTCTCTGACACTTACAGCTACAGCAAACAGTAAACACAACCTAACTCCTAGACAGACAAAAAAACCACTAAAGCCCAATTTACCTCCGTTACTATTACCTGATACATCATGCCTGACTGTCAACAAAATTTATGACACATTAACAGCAAGAAAAAACACAGTATGAAGAGACAAAGCCAGTGGCAGAAATTTTGGAATTATTGGATCAGAAATTTAAAATTACTGTGATTAGTGTGCTAAGGTCTCTAATGGAAAAAGTAGACAACAGGCCGGGTGCAGTGGCTCACGCCTGTAATCCCAGCACTTTGGGAGGCTGAGGCGGGTGGATCACCTGAAGTCAGGAGTTTGAGACCAGCCTGGCCTACATGGTGAAACCCCATCTCTACTAAAAATACAAAATTAGCCAGGCATAGCTCTATTAATTTTAGCCAAAGCGGACTTCAGAATAAGGGAAATGTCAGGGATAAAGATGAGCATTACATAATGATTAAGGGTGAGATCTCCATGAAGACCCAACAATCCTTAATGAGTACGTGCCTTACAACAACAGACCATCAAAATATGTCAGGCAAAACATACAGAACTGCAAGGAGAAATAGGGAAATCCATTATTATTATTATTATTATTATTATTATTATTATTATTATCTTTGAGACAGAGTCTGGCTCTGTCGCCCAGGCTGGAGTGCAGTGGCGCGAACTCGGCTCACTGCAAGCTCCACCTCCCCAGGTTCATGCCATTCTCCTGTCTCAGCCTCCAGAGTAGCTGGGACTACAGGTGCCCGCCACCATGCCTGGCTAATTTTTGTATTTTTAGTAGAGATGGGGTTTCACCGTGTTAGCCAGGATGGTCTCGATCTCCTGACCTTGTGATCTCCCCACCTCGGCCTCCCAGAGTGCCGGGATTACAGGCACGAGCCACCGCACCCAGCCAGGCAAATCCATTATTATAGTTGAAGACTTCAACATACCTCTAGCACTAATTGACAAATCCAGTAGGCAGAAAAAAGTAGTGAGAATATAGATGTGCAGTACCATGAATCAACTGGATCTAATTGACATTTATAGACTAGTTTATCCCCAAACAGCAGAATACACATTCTTCTCAAGCTCCTATGAAACATTAACCAAGATAGACTACATTTTGGACCATAAAACATATCTTAACAAATGTAAAAGACTAGCAATCATACAAAGTATAACACCAGAGAATTAAACTAGAAATAAGAGAAAGCTGGAAAATCCTAAAATTTTGGAAATGAAATGCTAGTAAATAACACATTGGCCACAGAAGTCTCAAGATAAGTTAAAAAATATTTTGAATTAAATGAAAATCAAAATTTGGGGGATGTAAGGAAAGCAGTTCTTAGAGGCAAATGTATTGCAATGAATGTGTGCATTAAAAAAGAAGAAAGACCTAATATCATTAATCTAAACTTCCACCTTAGGAACCCAAGAAAGGAGAGCAGTATAAACCTAAAACAAGCAGAAGAAAAGAAAAAGAAATAAAAATTCAAACAGAAATCAGTGAAACTAAAAACTAGAAAATAATAGGAAAAATTGAGAAGACCACAAGCTGGTTCTTTGAAAGATCAGTGAAGTTGATAAATCTTTGGCCAGGCTAATGAAGAAATAAGGAAAGAAGATATAAATTAATTAATATAAATAAAAGAAAGGCCAAGGCCGGGTGCAGTAGCTCATGCCTGTAATCCCAGGACTTTGGGAGGCCGAGGCAGGTGGATCATGAGGTCAGGAGATCAAGACCATCCTGGCCAACATGGTGAAACCCCATCTCTAAAAATACACAAATTAGCCAGGTGTGGTGGCGCATGCCTGTAGTCCCAGCTACTTGGGAGGCTGAGGCAGGAGAATTGCTTGAACCTGGGAGGCGAAGGTTGCAGTGAGCCAAGATTGTGCCACTGCACTCCAGCCTGGCGACAGAGCGAGACTCCATCTAAAAAAAAAAAAGCCATCACTACTGATCTCATGAACATTAAAAGGATAAAAAGGAAATAGAAATAATTCTGTGGCCACAAATTTAACACCATGGATAAAATGGATCAATTCCTTGAAAGATACAAATTACCAAAATTCACAAGAGGAGAAAAATATAATCTGAATAGGCCTAGACCTATTAAAGAAAGTGAATCAATATGCAATAAACTTTCACAATAGAAAACGCCAGACAAAGATGGTTTCACTGGGCGAATTATACAAAATTTTTAAGAAATAAATGATACCAATTATCTGAAGATAAAAGCAGAGTGAATGTTTTCTATCCCACTTCAGGAAACCAGCATTACCCTGATACCAAATCTACGCAAAGACATTGCAAGAAAGGAAAATTAGAGACCAGTTTCTGTCATGAACGCAGATACAAAAATCCTCAACAAATTATTGGCAAATCAAATCCAAGAATGTATAAAATAAACTGTGCACCATGATGAAGTGGGATTTGTTCCGGGTATAAAAAGGCTAGTTTAATATTTCAAAATCAATGAGTATAATCTATTACAACAACAGACCAAAGGAAAAAAATCATGTGATCACATCGACAAATGCAGAACAAGCATCTGACAAAATCTAACACCCATTCATTATAAAAACTCTCCGCAAACTAGGAATAGAAAGATAACTTTTTAAACTTCATAAAAAATATCTACAAAAACACTGCAATGAACAGCATTCTCAATGGTAAGAAATTAGATGCTTTCTCCTAAGATGTAGAACAAGGCAAGCCTGTCCCTTTTCACCACTCCAATTCAATATTGTACAAAAGTCCTAGCTAATATAATAAGATAAGAAAATAAAATAAAAGGTATACAGATTCAGAAGGAAGAAACAAAACCATCTTTGTTCACAGACATGATTATCTATATGAAAAATCCCCAAAACTTGGCAAAAACTCCTGGAACTAGTAAGAAATAATAGCAAGGTTGTAGGATAAAAGGTTATTACACAAAGTGAATTGCTTTCCTACATACCAGCAATTAACTTGCGGGATTTGAAATTTAAAACACAATGCCATTTACATTAGCACAAAAATAAGTATAAATCTAACAAAATATGTACAAGTCTATGTGAGCAAAACTATCAAACTCTGGTGGAAGAAACTAAAGAAAACCTAAATAAATGGATAGATATTCCATGTTCATGGATAAAAGACTCAATACTGTTAATATATCAGTTCTTCCCTATTTAATCTATAGATTCAACACGATCCCAATAAAAATCCCAATGAGTAATTTTGTGGATGTCGACACATTTATTCTAAAATGTATACAGAAATGCAAAAGAACCAGAACAACCAACAAAATGCTGAGGAAGAACAAAGTTGGAGGACTGACACTACCTCACTTCAAGACTTACAACAAAACTATAGTAATCAAGGCAGTGTGGTCTTGGCAAAAGAACAGACAAATAAATCAATGGAACAGAATAGAGAATTTAGAAATAGACCCACACAAATAGTGAACTGATCTTTAAAAAGAAGCAAAAGCAATGCAATGGAGAAAGGATAGCCTTTTCAACAAATGGTGGTGGAACAACAGGACGTCCGCACACACAAAAATGAATGTAGATACTGATAACTTTCACAAAATTTAACTCAAAAAGGCAAAACTACAAAACTTCTAAATGATAACATAGAAGAAAATTTAGGGGACCTTGGGTTTGGCAATGAATGTTTAGATATGAGAAAGAAAAGACTCTTTTTATCTGAAGAATGTGAGCTCCTTTATCAGGCCCAGAGAGGCATTGAAATGTGACAGCACTCATGTCTCCTCCCACCTGGAGGTAAGTAATCATTTCAAAGATGCCTGTTAAATGAATTATAGACTGACTATTGCCACCAAGAGCTATGAATTAACCTAAAACACCCCATGCTGAACACCATAATGCATGCTCTATAGTACAGCTCTATAGTTCAACAATGTATATAGCCAATCACTAATCAATGTTATCTCTGTAAACCAATGACAATTCATTAAAAACAACTTTTGTAATCACCCTCTCTCCCTTTTTTTTTTTTTTTTTTTGGAGACAGAATCTTACTCTGTCGCCCGGGCTGGAGTGCAATGGCGTGATCTCGGCTCACGGCAACCTCCACCTCCTGGGTTCAAGTGATTCTCCTGCCTCAGCCTCCCAAGGAGCTGGGATTATAGGTGCATACCACCACACCCATCTAATTTTTGTATTTTTAGTAGAGATAGGGTTTCACCATGTTGGCCAGGCTGGTCTCGAACTCCTGACCTCAGGTGATCTGCCCTCCTTGGCCTCCCAAAGTGCTGGGATTACAGGTTGAGCCACTGTGCCTGGCTGCATCACGCTCTCTCCTAATTTGTTCTTTTTTCTTTAAAAACTTGAGCCTCTCTTTTGTTCTGTGGGGCACTTCCTATTGCTTCCCTGGCTGCAGTCCTCAACTTTGGTCCAAATAAACTCTATATTAATTTTGCCTGAGTTTCTTTCTTTAGCTCAACAGGTATAACATAAAAAACATGATCCATGAAAGAAAAATTGGTAAGTTAGACTTCATCAAAATTAGTGCAAAGTCACTGTCGAGAGGATAAAAGACAAGCTACAGACAAGAAGAAAAAATCTTTGCAAAGCACATATCACCTAAAGGACGAGTATGCAAAATATACAAAGAATTCTTAAAATTCAGTGATAAAAAAGCAAATAATCCAATTAAAATGAGTGAAAAAATCTGAACATACACCTAACCAAGGAAAATATACAGGTGGCAAATAAGCACATGAAAAGATGCTCAACATTGTATGTCATGAGGGAATTGCAAACTAGAACAATGAGATACCATTACACACCTATTCAACTGGTTAAATTCAGAAAAACAAAAACACAAACAACAAGAAAAAACTCTCACTATATCAGATGCTGGCATGAGTATGGAGCAACCGGAGCTGTTACTGTTGGTGGAAATACAAAATAGTACAGCTCCTTTGGAAAACAATTTGGTAGTTTCTTTATCTTTCTTTTTTTTTATTTTATTTATTTATTTATTTATTTATTTATTTATTTATTTATTTATGAGATAGAGTCTCACTCTGTTTGTTGTCCAGGCTGGAGTGCAGTGGCACGATCTTGGCTCACTGTAACCTTTGCCTCCCAGGTTCAAGCAATTCTCCTGCCTCAGACTGCCAAATAGCTGGGATTACAGGCACCCGCCACCAAGCGTGGCTAATTTTTGTATTTTTTTTGTTTTTTGTTTGTTTGTTTGTTTTTTTAGTAGAGACAGGGTTTCATTTACTATGTTGGCCAGGCTTGTCTTGAACTCCTGATCTCAGGTGATCCACCGATCTCGGCCTCCTGAAGTGCTGGGATTACAGGCATGAACCACTGTGCCTGGCCTTTTTTTTTTTTTTTCTCTGAGATGGAGTCTCACTCTGTCGCCAGGCTGGAGTGCAGTGGCACATTCTTGGCTCACTTCAACCTCTGCCTCCCGGGTTCGAGTGATTCTCTTGCCTCAGCCTCCCAAGTAGCTGGGACTACAGGCATGCGCCACCACACCCCGCAAATTTTTGTATTTTTAGTAGAGATGGGGTTTCACCATGTTGGCCAGGATGTTCTCGATCTTTTGACCTCGTGATCCACCTGCCTCGGCCTCCCAAAGTGCTGGGATTACAGGCGTGAGCCACCGTGCCCGGCAGCCTATTTTTATTTTTAATGTTTTTTTAGGGATGGGGTCTTGCTGTGTTGCCCAGGCTGGAGTACAGTGGCTATTCACAGGCACCATCCCACTACTGATCAGCACGGGAGTTTTGACCTGCTCTGTTTCCAACCTTGGCCAGTTTACCCCTTCTTAGGCAATCTGGTGGTTCCCTGCTCCCGGGAGGTCATCATATTGATGCTGAACTTAGCGCAGACGCCCAGGCAACATAGTGCACTGCAGCCCAGAACTCCTGGCCTCAAGCGATCCTCCTGCCTCAGCCTCCTGAGTAGCTGGGACTACAGGCACGCGCCACCACACCTGGCCAGTTTACTAGTTTCTAACAAAGCTAAACATTGTCTTAACGTATAATCTAACAGTCACACTCTTAGGTATTTACTCAAACAAGTTGAAAACTTATGCCCAAACAAAAACCTGCACACAGATGTTTATCATGGTTTTCTTCATAATTGTCAACAGCTGGATCAAGATAGCTCTCAGTAGGTCTATTAGTTCCCTAAGCCTGCCATAACAAAGGGCCACAAACTGGGTGGCTTAAAACCACAAAAACATATTCTCTCACCATTCTGGAGGCTAGAAGTCTAAAATCAGTGTGACAGCAGAGTCTTGCTCCCTTTGAGACTCTGGGTAGAATCCTTCCATGCCTCTTCCTGGCTTCTGGTGCTGCCCAGCAATCCTTAGTGTTCCCTGGCTCACAGCTCATCACTCCAGTCTCGGCCTCCATTGTCATGTGTTGTTTCCCATGTGTGTCCTGTCTTCAGATGGCATTTTCCTCCTTCTTTAGGGCACCAGCCACGTTGGATTAGGACCCACTCGAATGACCTCATTTTAATTGATTATACTGCAAAAGCCCTTTTCCAAATAAGGTCACATACACAGATTCCAAGGGTGAAAGCTTCAGCATATCTTTCTGGAGGATACAAGTCAATCCTTAAGAATAGGTTAATGGGCCAGGTGTGGTGGCTCACACCCGTAATCCCAGCACTTTGGGAGGCCGAGACAGGCAGATCACCTAAGGTCAGGAGTTTGAGACCAGCCTGGCCAACATGGCAAAACCCTGTCTCTATTAAAAATAAAAAATTAGCTAGGCATGGTGGCACACACCAATAATCTCAGCTACTTGAGAGGCTGAGGCAAGACTCACTTGAACCTGGGAGGCGGAGGTTGCAGTGAGCTGAGATCATGCCACTGCACTCCAGCCTGAGCAACAGAGTGAGACTCTCTCTGGAAAAAAAAAAAGAATAAGTTCATGCATAAACACAATATGGTAGATTCATACAAGGGGATTTTTTAAGCAATCAAAAGAAATAAGTTATCAAATCATAAAAAGACATGAAGGAAACTTAAATCACATTACTTAATAAAACAATCCAGTCAGAAAAGGCGACATATGTGCTGGGTACAATGGCTCACACTTTATTACCCAGCACTTTAGGAGGCCAAGGCAAGAGGATTGCTTGAGCCTGGGTGTTCAAGACCAGCCTGGGCAACATGGCAAAACCCCATCTCTATAAAAAATACAAAAATTAGCTGGGTGTGGTGGCACACGCCTGTAGTCCCAGCTACTAGGGAGGCTGAGGTGGGAGAATCACTTGAACCCAGGAGGTCGAGGCTGCAGTGAGCTGTGATTGCACTACTGCACTCCAGCCTGGGTGACAGAGTGACACCCTGTCAAAAAAAAAAAAAAAGAAGGAAGGAAAGAAAGAAAGAAAGAAAGAAAGAAAGCGAGCAACATATTGTATGATGTAACTATATGACATTCTAGAAAAGGTAAAACTATAGTGTAAAAGGTCTGCGGTTGCCAAAGGTTGGGGTGAGGGGAGGGAGTGAGGGATGAAGAGTTGAAGCAAAGATTTTTAGGACAGTAAAACTTTTATTTATATACATGACATTATGCATGTGTCAAAACCTATAGAACTATGTACAACATAAAGAATGAACCCCAATGTAAACTACGGACTTTAGTTAATAATGATGTATTAATACTGGCTCATCAATTGCAACAAATGTACCACTCTAATACAAGATGTTAATAATAGGGGAAATTGTGTGGAGGAGGGAGAGGGAATGTGGGAACTCTGTAATATCTGGTCAATTTTTCTGTAAACCTAAAACTGTTCTAAAAAATTAAGTCTATTGGCCAGGCACAGTGGCTCACACCTGTAATCCCAGCACTTTGGGAGGCCATGGCAGGAGAATCACTTGAGGCCAGGAGTTTGAGCCCAGCCTGGGCAACATAATGAGACTCTGTCTCTACAAAAACATTTTTAAAAATTAAGTCTATAATTTGAAAAAAGATTCACTGCAGTATATAAGGCTCTAGTATCACTTCTTTAAGGAAATCTTTCCTGCTCTCCCATCATATTCCCAAGATGGGTTAGGTGCTCTTCTCCCAAGCTCCCATAATACCCTGCACATATATTTATTTCTATGGTTGCACCTACCACATTGTATTTTAACATTTATCTGTATCGCTGTCAGTTCATAGCTGTGGTTTGCTGACGCTTGGCCTAGAATGCAGAGATGGTGAAATAAGCTAATCCATTGAACCCTTTAACAGGCACCTAGGAATGCCTGACAAAGGGCACTTCTGTTCCCTCAATGCACTGTTGATGTCATTTGTGGTATAATCATTATTAGCCCTCTGGTCCATTAGGCTATTTTCTGGATGACGGCATAAGGCACAGTCTTGTGACATTAAAAGTTACTTAGCCTGAGTAGTCTCTAGATTACTGGTCTAGGGTCTGCCAAAGACGATCCTCATGGGGAAGTTTTTGCACTAACCTCTCCAGGATTCAAATCCAATGGTTTTGACCCAAAACCATGCTGTTTACGTTACACAACACGTTCTCAATCTTGTTCAACTTAAAAGGTGGCACAGTACAGGGGTCACTGGCACACATGCCTACATGACAGATAACATAAGTGACAAAAGCAGACTCAGGTCGAGAAGGGTCCCTGGCATTTGGGAAAGTCCATGCCCAGTCTAGAACAGGCAGCCACTCCTTGGCTTCAGCCAATTGTTGCCACACAGAAATGTGGACACAGTGTTACCAGACAAGGCAGAGAGGCAGATTTCTGTTCACACAGAAACTTTTCAGTTTAAAAAAGTGTTGGCAACTAAGTCAAACTGCTTAGAAATACTGGAGATGGCATATTGGGAGGGTAAGGAATCATCCAATTGAATTGGGGTATTTACGATGGGGGAGAAATAGCAGCTAAAGGATAAGGGCAGCTTTTGGAGAACCCTGATTGTCACACTCAAGGAACTTATATATTGTCATCTAGGTCTGAGTGCACACTAAATAATTTAAGCAAGAACAGGACACGATTAGAATGGTATTTTTAAAAGATCACTTGGCAGTTGACGGGCGAGGCTGAGACCAAATGGTGAATTAGAAGTCTGTCATTTAGCTAAGTAAGGGTAAAGGCAAGACGGCAAAGGCCTATTTACTTGGCTTTTTCTCCTACCCGACTGCAAACTCCAAGACAGCAGGGCCCCACCTGCCTTGTTCATTGCTGTGTCTCCAGCACTAAGCAAAAAGCCTGTTCAACATTTGTTGAAAGAATAAATGAACAGGAGAGAGGGAAGGCGAGAGGCATTTTGAAGGACTGAGTTTAAAAATCAACTACCTTGAAGCCGGTCGAGGTGGTTCATGTCTGTAATCCCAGCACTTTGGGAGGCTGAGGCGGGTGGATCACCTGAGGTCAGGAGTTTGAGACCAGCCCGGCCAATATGGCGAAGCCCCGTGTCTACTAAAAATACAAAAACTAGCCGAGAGTGGTGGCATGCACCTGTTATCCCAGCTACTCAGGAGGCTGAGGCAGGAGAATTGCTTGAACCTGGGAGGCAGAGATTGCAGTGAGCCAAGATTGTGACACTGCCTGGGCGACAGAAAGAGACTCTGTCTCAAAAACAGAAAACAAAACAAAACAAAACAAAACAAAATCAACTACCTTCAGAGGAGTAGAATGTTGGTAATTGTGAGAGCAGTCATGGAGGGGAGGGGAGCCATGGAGGCCTGTTTCCTTCCCTGAACTTCCTCAACGAGGGGGCATCTTAAAGAAGAAATCATGTACACAGATTTTTGTGGGTTTTTTTTGGAGACAGGGTCTCACTCTGTCTCCCAGGTTGGAGTGCAGTGGCATGACCATAGCTCACTGCAGCCTACAACTCCCGGCCTCAAGCAATCCTCTCACCTCAGCTTCCCAAAGTGCTGAGATTACAGGCGCGAACCACTGCGCTCGACCCTACACAGGTTTTTTAAAAAGACGTTTGTGCATTGGATTCCTGGCACTTCACGTGGCCTCTTCAGTCTACCAAAGAAGGAAAAGGTAAGTACCCTGAAGGATTGAAAGGATTAAATGAACATTGAGGGATGAGCAATTTCTGTTCTTCCCTGGCTCCAGCATTACCAAAGCACACAGTAAGAGGACTGACATCGGCCTCCGACCCAGTGAGGATTACTTTCGGGGTGGAGGGGGAACTGCTAAACCTCGAATCTCCGGGACTGGCCCTGGCGCGTTTCCAGTCCCAGCAGAAAGGGCAATCCCCATCCAGACCACACTCCTAGTCCTCCTTATTCCCACACAGCCCGTATCTTGACCACCCCCAGCTCCGCCCTCTCTCCTCCCACCTCCTTTTCCCGCTCCCCCGCCCCATTTCCTTCTTCTCCGCCCACCTCCTCCTGGGTCCCTCCCCCGGCCATCCGCCCTGCCCCGGCCCCTGCAACCCTGCCTTTCGCTCTTCTTCCTCCTCCCTTCCGTCTGCGCCCCTCCCGTGGGGCCGTGGCAACCCCGTGCCTCGCTTGCCCAATGAGAACACGGTTTGGGGCGGGGCGCGGCCAGGACCGGAGCGGAAGTGGCGATCGGAGCGGAAGTGGAGCTACCGCCACCGCCGCCGCCGATTCCGGAGCCGGGGTAGTCGCCGCCGCCGCCGCCGCTGCAGCCACTGCAGGCACCGCTGCCGCCGCCTGAGTAGTGGGCTTAGGAAGGAAGAGGTCATCTCGCTCGGAGCTTCGCTCGGAAGGGTCTTTGTTCCCTGCAGCCCTCCCACGGTGAGTGCGGCGCGGGGTCCGACCGGGGCCCCCGGGGGCCCAAACTCGAAGCCCCTCTCTGGCTGCTGCGACGACGGCGGCCCAGTGGGTGGGCCCCGTGGGGTAGCGGCGCGCTGCCTCTTTCGCTCCGCGCGGCCGCCGGCGGCGAGGCCAGACCTCGCAGCGGCCCCTCCCTGTTTCCGGGGCCGGGCCCTTTACCTCTTGGAGAGGCTCGGGCCGCCTGAGGTCCTGCCGGCCGGGCGGGGTGCAACTCCGTACTGTGCCGTAAGGGACAGCGGAGCCGGGGATCCCGGACCCTCCCTCACTATCTGCTTCGGGCCCCACGCGACCCCTCCCTGCGTCTTGGTCGGCAAGAACGTCCCCTTCAGCCCTGTCACCTCTGCTCCGTGCTTTCTGGTTTCCAGAAATTAAAATTTAATCAAACGCGGATGAGTTTTCTAGCCCCAGTCCCCGTGTTTGGCTCCTCCTGGATGAGTAAGGGGTTTAACCTTGGGAGACAGCAGTGGGGGAACCCCCTCCCATTTTGCAGTAAAACCATTTCATCATCCTTCACTGGTTATGGAGCCTGGCAGGACCCAAGATTCCCTAGGAAGGGAATTGGGTTTGAATCAAGAAAATCTGTTTGTTGGAGCCGGTTACTGAGTCAGGCCGGATCCCCAGGAAAAAATATCAGGGGGTGAGAATCGGAGTATTTTCTCACAGTATTTACCGTCATTTAATGCCAGATTCTTTTGTGTCTTTACCCCAAATTCCCCCATATTGTGTGTTAGCACGTTTTTCGGTCTGAAATTTGCCCGGTGGCTTCCTGGTCGGGGGGTGGGGAGCGGAGGGAAGAAGAGGTGGGAAGGTGAGTGCATCTTTGCCGCAAATGGAGAACTCCCATATAATGGGGTTTTCAGAGGTGGCAGCCTTGGTAAGCAATTTGCCAACCTTTCTGTAAAATACATGTTTCTTGTCGTTGCCTTCATTGCATTTCTCTTTGGTAAGGCTAGATAGCATCAGGTCCTGATTTTGCTTGCCCTGTGTGGGAGATGGAATTTGGCAAGATGATGCTATGAACATAAAATCAGCCTCGGGAACCAAAAGAGAAAGGTGAAGCACTTATAAGAATATGAAAATTGTCTGCATTTCTCATTCTGTCAGTTCATGTGAAGCCAGACACAGATGCAGTTTGTAGACCTGGACACTGCAGCTTTTGCATTTTCATTTGGAAATGTGTATAAGTATTTGTTCTTGGTGAATTTCTTCTTGACTGCTTCCAGTGTACCCTATTTCTTACTTAGGGATATCTCATTTGTTTGAGCCCTCATTTTTCTTGGATCCCTGTCCTTGGCAACACACGGTGTGTGAGTGTAAAACCTGTCAATCTTATTGGACCTAAGTTAGAAATTTAAGTGTGGCTTTCAAAATGGAAGGCTAATAATCCTGTAGCAACTGCAGAATTATTTTCCTGGCCTGTCCTTCCAATGAGATAAGAAACCATTCACCTATCTTGCAGATGAAGTCTTTATGAGAAATGAGGTGATTTGGCCTAGACTATACACCTAGTTTTTTTCAAACTGAATATCCTCATTCATCAGTAGCAAATATTTATGGATTGCCAGCCCCTGGAGTATGACGCCTACCCTGTAATCTTTTGTACATTTCACATCTTGCAGTGCTTGTTATATTGAAGCCATTTTAGAATTGGAGCGCTATAGATCAGGGAGGCAGCCTCTATAAAACCAGGCTGAGCAAATTCCCATGATGCTGGTTCTCTAGGCAGAGTCTCCAGAGATTTGGGCCGCTACAAAAAGTGCATTTTGCCCATTCGGCTGTGGATAGAGAAGCAGGAAGAGCACTGGACTTGGAGTCAGGTAAATTTGGTTGAAATCTTGCCTGCAATATTTTCTAGCTTTCTGAATCTTCAGCATGTTAATCTCTGGTTCTTGGTTTTCTTATTTCCAGGGTTATCATTAAGCCTTTTTTATAAACTGTAAATTGTTAAATATAAGCTTTTGGTTTGTTTTTTAATCAGAGTTCACTATTAATGGCTTTTTCTCTCCAGTTAACATCTGATGACACTAAACCCTGCTTTGTACACATGTTGCTTTCAAAAAATGGTATATTATTATAGGACTTTATTTTGCATATAGGCAAATCCAGTCTTTCTGAATCATTTTCTCGTCTATATAGCACAAATGGTAATGCAGCTTTTGATATATTTTTGTTGCGACAAGCTCAATAATGAAAATAAGCATCTGGGATATAGTTGGGGTTCAATAGATGTTATTGACCATCTGCATGAATATACACGTGTATAGATTAGACATAGCATATATGCTATTCATGGACATTTATATAGAATCCATCCATTTGTGATTTATTCACCAACTGATGAGGTGGTATCAGACAATTAGTCTATAATAATAGTTACCACTTACAGTACTTACTGTGTGCTAAGCTTTCTTTTAAGCACTTTAAGCATATTAGCTCAGTCTTCATAACAACCAATGAAAGGTAAGACTGTTAGCCCCATTTTACAGATGGGGAAACTAAGGCACTGAGAAGGATAATTTTCCCGAGGTCTCACACACAGCGCAAGGTAAGTGCCAGAACCAGGAATGAAACCAGGTGATCTGGTTCTGAGGAATGATATTATAGATTTCTGCATGTGGTAGAGACAGCACATGTATATGTTTTATGTGAACACCATTTAGTCCTTAATTTTTCTTTACACCAATCCTAATAAAGTAAACGTTTGAATGGGAATATTAGCTATTTTTGAAGATAGATACAGGACAATTTATTGTGGAGCATATACCCATTCTGGCCTGTAGGGATGATAATTGCTAGCATGCATCAGGAAGCAAGCTTGTGAACAATCCAGTTTTTCTAGTACTTGCTTCATACTAGGGAGAAAGTCATCAGTTACTTTGGCATAGAATTTTAGGTTCTTCATCTAATAGAATTTGATTGTGACCATTAATTTTTGTTTATCTTACGACTTCATCAGTAGATGTTCAGATTTTTCTCATTTTGTTGGCAGGGAGGAAATGAGGAAATATATCTACGTAAATAGAGAGAAACTTCTAAATTAAAACATCCTGTTGTGCTACCTGCTCTTTCGGTGTCAACAAACTGAGTTTTCCTTTAAATGCTGGTACCTTAGAGAATGAACTAAAATTTCCTTGTAGAGATACTTTTAAGTTCCTTGTTTCTACATTTTTCTAGGGAAAGATGACAATTCACTAGTTAAGGGGCAAGAAATTATGGTTACATAATAGCAACCTTTAAGCTTTAGAATCCTTTTGATCTCTATGTGAATATGATCTTAGCAGTCATCTGTATTGCATGATGGAGAAACTAACGGTTGGAGCTGGATTCTGAGGGAATTTTTCTAAGGGGAATACTTGAGGAAACAGACTAAAAGTGCTTTCTGTCTCATGATATGTGTGCTGAAGGCCAATCATCTTACTGCTTTCTCAACTAAAAGATTTTCTAATAGAGGTGTGGTTATATGTATCTGATACTTGTAATGAGATGTAAATGATCAGTGGCCTCAAGTCATTCCTAGCAGATTGTAGGTTAGTTAACTTTTTTTTTTTTTTTAAATTCTGGCCAGTTCTTTATTATGTAAGTTTTTCCCGTACTGGTTAGTTTATTTTATTGTTTTCCCTAAAAGAACCAACAGGAGGTTATTTCTGAATGGCCTTGACCAGGACAAGAAGATTGAAGGCTACAATAAAGTAGATATGAGTCCTGTCTATTATTATTATTTGCCCTCAGCTAAGAGCTTTCCTTTAAAATTTGTTTGACATTTTGGTAAGTCTTTGGCATGTTTTTATGCTGTTTTTAACTCCTTGATTTTGTTTTTATTTTTAAAGCTAGATAACATTAGCTTAATAGGCCAGTTTTAAAATTTCACTGTAACAACCTTGTATAGTTCTTTTAAAAGTTGACAATTCTCTCTTTTCCTTAAGTGAGCATTGGAGTTCATAATTGATCTTTAGGAGATAGGGTTACATAAAGGAAAGAGCATTAATTTTAAAATTAATGTTGGTTTAGATCCCAGATCTGCCATATATAGCTGTGTGACCCTGAATGAGTTAACTCTTTGCATTTATAAAACGGGACAATGTCACCTGCCTCATAGGATACTTAGGATCAAATGCGTTTCTAGGAATCCCTGAGTGCTTTGCAGGCCATAAATGATGGATGGATATTTTTGTTATTTACTAAACGAGTTAGCTGGTTTGGGTTTCTGTATAGTGAACTTTTTGTATAGCGAACTGATTGGACTTCTGAATGGAGGAGATGGACAGAAAGTAATCCAAAGGCTTGTTGAAAGTCAGTTTGAATCTATAAATACAATGATTGGTAGCTGAAAAATATTAGTCAAAATGTATAGTGTTGCTCCTGATGAGAGCTGGCTGGCTTTTTTCAAAAAGTAGTCTAAGACAATAAAAACAGTCTGTATTTTATAGGTCAGATGTGTGCTACCTTCCTCTGTCCACGTAGGAAATAATTGCTTTTTCACTTTTTAAGAATGCATCAGTTGATCAAGCAGTCACTCAGTGTGCTAGGCCTTGTACTCCACATTGGGTGTCCAAAGATACAAGTCTGGATTCCTACTTTTTTTTTTTTTTTTTTTTTTTTTTGTGAGATGGAGTCTCACTCTGTCACCCAGGCTGGAGTGCAGTGGCACGATCTTGGCTCACTGCAACCTCTGAAGCCCGGGTTCAAGCAATTCTCCTGCCTCAGCCTCCTGAGTAGCTGGGATTACAGGCGCCTGCCACTGCGCCCAGCTAATTTTTGTATTTTTAGTAGAGACAGGGTTTCGCCATCTTGGCCAGGCTGGTCTTGAACTCCTGACCTTGCGATCCACCTGCCTCGGCCTCCCAAAGTGCTGGGATTACAGGCGTGAGCCACCACGCCTGGCTGGATTCCTACTTTAAGCTCACAATCCGGTGTGGGAGCCAGCAGAGACACTTGCATTGCAGTAAACTGTGATAAGGGCCATTTTAGAAATAAGCATAGGGAAATTGTTATGTGCCTTTCTTTTAAAAGTCTTTAAAGAAAGCAGAGTACGTGTAAAATAAATGAGGTACATAGTAAGTTTCCCTTCACTGGCTGACCATTGGTTTTTTAAGTTTTGTGTGGAATGTACTGTGGTTGCCATTTATTTGAGTGCTTACTGTTTTATATCATAAACAGGTTTACTCCTTACAGGAACCCTAGTAAGTAGATTTGCCTATGTTTTTTTTTTTCTTCACAGAGTCTTGCTCTGTCGCCTAGGCTGGAGTGCAGTGGCGTGATCTCAGCTCACTGCAGCCTCTGCCTTCAGGCTGCCTCAGCCTCCCAATTAGCTGGGATTACAGGCGCCTGCCACTATACCCGGCTAATTTTTTTATATATTTAGTAGAGACGGGGTTTCACCATGTTGGCCAGGCTGGTCTTGAACTCCTGACCTCAAGTGATCACCCTCCTCGGCCTCCCAGAGTGCTGGGATTACAGGCGTGAGCCACCACGCCCAGCCCAGATTTGCCTGTATTATGGATGAGAAAACAAATTCACAGAGGTCACATAGCCTGTGGACTTGGTGTGCGGTACTGGTAAATCAGACTGATAGGCTTCATTATGTCAGTGGGCCCCAAACTGTAGAAATTATTCATAAGGTCAACCAATTGGGCTGTCTTTATGGATCAGAATTAACATAGTGTCTTTTGGATTGATTACTTAAGCCAAGAAGTCAATTTATTGTCATATCTACCATTAAGTCACATGTGTAACCTTGCGCCTGTCACTTAACACCCTCAGTAAGTTTAATCATGGCTAATTGGACATAATTAGCAATGATATGCAACAGCTGATGTGAAAGAGGGAAGGGATTTTGAAATAATAGAAATGCAGTTTCTCTCCAAATTCAGTGTTCACTGGACTTAGTGCTAATGACTTTGTATTACAGATATGCTGTGTTTTGTTTCCTAACAAAGAACCTGCAAATGTTTGAATGGAATTAAATTTATTACAGGACTCTAAATTTTATATGTAGAATGGCACACAGACAGTTTTATAGTGGGTGTTTTTTAGTGAGTAGTTTTCTCTGAGAGCCAGGAGTGTTTAACTTTTTCTGGGTAACACCCACTAACCACCTGGTCCCACTGACTTTCTCAGTCCCTTCTGCAGTAGCTTGGCATCTGATTTTTCTTCAGCAGAGAGACTCCAGAACTAAAACTTCTGCTGTACAGTGCTGTGGATGCTCTATCTGGAATGGTACATCTGTGAATGCTGTTCAGAATATGTGATCAGTTCCTTACCCCATTGAAACATTCGAGCCTAGATTTTTCAGATTTTCTTGTCAGTTTTCTTCCTTATTCTCATTTCTTTATCTGCTTTGGCCTTTGATTTTTATCTCATCTAGAAAAACATACATGCACTTTATTAATAACATCTCTTTTTAAGTCACGACCTAGCTACCTTTAAACCTATTTCCTCTAGTTCTGTCTGGTTGGCTTTCTAAGGAGAGGCATTGTAACCCTTAAACGTGTGCTGTTTTTTTTTTTAATTGATGTGTAATAGATATACATGTGCTCTTTTCTTGTGTTTCTACCACTAGAGTTTAAGCTCTCTGAGGGGAGGACTACACTGCTTTCTTTTAAATTCCTCTCAATGAATAATCCAAAGAGTTCTTAGAAATTTGGTAGTTTTTCATTTTGTTAGTTATTTCAACACACATTGGATTATATGTGTTACATTTTTGTGAGGTAGCTTAAGAATAAAAAATAAGAATGGCTTATGAGCCTTTACTCTAACCAGCACTATATGGGCATTTTATGTTCATTATCTTATTTGATAGCTATTAATGTCTCTTTTTAACACTGAGAAAACAGATTCAGGTAAGTTATAATGTGGAAATGTAGAAAAATCACCTACTTTCTCTTTAGAAGCTCAGATGTGTATGTAAGGCTTGCTAAAAGCAGACCCCACCGTATATTTTATATGTATAGAGCTTGGGTAATTCCTGACATATAATAATGGAGTCTTCATCTGAAATTTCTAACAAATTATTAAATTCAAAGCTTATTATTTTCGAATCGAGCATGTTCTTTGCCTTGAAAACAAAACATAGCTGAAAGCCAGTGCTTCTAAAGGCCACAGCTGTCATTTTCAACCCTTTCTGTCTTTGCACTGCCTTTATTTAAAAAAAAATGGATTAGCAGTAGGTAGTCTTCTTTTTCTTTTCTTTCTTTCTTTTTTGATTCTTCTCCTAGGATATCTGCTCTAGCCACTGGGAAATAACTTCTCAGTATTTTGACCCTGACTAGAAAGATGTCCCTTGGGGAAGGAATTGGGATAGAGGGGCTAGGCTGTTTCCTAGATCCTCTATTTTCAGCATTTATTATCTGATTTAGGATTTTGTTTCTTTGAAGAAAATCCTATTTTGTGAGTACCTTTAGAATTATTTTTCATAGCTGTTTATCTGCACTAGTGGTTTCTCTTTAAACAGAAAAACACTTTTTTTCTTAAAAAAAGAAATAGTACCCAATTTTTAAAAAAGTAATACATACTTGAAGAAAATTTAAAAAGATAGGAAAATGAGGATATAATAATGTTATTACCCAGAGACAGAACCAGTGTTAACCATTTGGTGTAACCTTTCTGTTCGGGTTTGTTTGTTCTTTAGGGGATATTTTACAGAAATAAAATATTGTGCAGCCTCGTCCCTCCAGCCCCCATTGCTCTTAAATAAATCTTTTCATGACATTAAATCTCTTCTTTTGATGGCCACGTAATCTTGTACCATCTATCTCCTTCCCTCCCCTGCCTTTTTTTTTTTTTTTTTTTTTGAGACGGAGTTTCGCTCTTGTCGCCCAGGCTGGAGTGTAGTGGCGCAGTTTCGGCTCACTGCAACCTCCACCTCCTGGGTTCAAGTGATTATCCTGCCTCAGCCTCCCGAGTAGCTGGGATTACAGTCATACACCACCCCGGCTAATTTTTTTGTATTTTTAGTAGAAACGGGGTTTCACCACATTGGCCACGCTGGTCTCGAACTCCTGACTTCAGGTGATCTGCCTGCCTTGGCCTCCCAAAGTGCTGGGATTACACACGTAAGCCAGTGCACCTGGCCAGTCTCCTTATTTTTTAAACCATTCCCATATTGTTGGATATTTAGATTTGCTTCCATTTTTTCACTAAGCAATCTCTGCGTTTATCAACAAATGCTTCCCAGTCCTGACTTGCTGCATCCAGTGGCTTAGAACAGATTGACAGCCATCATCATCATATAGGTGTGCTGGAGAGCTCCTGTTCTCAAGCACGTCAGTCTCTTCCTGAAATATGCCCAGCACAAGGAAAATCTCTTGGCTTACTGCAGGGTTGGGCCTTTTGTGGCCTCTAATGAGTTTGCCTGCGCCAGTATCTTGATGCTTCTGCAGTGGTGCCAGGCCTGACGATGAGACTATAGTCTTTCAAAAACTTTTTAGGAGACAAATAAAGAGTATCTTGCTGACTTTTTTTTTAGTGGGAACCTCATTCAAAGTCTTGGAACAACAGTAGGTCTTGATTAAAAACCATCATGGCATATCACTAGAAAATTCAATTAGAAACTAATGGATAAACTTCAGTTACATTTAACATATATGTCCATTTTAACATAACATACTAACTATCTGTACAAGATTAATCTAGACTTTTGCTTTTCCTTCTCACAAAATTGTATATTTAAAAAGAAAATTCAAGCTTATGGTTTTATGGGCTGCTACAGTGTAATAGTCGTGGAGAAGAATAATAGTACTTCAGTTTGATTTTGCACTATGCATTTTTCAAGGAAGATTTCCACATTTAGTATTCTTTAATTCCCTGCGCCTCATCTTCACAGCAACTCTACTGAGGTAGATGCCATCTTCATTTTATGGATTGGAAGGCTGAGATTTAACATGCTCACATGGCTGTATAGTGGCACATTGCGCTGTGACACACAGTCCTGCTGCCTTCCGACTATACTACATATAGGTACTCTGTGTTCCTTGTGCTCTCCCAATAATGATTTGTAGAAAAACTTGATATTCATTTGCATATGAGTTTTGTGCTTAGCACAGTTATAAGCATTAAATGTGAAACAAACATGAAGCTTTCCTTTGAGGGCACACACGTGAAGCTGTAAGTGGTACAGTACTCATCTGTATCACAGAATGGCATAAAGAAGTCCTAGACCATGTAATAGGCTATAAGTATATTCAGAGTCATAGGCAAGGTAAATCAGTGAGGGCTAGGGCAGTCAGGGAAGGGTTTGTAGCCCTAGAAGAATGGGTGGAGTTCAGATAGGCAGGCAGTAAATAGGAGAGCACTCTAGATGAAGGGAACTACAAAAGCAGTTTCAGACACGTTTGAGCATTGTGTTTATAGGGCATGTGGTGCTGGCCAGCCTGAGAGAAAGGTACATGTTGGAGAACAGTGGATGAGAAAGCCAAACAAGTAAAGAGGAGACAATTTATCAGGAATTTGAAAGCCAGGTAGAGCTTAAATTTGATGGAGTAGCCAAAAGGGAGTCATTGGAAGTTACTGAGTAAGGACAAAGGCAAGACTAGAGGTAATTTAGGAAGAGTAATTTTTTGTTTGTTTTGAGACAGGGTGTCTGTCACCCAGGCTGGAGTGCAGTGATGCAGTCATGGCTCAGTGCATCCCTGGCCTCCTAGCCTCAAGCGATTCTCCCATCTCAGCCTCCCAAGTAGCTGGGACCACAGGCATGAGCCACCACACCTGGCTAATATTTTATTTTTTGTAGAGACAAGGTCTTACTATGTTGCCCAGGCTGGTCTTGAACTCCTGGTCTCAAGCGATGCTCCAGCTTTGGCCTCCAAAAGCACTGGGATTATAGATTGATCTGCCATGCCTGACTGGAAGAGTGAATTACTCTTTGAATTTCAGAGGGCACAGAAATTCAAGAAACTAGGTACAAATGTAATGAAGATTTAATATGCTTGTGAGGCTAATAGGTGCTTTGAATTATTTGAGAAAAGGGAGAACTCTACCAACTCTGCAGTTTTATGCTTACATTTCAGGATCAGTTTGTTCATTCAGCAGATATTTGTTCCTACCAATTATGTACAGGATGCTGTGGGAGATATGTCCAAAGGAGCTTATGGTGTAGGAAGGGAAATAGGAGACACTATGTAAGTAATTTTAGTACTGAAGAAACGTGGTAAGACATTGACAGGTATCAGCGAAATGCTTTGTGAGAATATATTCATTAGAGCAATGCCGTCCCATAGGAATAGAATATAAGCCACATGTAATTTAAATTTTTCTGGTAGCTGCATTTAAAAATTTTTTTAAAGTGAAATTGATTCTATCTGTTTTTACTTAACCCATTATGAACAAAATATGATTTCAATATGTGGCACTAGCCACATTTTAAGTGAATAGCCACATGTAGCTATGGCTATGGCTTAAACAGCTTAAGAAAGGCTTCATGGAAGGGATGGTATCTGAGCCACACTGTGAAGAATCTTGTATGCAGAGTAAATTTGGGAAAAGCCATTCCAGGTAGAGGGAGTGGCTTGGTGAGCAAAGATAGAAAAGCATACTTTGTATGTAAGAAAACCATTTTGGCAGAAGCACATATGATGTGGAAGGCATGATGTGGGGGTCTGGAAGATAGGTTGGCAAGCTTTCACTGATAGGGGAGGAAATCTGACTCTGCTTTTGGCATCAGGGAACTTTAAAGAATTTTGAGCGGGAAGTGACTTGAGCAGAGTTATAGGAAAATGGGTCTTACAGCAAAGGCATGGAGGGGGCTGTAGATAATGAGTGACTGAAAGCATTGCCACTAGGGCAAGATTTTGGATGGGAGATTTATTGTAGATGTAGAAATAGGAACAATTTCATTTCTCCTTTGCTGCCTTCCTCCAAACTGCTGGGTGTTGTGTAACCCATTTCCTGTTGAAATTGGTCTAGTTGCTTCAAAATCCATGTTATATAAGTCAAAAGTTATGTAAGCAGTAGCCATCAGGACCTTTAGCTATGGATTTTGTTTGTTGTAAGTTGTTTCTGTATGTGTATAATTAAAAATATTTGAAACAGATAAATGGATACAGATTTTAAAAAGGTGTGCATTCAGTCCTTATCTTGCCATGATGGTTCTCAATCTCTAAGAAATCTTGCAGTAATCTCGGAGAAGCTTAAAATAGCTGACCCCAAACAGAAAGGGTGCATTTTATTTTGGGAAATAGGGAAGGCATATTTGGGAGGTCCCACTGAATAGTCCAGATTCTTTGGAGTAGTATGATTTAACTTTTAATCCTTGAGAAGGAGAGAAGTAAAAGGGGGATAGCTTAATTTTGGGGCCTAGTAGAGCTGAAGAGGTTGATGGCATTATTTAGCAACGGCAATCCTTTATTACTCCATTATGATACCACATGGGATGGCTTAGCTCTGAATTGGCTTTTGGCCAGTACTTTATGATTTGGAGTAATCCACAGGTAGAGTTGCATAGGTACTGTTCTATGAACTTTGAAGTGGGCCTCTAAGTGACTTCTAACTTTGAGTTAGTCTACAGACTGGAAATTTTCTGAAGGTTGTTGGGTCATTGAAAGTTGGCTTCTTTCTGGTGTACCTGGCACTTTTAGAAACCATGAAGTAGGGTTATTTAATGATGAAGATATTTATTGTCCTGATCTCAAAGACCTTATGGTCAAGAAAGTTAGATATATGAAGACAGTGGTCATCCTTTGGTATCCAGGGGGTGTAGGTTCCAGGACACCTGGGGATACCAAAATCTGAAGATACTTGTTTATTTTGTGTTTTTTTCCTTCTTTATTTTCCACCACGGTTGGTTGAATCTGTGTATCTGGAACCTGCAGATATGGAGGGCCAACTATATATACTTTTAAGATGGTAGAGTATTTTTGATGTACTTGTATTAGAGTAGAACAGGTTGTCTTGTGGTAACCAACAGCTCCAGCATCTCAATGTTTTAACCCAGCAAAAGTTTCTTTTGTTTTCACCCTGCGTGTCCAATGCAGGTCTGCAGGAGTCTTGCACTATACAGTCACCCGGGGACTCAGGCTGACAAAAACTCTACAGTTGCATGACTGTACCACCTAGAATACATGGCCTTCTCAGTGGCTGCTGTGAGGGAAAAGAGCCTGGGGAGGCACACGTAGGATATTCACAGTGTTAGCCTGGAAGTAGCGTCATTTCTACTTATCTTTCATTGGACAGAACTACCATGTGGCCTCTTCTGACTGCTGTGGGGGTTCTGGGAAATAGAAGGGAACAAATGGAATGTTTCTTGAGGATTACTCTCTCTGCCTTAGTTTTATTCTAGTGTTGTGAGTGAAGATGTCAGATGGATCAAAGTGAGACTTGCCTCACTGAGTGTAAGCTTACAATTAGTGAGCCTTATATAAGACACAGCTCTGCATGTGATTTAGATAATAAGCAGTAGGAAGAAAAATTATAGTTATGAACTGGAGAATCAATTCTTTCTGAATCACCTAGATTTTGAGTGTATCTTATTGTGCTCCCTAAAACATTTTTAGGTGATAAGGCCCTGTGTGTAGAATTTCTCTCTTGAAAATACAGAAATGACTTTTGAGGCAAAATCATTTTGTGAGTGGAGGTCATACTTTCTTGTTTTTTTTTTCCTTTTTTTTTTGAGATGGAATCTTGCTCTGTTGCCCAGGCCAGAGTGCAGTGGCGCGATCTCTGCTCACTGCAACCTCCGTCTTCCGGGTTCAAGCGATTCTCTTGCTCAGCCTCCCCAGTAGCTGGGACTATAGGCACGTGCACTGTGCCCAGCTAATTTTTTGTTTTTTTAGTAGAGACGGGGTTTCACCGTGTTAGCCAGGATGGTCTCGATCTCCTGACCTCGTGATTCACCTGCCTCGGCCTCCCAAAGTGCTGGGATTACAGGCATGAGCCACTGCGCCCAGCAGAAAATGGTTAATTTAAAAATAGCAAAGAGGCCAAGTGCGGTGGCTCACACCTGTAATTCCAGCACTTTGGGAGGCCGAGGCAGGCAGATCACCTGAGGTCAGGCGTTCAAGACCAGCCTGAGCAATGTAGTGAAACCCCACCTCTACTAAAAATACAAAATCAGCCGAGTGTGGTGGTGCATGCCAGCAGTCCCAGCTACTCGGGTGGCTGAGGAGAATCGCTTGAACCCAGGAGGCAGAGGTTGCAGTGAGCCGAGGTTGCGTCACTGAACTCCAGCCTGGGTGACAGAATGAGACTCCGTCTCCAAACAAATAATCATTTTCAGAGCCTTAAATTGTGATACCATGTATGTAGTAATGAAAGAATTTGTTTTGAAAATACTGGCATTGGCTAGGTGCAGTGGGTCACGCCTGTAAGTCCCAGCACTTTGGGAGGCCAAGGCGGGCAGATCACCTGAGTTTAGGAGTTCAAGACCAGCCTGGCCAAAAATGGCAAAATCCCATCTCTACTAAAAATACAAAAGTTAGCTGTGCATGGTGGCACGTGCCTGTAATCCCAGCTACCTGGGAGGCTAAGGCAGGAGAATCACTTGAACCCTGGAGGTGGAGGTTGCAGTGAACCGAGATCCCACCACTGTACTTCAGCCTGGGTGACAGAGTGAGACTCTGTCTCAAACAAACAGACAAAGCACACAAAAAAACCTGACATTACTACTACTGTTTAAAGTAGCATTTCATGTTTTTATAGCTCAGGATATTAGTGTATTTTTATACTGTGTGGCACAGATTGATATATCAATATTTAAACCAACAGTACATAAAATTAACTCTTCTTGTTTAGTAAATAACTTTTCAATTATTTTATCCAAAAATTACTTATTAAAATTACCGCACTCTGTAAATGGTGATTATTGCAGTGGGGAACTGACTGTGGTGAGTTGATAAGAGATATTCACTGATTGGCATATGGATTTGATAAATTGATAAACTGAAGTCACTAGGATTTTTGTCTATTTCAGAAAAACTTTAAATGAACTCAGTTATGGTTCAGATGAATTCAGTTATGGTTTCAAGTTATGTTGCTGTACATCTTGTTATACACCCCTTTCTCTTGCAACCTATACCATATACAAAATTAGTGCCTGATATTTTTATATAATGCTTTATACTTTTTAAGGTGCCTTCACATGTATCAGGTCTTTTGTTCCTCATAACAGGCCCACTAAAAGAGTTGGTAGTGTTCTTTCTTTTTTTTTTTAGAGACAGGGGTCTCAGTTGGTTGCCCAGGCTGGAATGTAATGGCACAGTCACGGCTCACTGCATCCTGGAACTCTGGGCTCAAGTGATCCTCCCACCTCAGCCTCCTGAGTAGCTGGGACTACAGGTGCACACCACCACACCCAGCCAATTTTTTCTTCTTTTGTAGAGATGAAGTCTTACTATGTTAGAGACTGATTTGCCAGGATAATCTTGAACTCTTGGGATCCTAGGCGTGAGTCACCACATCCAGCCCTGGGTAGTGTTCTTATTGCCCAGTAGAGACCGAAGCTCTCAGGTTAAGTGATTTAACCAAGGTCATGCCACTTGTAAGTAAGTAGCAGAGCTAGTGCTAGATAGAGCCCAAGTCTGACTGCCCTTAGTTTATGTTCTTCCTGTGCAGTGTGTCCTAGTAACAAAGTTAGCAGATTACAGAAGATGTGATATAATCTTTCCCATCCTTCAGTTATCTACTGCTTGATGGGTGCAGCCAAATAGATCATTTAAAATCATATCTTTTGCTTCAGGATTGGTTGAAACAAACATCATACTTACTCTTTCCTGTACTATGGAAAAAACAGGTTTAGTCAAAACCAGAGTTGCTTACAGGACAGTGAAGAGAGGACTTCCTGTATTACAGGATACAGTTGGATTAAGGTCATTAAAACAAACCAGACAATTACTGAGAGAAGTCAAGGACATATATATAGTAAGCATAAACTTTTTTTTTGAGATGGAGTCTCACTCTGTTGCCCACGCTGGAGTCCAGTGGCGTGATCTCGGCCCACTGCAACCTCTGCCTTTTGGTTTCAAGCGATCCTCCTGCCTCAGCCTCCCCAGTAGCTGGGATTACAAATGCCTGCCACCACGCCTGGCTAATTTTTGTATTTTTAGTAGAGATGGGGTTTCACTGTGTTGGTCAGGCTGGTCTCGAACTCCTGACCTCGTGAATTGCCCTCCTCGGCCTCCCAGAGTGCTGGGATTACAGGTGTGAGCCACTGCACCCGGCTAGTAAGCATAAACTTCTAAAGAAATAGTTATTAAGCAGTCTGTATGTGCCAGGCAGGTGAATTAGGCTAATGGAAGAAAACAAAAGCTCTAGAGCCAGATAGATGTGAGCTGGAGTTCTGGCTCTCCACCATCTATTTGCATGTTGCTCTGGGCATATCACTTGCCTTCCCTGACCCTCCATTTCTTCACCCATAAGAAGGGGAAAGTTGTTGTTATGAACATACCTACTCTGGGACTGTTGGGAAGATTACTGGACCAAAATAATATAAAGGCCTTAGCAAAGTACTTAACCCTAGAGGTGTTTGATATATCATCAATATTGTTGATGGCATTTGGAATGAGATGTTTCACATTTAGTATGCTGCTTTCCAGATGGGTTGGAAGAAGATTCACACACGTTTCCTAGGCCCCGAAACCTGACATTTGCTCTTTCTTTTTCTCTTGCTCTTGTTCTAGGGAATGACAATGGATAAAAGTGAGCTGGTACAGAAAGCCAAACTCGCTGAGCAGGCTGAGCGATATGATGATATGGCTGCAGCCATGAAGGCAGTCACAGAACAGGGGCATGAACTCTCCAACGAAGAGAGAAATCTGCTCTCTGTTGCCTACAAGAATGTGGTAGGCGCCCGCCGCTCTTCCTGGCGTGTCATCTCCAGCATTGAGCAGAAAACAGAGAGGAATGAGAAGAAGCAGCAGATGGGCAAAGAGTACCGTGAGAAGATAGAGGCAGAACTGCAGGACATCTGCAATGATGTTCTGGTAAGAGGCCAGTGCTTCTGTTTTGAACAGTGGTTTCTAAATAGTATTAATTTAATGTATAAATGCAGACTCTCAAAACAGCTTATGAGAGAGAGGTGTCTGAATATACTGGAAAGCTGCCAGGTATTTACAACTAATTTTTAAGCATATGATATAATTTGTGTCACCTATTGCCTGATCAGAGGTTGTACATCACTTCTGAGATACTTTCCTCTCCTATCAAAAAGACCTGTGAAAAACAGTGACATTTTTTCAGCCTCCCTCCATCTTTTAAAATTGAGGCCAGATAGACAGGATTTTAATAGATACAGCTACAGATAGGCTATTGTGTATATTAGTCAGAGTAGTGATGTCATCGCCAGTAGGGGAGGGAGATGAAAAAGCTGAGCTGCCTTTCAGCCTCTCCCCAGTCATGCCTTCACACTGTAAAGTCCTGCTTTGGTCTGAAAGTTAGGCACATCCATCAAGTTCGGCATGCATTCCAGAGCCAAATTCAAAGTGTTTTGGGCATTCTCCTCTCCTGTATTTTACATAAACCCTTAGTCAGATGATTGATTCCCTCTGGCCGCCACTTGGGATTGAATGGGAGGGGTACGTACTCCAAAACAAATCATAATCATATTGTCTTTCCCGCACATCCTGAGCCATTGGGAACTTTCTTTTTCTTCCAGGTGAAATCAGGTAAAAATGAACTCAGCGAGGGCTGCTTTGAAGGGAAAAGGAATTCACACTTGGGGACCTACCACCTTCCCTGCTGGCTGCCTTTCTAAATTACTGCCCATGACTCCTTTCTTTTGAAAACCAGTATAAAGCTTGTCAGCCATCAGGCAGCACCCCTTATCCCTAACCTATTAGGAGTTACACACTGTCTGTCTACAAAGAATATTAAAACGACTGCCGCCCCCTGCATCTTCTCACTTTGGTTGATTAAATCCCCTTATAACTAAGCTTTGCATTGAGCTTCTCTTTTTATTAGACTCATGGCGTAAGAGTGTCATGACTAAATTTGTTGCCTGTTGGTAATTTGGGGGTTTGTTAATGGTGCACTAATTCCTGAATGTTAGGTACATCTGGTATTCAGATGAAGTATGTCATGCATTCCAAGGGCAAGAAAGTTCCATAATTCATGAAATGTAGACCAACTTTTAAGAGCATCTGAAAGAATGTGAAGAAGAGCTTGGTACTTACTGCCTCTTAACCAGTTTTTCAGGATGCCACATTCTAAAACAACTCTTCGAAAATATTGCTCTGTATACGAAGCTTGGACTCCTTCAGAACTACTTTTGTTGTAAGCATAAATGTTTAAAGGAATTTATTATTAATAGTATTAGCTACTCTTTGAGTGCTTACTACGTGCCAGGCAACGTGTTAAGCGCTTTATGTATGTCAACTTATTTATCATTATAACTACCCTAGAAGATGGCTATACCCTAGAAGATGACCCTTCGTATAGCTGAGGAAAGTGAGGCTCAAAGTGATTAGGTAATTTGTCCAGAGTCATACAGATAATAAGTGGCAGAAGAGGGATTTCTACCCAGGTCAGATTGACTTTAAACTTAGTTCTTGGCAGTTTTGCTCTATTATCACCTTTTTCCTCCTAAGGAAAGATATTTTTTCCCCTTTAATTATAGAAGTAATACCAGTTTGTGGGTTTAAAAATGGTGGGGGGAACAAGTCAGAAGAATATAAATAAGAAAGTAAAAATCACTTCTAATCTTACCACCCAGAGAACCATTATTAACATACTCCTTCCAGGCTTTTCCCTTATATATTTGTGAGCATGTACACAAATGTATCTTAATGTTAAAATAGGATTCTTGTGGTATTTATAATCTGCTTTTTTTCCACTCAGATTTCTTTTGAGAGCCTTTCCATTATCTGTTTAGCTCTGCATCATTTTAAAGGCCTACAAAACATTTCATTATATGGCTATACTTTAATTATCCCCTATGGATGGTCAAAGTGATTTTTAACAGAAGAATACAGGCATCTGCTGTTATGACCTGGGCTAAACAACATTTAGTAGCTTGGATGAAAAATTGGTGTTTTTTTAATCTTCCAAAAAATTATTTAGAAGCAGTAGTGTATATCTTGAATCTCAAACATAGTTTTAACATCTCGTGAATAATTCTAAATTCTTAACAATGTTCATTTTTTAGGAGCTGTTGGACAAATATCTTATTCCCAATGCTACACAACCAGAAAGTAAGGTGTTCTACTTGAAAATGAAAGGAGATTATTTTAGGTATCTTTCTGAAGTGGCATCTGGAGACAACAAACAAAGTAAGTAATATCTTTAAAAAGAAATTCGACCAGTAATGGAGCCAGTCTTCTTTCACAGGGACTTTTTAACGATTTTTGCTTTGTTCGCCATAGACACCAATGTCACAGTACTAAGAATTTAAAAGACCACAGCATTGTGACGAACGGGGTCATGGGCGGGCAAATAAAAATTTATCTGACAGGGAAGTATGGAGGGCATTACAAACCTGGTGCGCAGTGTATTTAAAAAGATCTTATCTTGAGTATTATTTGTTAGCTCTCTTTTTAGCAGTGAACTTTTTATACTTGGTGGTACGAAACTACCCTAGTGATGCATTGCATTTATCACATGTATTACCGTGATGGTGGTAATCTTAACCACACTTTATTAAGTGCTTCTGTGCCAAGTACTTCCGAGTCTCACTTACTCTTCACACAGCCTTACGAGTTAGGTGGCAGGCTGCCCATTTTTCATATAAACTGAGGTTTATGGAGGTTTCTACTTGCCCCAAGCCACAGACCTAGGGAGTAAGAGTTGGGAATTAAAGTTTGGATCTATCGACTCTAAAGCCTGTGATGTTTGCACTAGAATGTATGGTTTTTCACATTCTATATTGTTAAAGGTTATAGCTGTATTTAACTGCTTTAGTAGACTTTGTCATAATTGTTTTCCCCCAAAGCATTTAATATACAACTTGGTTTAGAATAAATATCTAACAAATGTATAATTGAATGGCAGAGACACTGACACTTCATTTGATAGGTCATTGCTCCTGCCCAGTTTGGGACTGAGAAAATAATTTGATAGTTGGTCCAATGTGTGATACCTATGAAAGAACCGAGCCTTTAATATTTTCATCTTTATGTTACAGCCACTGTGTCGAACTCCCAGCAGGCTTACCAGGAAGCATTTGAAATTAGTAAGAAAGAAATGCAGCCTACACACCCAATTCGTCTTGGTCTGGCACTAAATTTCTCAGTCTTTTACTATGAGATTCTAAACTCTCCTGAAAAGGCCTGTAGCCTGGCAAAAACGGTGAGAAAGACCCTTTGTGATATCTAACCATAGCAAAACAGTGCTTGTGTTATTAACTTCATTTTATTCCTGAACATACTCATTGTCTTGGACTTTTTTTGAAAGATTTTCTGGGGGTGGGAGTGTATCTTTTATGAGATAAATACAGATCTGTTACTTTTTTAATTCATTCTCAATACCTTCTGCTGACTTTGTTTGATTACTGTTTTTTGCGGGTGGTTGTAGAAAGTTCCAGGTGAATGTAGTTAGTTGTTTCTTACCAAGCTTTGGGCCTTGGTTATACATTGTCATTCTCATGCCAAGATTTGAGGTTATAGTTGTATAAAAGAAATACACAGCACATTCTTGTTGTGTGTTGGATTACCTTCCATATTCTTCCTTTGGCCTTCTCTACATATTTTTTATAGTCCCTCAACATGCACACAACTTTTTAAAAACATTTTTATTCGGGAAAGGTGCCTTAAAGTTCCGTCACTTAAATCAGATTTAGTGATGTGAGTTTCCAGACATTTTGAGTTTTAGTTTAAATAAATAAATAATTTTAAATAGAAGATTGCTAGAAAAGTCTTTGGTAATTAAAAAATCACACGCGTTTGCCCAGAATGACTGTGCTAGGGTTAGCAGTAATACTGCTTAGTTATTAGGTACAGCAAAGTTCTTACCTTGGAGTTTCTGTCATTGTTGGTTGGTGCTTTGTAAATATGCCTTATACTTCTGCTGGAAACAGCTAACAGACAGGGTAATAATAGCCTAGGTTCCCCCAAAGTACTGTACAAGAAGATAAGTTATATTCACCTAGCGGGAAAAAAAGTGGGCTAAACTAGCTCCAGAGAACTTGTGAATTCTTTGCTAAAGGCTCTTTGTTTTAGGCATTTGATGAAGCAATTGCTGAATTGGATACGCTGAATGAAGAGTCTTATAAAGACAGCACTCTGATCATGCAGTTACTTAGGGACAATCTCACTGTAAGTACTACTTCCACAGGGTTTATAGTCTCTTTCCTATTCACCTACTTAATAATTCACTGTTATCTTCAAGAGGGGATTTGTACCATTAAATGTAGTTACAGTTTTAAGTTGTTAAATTTGTTATAAATGACTGCTGAAGTTTTGACCTTTGCAATCATCCCTGTCTGCAGTGACACAGGAATAATTTTAAACTGTCGAGTGAGATAAGATTATACATACTGGGCCACTTACCTAGGGAACTTTTAGTAGCCCTGCTTTGATTATACTTCCTTTCTCTTGCAGCTGTGGACATCGGAAAACCAGGGAGACGAAGGAGACGCTGGGGAGGGAGAGAACTAATGTTTCTCGTGCTTTGTGATCTGTTCAGTGTCACTCTGTACCCTCAACATATATCCCTTGTGCGATAAAAAAAAAAAAAAAAAAAAAAAGAGAATCGTACGTCGACTTTCGATTTTTCACAGCCTCAGCCTAGGAAAAATGGTTCATGGGATAAACAGCTGGTATTTGTATCTAAAACTCAGATTGGTCACATAAATGCCACGGCATTCCGAAGTTTTGATTTTGATTAACATTGACAGGATTACTGTGTGTTTAATTTTTTAAAAACTGAACACTGTGATTATGGGGTTTTGTAATTTAGCAGAACTCTTACTGGTAGAAAAAATAGACCTGAATTATGTGTAACTTTTTGGAAGGTTTAATCTGATATCAAAATAATCATTGAAATACAATTCCATTGTAAAGTTGTACAGAAAGTTATAGAGATTATATTGTGATGCTGGAACTTGGAGTGAGACACACATCATTTGGCATTTGAGTTGAATGGTAATTCACAGTAATGCTGCCGTTGTTCGGGACTTAAAGACACTTGACCTGTTTGGGCTGTTGCCACTTAAAAGTTCATGACCACAAATGTCCACAGTGTCTTCCTCTGAGGAAACTCGAATCCTGAAATGGAAATTCTTTGTGGCAGATAACTGGCTTATGACACCTTGAAAAGTTCAAGTGCTCATATAACACACCACACTGAACCCCCTTTCCTACAGCAATATGTTCACTATGTTACCAATTTGCAACTTGTGCTTCAATAGTGGAATCTACTTTCATTGTTAACACTGAGCTAAAGAAAAAAAGCCGTGTGTTTTATGAATGACCTTATCTGTTTCCTGGATAATACCTTTAAGAATAATGTCCTGAGTCAGGCGTGGTGGTGCGTGCATCTAGTCCCAACTATTTGGGAGGCTGAGGCAGGAGGATCGCTTGAGCCCAGGAGTTTAAAGCTGCAGTGCCCTGTGGTTGCACCTGTGAATAACTGCACTCCAGCCTGGGCAACATAGCGAGACCTCATCTCCAAAAAAGAAAACAAAAAACAAAAAAAGGAATGATGTTCTGTAGAGATGGCCTTTCACTTGAGGAGTACTCAGTTTTCAGGTTCTTCCTAGCTCGGGGCTTTTAAATTTTGAAATCTAAACATTCTTTCCCACCATCCTTTTTGACTGTTGACCTTGGTTTTCTCTTCTAAGTTTCTGTCCCTCTGCTTCCTTACTTTTTTTCCTTTTTGAATTCTATCTTTATCTGTCTTTTGTTCACTTTTTAATGCTATATATGGGCAGGGGTGAGAGACATTACTGAGCACCTTGGTGAGCAAGCCTGGCTTTAAAGATTGGAGAAGAGCTTCTGGCACCAGAACCCTGTCTTCCTCCAGTTCTCAACACGGTGTTGCTCTTCAGTCATACCGGAATCTGAATCAAAAAAGTATTTTTAAATATCCATGATTTCTCCCTGTATTGAGGCTAGCCCTGATCATGCTTTTTGTGCCTGTCACCAGGTCTCCCAAGTGCACTCATCCAGGTCAGTGCTCAGATGTGTTTAAGGAGACCCTATATTCAGGGAAGTTGCGTGAACACTGCAGTGGGGAGAATTGAGAATAGTCAGGCCTATCAGTCTCACAGAATCACCCCTCTACCTTTGATATTCCACTTAGCTGTAGAGTCCATCTGTTTGTCCATCTGCTGAAATGAGAAAAGAAAAATTTATGCACTGATTTAAAACAAACCAAAAAAAAAGAAAAAAACAAAAAAAAAAATCCCTCCTTTCTAGCTGAACAAAAATGTGCAGTTAATACTTGGCGCTTGAAAATGCAGTAGTGAATGTGGAACCAAGCCTGTCTGTATATCTGGTAGCTCTTTTCTTGCTTTGTTTTTTCTTACCAGTATTCTGCCTAACGTTTGCTTCTGTGATGGTTATATTGCCTAGCAAGCACACCCGTGGTTGTGAAAATAGTATAGCAAAAAAGAAAAATCCCCGGTTATTGATGTACTAGATTTGTGTATGTCTTTTAAACAGTTCTAGTTTCACCTTACACAGAATAATCAGGAAAAGTGTAAAAATTCAAAAGTGAAATAAAAATTTTATCAGTTAGTTGCCTGTGAATTGATGTGTCACCACCATCTCTGTTGTTACCAGACCTAGCTAACTATTCTGATCACACTTATTTTTAACTCTGTTTTCTTTAAAAATAGGCAAACAGTTTTATTTCATTATTTAGGACCAGAAGTCAAGGTGTTATCCAGGGGAAGAAATTACCATTAATTAAACAGCCTCTTTACACCCGTTACTTGATACCTCTCTACCTTCCACAACAAACCATGCAGGTATTAGGTCCTCTTTAGTGACTTCTAAGATTTGGTATGGACAGTTATTTTGCATTGTATTCGAGCCCACCATCCCTTCCCCATTTTTTAACTCTGAGATACAACCAAGCCAGTGAAATAGGTAACCTATGGTTGCATAAGTCTTGGTCATCACCAAGCTGGCGTCTCACCTGTCCTCACACTGTATGGTGGCCTGCAGAGCTGGTTCCTCACAGGATTTGCCCCTTCTGAAAACATCCACATTACCACAAGGAGAGAAAAATATCAGGATAGAGGGGTCTTTTTTAGCCCAAGATTAGAATTAGTGCTTCCTTGCTACTCTGAGGCTGGACAGCCAGATGGGCACCTTCTGTCCCTAGTTTAGGAGCTGTTCCACCTGTTGAAGCCACACTCAACCAAAAGTCAGTGGGGGCCTACCTGCTCTGTTGGATCAGTGAGACCAGGAAAGTCCTATCAGAGGAAAAGTGAAGTATTGGTGCTCAGTGGAGTAGTTGTTTTGTTTTTGTGTTGTTTTTAATGTCCCTATACCACAGATTGACGCTGCAAGCTCAGATTCACAGTCTTGCTCTGTTTAGGTCTTGCTCTGCTATTAGTTCCCAATTGTCCGCATTTAGGCTGAGCCACAAGTAACTCAGTGAACCTCCCTGGTGTAATGGATGTGTAATGGCTTAGCAGAGGGACAGGGAATATCCCAGGAAAAGGGGTCTTGGTAATATGAGCCAGTACCAAGAAAGGCCTTAGTGGTCTCCAGTTCTCATGTCTCAAAGCCATTTCCATCCTTGGTGCGAAACGGTGGGACTGGATCAGGCTCTCTGGAGGAAGACATCTTCAATGGAGCAGGGTAAAATTCTCTACACAAGCTTTGAAACAGTGGCCTGTTCGGAATTCCGTTTGTGTGTGAAACGCAAAAAGCGCGGTTTGGGTCTCCTTTCATTCTTGTCAGGAGGGAATCATTCCCATTTTACAGAGAAGGGAAACGGGTTCAGAAAGATGATCATCTGTTCCGGGGTTAGAACTCAGTCCCCTGCGTCCTTTCCGTCCCAGTCCTCGGCTCTTTCAAAAGAGCTGGGGGTTTTGAGAGCTCCACTCAAGTCCCAGCAGCCCTGCTCAAGGCCAGGTTGAAGGCTTTTTCCGCCTCCCAGGGCGGGGTCAGAGGTGTCCCCACCTGTAGCTTTTAGATCCCCAAGTGCTCGCAGGTGGGGGGTGGGCCCAGGAGGGATCCCGGGGGAGGGGCGTCCGAGCGCGCCCACGATTGGTGCGCAGGGACGCGGGGGCGGTAAAGGGAAGGGGCGGGCCCGCGCCCAGGAAGGAGGGCTTCCGCCCGGGTGAGCGCGGGGCTGCTGGGTGACCCGGCTCCTGCTTGCCCCGCAGCCCCGGCCCCCTGCCCACCATGAACGCCAGCGGTTCTGGCTACCCGCTTGCCTCGCTTTACGTGGGCGATCTGCACCCCGACGTGACCGAGGCCATGCTCTATGAGAAGTTCTCTCCCGCCGGCCCCATCCTGTCCATCCGCGTGTGCCGCGATGTAGCCACCCGGCGCTCGCTGGGCTACGCCTACATCAACTTCCAGCAGCCCGCGGACGGTGAGCCCCGGGGATGGGGCGGGAGGGGAAGGACCGACGGACAAGCAGGCGGACAGACAGAAGCCGGAACTGGGCCGCTTGCGCTTTCATCTTACACTTTGCAGCCGGGGAAACTGAGGCTCAAAGATAACAGGGCGTTGGCAGAGGCCTGGCCCCTGAGACGGGAATTGGTAATTAGTGTGGTTTACTGCTATTCCTCTACAGAGGAGAGAGATTAGGGTCGAGTGAAAACAGATACAGGCTTTGTGGGGGTGGGGGTGGGGGTCAGGCGGACCAGGGATAGAAGCCCAGCAGCCGTGTGACTCTGGGCAAGTTACTCGACCATTCTGAGCTTCAGATGCGTGTCTGGAAAATGGGGGTCCTAGCTGCCTTATAGAGTGCTTGTGAGGATGAGAGATTCAAAGCACCTGGTGAGGAAGATGCCCAAGGCAACACAGCTGGTGAGCAGGGGAGGCAGGAGAACCCAGCCTTGGGCTCAGGCCTTTCCCAGCGCGACGTGAGATCCACACTGGGCGCCTCTACCTGCACGGGCTCTGAAAAACCGCTGCCTCCAGGCCGCAAGGCCGCTTTCTCAGAGCTGATAGCATTGATTAGAGCTTGTCCGATGAGTTTGCCTGCACTTCTGTTGAGAGTGGAGAGGATGAGTGAGCTTGGGCAAGCCTTCACGCTCTGCACCTTTTCATCTGCAAAATGGGGCTAAGGCGTATTCTCCAATAACATAAAGAATGGAGAACTGCTGTCTATGCATAAAGAATGGTAACTGCTTGTTACCTCGTAAACGCTCTTAAGTGGTAACCTAAAATAAATAAATAAATAAATAAATAAATAAATAAATAAATAAATAAGGCCAGGCGCAGTGGCTCACGCCTGTAATCCCAGCATCTTAGGAGGCCGAGGTGGGCAGATCACTTGAGGTCAGGAGTTCGAGACCAGCCTGGCCAACATAGCGAAACCCTTTCTCTACTAAAAATACAAAAAATAGCTGGGCATGATGGCGGACGCCTGTAATCCCAACTGCTGGGGAGGCTGAGGCACGAGAATCGCTTGAATCCGGGAGGCAGAGGTTGCAGTGAGCCGAGACTGCGCCATTGCACTCCAGCCCGGGCAACAGAGCGAGACTCCATCTCAACACAAAACAAAACAACAAACAAAAAAGAAACAACAACGAAAATAGTGGCTTTAACATTCTGATGTAAGACTCCAGAAACTCACCCAAAAAATGGCCGGCGTCCACTAGAGGGATCCCTTGCGCCAGGTCGCCTGGGTGAACCTGGTGGTTGCCTGAGTGGGTGGTTTGCTAGGGAAGGGGTTGTTCCGCCGGGCCTGTTCCCCGCCCCTTACTGGGCTGGATTCCTGGGCACTTTTCTGTTTGTTCTGCTTTGCTCCACCTCCTGCCTCTTCCCATCTTCCTCCAAGCCCTGTGAATGAAGTGGGACTCGGCCTGGAAACCGTGCTGCAGAGAGAAGGGTTTTGCCCCAGGTATTTATGATAAGACTAGGTGGAGAATCCGGGCTTCCTGAAACTTGCTCCACTGTGTTCCCCACAGCCCCCTTCCATGTCTCTGCACTAGCAGACTCCCTGAAACAGGTCACGTGTATCACCCAGGAGAGACACAGGCTGCAGCAGTGGCCGGAGGCTGGGCATCGGCTGCTGTTTTGAGACATTATTTTGTGTCAGGCACAAAGTTACAAACAAGGCACTTTTACATACCTTCTTTATTTTTCAGTCCCTCCAACAACCTGGTAGTTGGTAGTATCTCCCTTTGTTAGGTGTGGAAAAGTAGGTAATATTACCATCATTCCCCCTTTACAGGTGAGGAACAGGCTCAGAGAGGTAATGTCCACTTTCCCCAGAGCCGGACTGCTTGAGATCTAACCTCAGCTCTGCCCTGCAGCACCTCTGAGTTTTAATTTCCTCAAAGTGCTGCCACCCCTTGTCATATGGACATTGTTATCCACTCAGTGTACTTTAGAATCCAGAATAGACCTGACGCTGCCACAGACCTTTCATGTTTCTTATTCTCAGTTTTCCCATCTGTAAAATGAGGGGCAGGAATCCATGCTCATGTGGCTGCAGGGAGTTGGTTGAATGAGATCATAACTGGAAGGTTGGGGGAGCACCATACACACTAATTCTCAGCTTATCCTTCCTGAGCCTTTGGGCTCTTATCTCAGTTATTTGGGCTCTTATCTTGGCTTATTGTCTGGGACCCAGACAATGACTTTCTCTTTATTGGCTCCCAGTTAAGCACCTCGAGGGGTGGGTGATCAAGGTAAGAAAATTCCCTAAACTTGCTAATTTCTCTCCTCTTCCTTCTGTCCAGCGGAGCGGGCACTGGACACAATGAACTTTGAGATGCTCAAAGGCCAGCCTATTCGCATCATGTGGTCCCAGCGAGACCCAGGACTTCGCAAGTCAGGTGTGGGCAACATCTTCATCAAGAACCTGGAGGACTCCATTGACAACAAGGCTTTATATGATACCTTCTCCACCTTTGGGAACATCCTCTCTTGCAAGGTAGAGGATGAAGGGTGTACGTCTTTGGGTAGATCGGTGTCAACTACCTGCCTGGTAGAGGGGTGACAAGCAACACCTCACTTTACAGTTTACAAGGTCCTTTCAGTCAAGTTTCAGGTACAGCAAGCACCTGAATGACAGCCGTTCTTTCAGTTTCATCTTCCGTGAATGACCAGACATTACCTGTGTATCAGTCAGCTCTCGCTGTGTAACCACCTTCAAATTTAGTGGCCGTCAACAACAATCATTTATTTAGCTAATAATTCCACAGTTGGCAATGGGCAAAGTTCAGCTGGGCAGTTCTTCTGGTCTTGGCTGGGTTCCCTCCTATGCCCACTGAAAGCTGAGTGGGAGCTCTCGCTGGGTATATGAGGGAGCGACTGGCTGTCAGCTGGAACATCTTGGCTTTCCTCCCTATGGCCTTTTGTCCTCCAGTAGGCTAGTCCAGGCTATTCTCATGGTATTCTCATGGCAATGGCAGGGGCTCAGAAGACAAGAGTGGAAGCACACCAGGCCTCTTGAGAACTAAATGCAGAACTGGAACCATCACTTCCACTACGTTTTTTTTTTTTAATTGAGATGCAGTCTTACTCTGTTGCCTAGGCTGGAGTACAGTGGCATGATCTCAGCTTACTGCAACTTCCTGGGTTCAAGCCTCCTGAGTTCAAACGATTCTCCTGCCTCAGCCTCCCGAGTAGCTGGAATTACAGGTGCGAGCCACCATGCCTGGATAATTTTTGTATGTTTAGTGGAGACAGGGTGGGTTTCACTGTGTTGGCCAGGCTGGTCTCGAACTCCTGACCTCCCAAAATGCTGGGATTACAGCCATGAGCCACCGCACCTGGCCTCTTTCACTACATTCTATTGACCAAAGCAAGTCACAAGACCAGCCCACATTCAGAGTGAGAGGGGAGTAGAAATTATAGGATGAAGGGTGTGGCTACAGGAAGGCCATTAATTGGGGCCATCAAGGCAATTAAGTTATTGAATCTTGTTTTTAAGATTGTCTTACATTAGATGTAAGTTCCATCAGTGATCTTGTTCTTAGTCATTATTGTATCCCAATACTTAGAATAAGATGTGAAACATATTAGGTGCTCAATAAATATATGTTGAGCCAGTGGAGGTATGTCATTTGAGAAGGATTCTGATTATTTCTCTGACTTTTTATATGAGGATGTTGAGGATCAGCGGCCATATAGCAGGTCAGTATGTCTGGAACAGAGGGCTTAAACCTGGGTGTTCTGTCTCTAGATTTTATAAGGATAGTTGATCAGTTACCCCGTAGCCTTTGGAGTGTCTGCTATTCTAGGGAGGATGGGGACAGTTTTTGTAGCCTATGTGTCAGAACTTTTTTTTTTTTTTTTTTTTGAGACGGAGTCTCACTCTGTTGCCCAGGCTGGAGTGCAGTGGCGCGATCTCAGCTCACTGCAACCTCCTCCTCCCAGGTTCACGCCATTCTCCTGCCTCAGCCTCCTGAGTAGCTGGGACTACAGGTGCCCGCCACCACGCCCAGCTAATTTTTTTTGTATTTTTAGTAGAGACGGGGTTTCACCGTGTTAGCCAGGATGGTCTCGATCTCCTGACCTTGTGATCCGCCCGCCTCAGTCTCCCAAAGTGCTGGGATTACAGGCGTGAGCCACTGCACCTGGCATGTCAGAACTTTTATCAAGTGCTACTGTGTGCCAAGCATAATCCTTAAGTTCTCAACGAGGGCTCTCAAATTCCCAGTCAATAAGAGGCTATCCCTGTGGCTCAGAGGAGCAGGTAGACTTGAGGAGATGTAGTAATGCACTAAGGGTTATCTGTGACAGAGAGACGGGGCTGTTTCCTGTCTTTGAGGATCAAAGGAAGAAAGACTCTTAACTGTGTATTAAGTTCTTCACAATAATAATGGCAGATTTATCATGTACTTTCTGTGTGTTAGGTTTTCTGCATACATGTATACTCCTTAAAAGGGTACCTGGCATACTGTTAAGCTTCTAAGTGATAACTGTAACAATCAAAGAATTACTTCTGTTGGCTGACCTTGGACAAGTCATTTATTCTCATTTTCCCTCTGGGGCTCAGAGGTTAAGAAATGACTGAAAGGATTCTCTTATGACTGGCATAGATAACAAGGGAAGTATGTAATGCCCTTAGCAGGTTCTTGACCCACAGTGGGGACCCAGTCAACGTGGTTAAATCCAAGCTGAGGCTTGAGTTGAAAGTGGAAGGCCCCTGTTTCAGGATGAGAGGTGGAGGGGTATGTGCAAGGCATGGGTTTGGAAGCAAGATCTGTTGTGCAACACCCACTGGGGAGCCTCAAATGCCAAGTTGATATAGTTCTGTGGATAGAAGCTACTAGAGATTGAAGGGATGTGGTCAGAATTACATTTTAGAAAGAGCATCACAGTGGTAGTGTGCAAGCTAGGCTGGGAGGCAGTGCTTGTCATCCAGGCAGAAAATGCCACTAGCTGAGCTGAGCCTGTAGCCACAGGGATGAGTGGAGCCACAGTCACCTTGAAGTGGGGGGTTAGTGGTCTTTCTGCGAGTTCAACAAGAGGGATGGGGGCTATGTGAACTAGAAGGTCTTTCCTTGTTCTCAAGTTCTGTCCTGCTGGCCTGAGTCAGGAGGGTTACAGAATGGGAATAGGATATTGTGCATCTTTAAAAAAATTGAGGCGGGGTGCAGTGGCTCATGCTCCTAATCCCAGCACTTTGGGAGGCCCAGGTGGGTGGATCACCTGAGGTCAGGAGTCCAGGACCAGCCTAGCCAACATGGTGAAACTCCATCTCTACTAAAAATACAAAAAACTAGCCAGGCATGGTGGCATGCACCTGTAATCTCAGCTACTCGGGAGTCTGAGGCAGGAGAATCGCTTGAACCTGGGAGGCGGGGGTTGCAGGGAGCCAAGATTGTGCCATTGCACTCCAGCCTGGGCAACAAGAGTGAAACTCTATCTCAAAAAAAAAAAAAAAAAAAATTGAAATGAGTCTGTTGTTGCAGTAATTCATGTATTGGCAAAGTTTAAACAATGTGGAAGGGAAGAAAGTGAAAAACAAGACTCCATTTCTTTCAGCCCTAGTCCCCAAAAGTAATATGAATACATTTTATGTGTCTTTTTCAAAATTTCCAATGTGTAGATGCCTACTTTAGCCTGAATGGATTTTTTTTTTCACTTAACAAGACTGTCAGGCCATGTAACCTACCACATTCTCTTCAACTGTGCACATACAGTAGACTGGTGTACAATTGAGGCTCCCCCTTGATGAATACCCCGGTTGTTTCTAGTTTGCTGATAGAAACAAGGATGCAGATATGGGGGTTTGAATCTAACCCTTTTGCCCATTGCCTTAGGAAGACAATTAAAAGCCAGTATGCAGTATAGATGAAACCTGTGTTCATTTCGTTCTCCCTCTTAAATCTGTTTTTTCTTTTCTGTTTTTATTTTTTTGACACAGAGTCTCACTCTGTCACCCAGGATGGAGTTCAGTGGTGCAATATCAGCTCACCGCAACCTCCGCCTCCTCGGTTCAAGCAATTCCCCTGCCTCAGCCTCCTGAGTAGCTGGGATTACAGGCACCCACCACCACATCTGGCTAATTTTTTGTATTTTTAATAGAGACAGGGTTGCACCATGTTGTCCAGGCTGGTCTCGAACTCCTGACCTCAAGTGATATGCCCACCTCGGCCTCCCAAAGTGCTGGGATTACAGGCATGAGCCACTGCACCCAGCCTTCCTTAATCCGTTAACTTGAGTGGTGACACTCTTTGAGCTTCCATACCCCATCCCTAACATGCAGGATTGCCTTTTCCAGGCACAGCAGGCATGCAGAGACTGGTCGTGATCACCTTTGCCATTCCTTTCTACCTGAACCCTCTGTCAGTACTCTTCCTGTCCTTCCTCCCTGTGGCCCAGGTGGCGTGTGACGAGCATGGCTCCCGGGGTTTCGGCTTTGTCCATTTTGAGACCCATGAGGCCGCACAGCAGGCCATCAACACCATGAATGGGATGCTGCTGAATGACCGCAAAGTGTGAGTGGCTGGGCCCGAGGGAGGGGCGGAGGCTGCAGGGACAGAAGCATGGCACCACCGACTAGGAATCGATGCTACCCTCAAGCTGCTAATGGGCACCAGGCACTTGAGCGGCAGGCAGCCCTCCTAGAAGTGTGAGCCCGGAGCAGCTGCTCAACCTCTCAGGGACTCTTTCCTCACATAAAGATGGAGCTGATGATCTGCATTAGAGTATGGTAAAGGAAGTGGTGATTTTAAAACTCTAGAGGGACTGGCTAATGGTCATATCATCAATGGACTCAGTGTTTTCATCTGTTTTCCAGCCTTCTCAGTATGGGGTGTATGTGTGTGTGACAGGGTCTTGCTATGTAGCCCAGGCTGGAGTGCAGTGGCATGAACACAGCTCACTGCAGCCTTGACCTCCTTGGCTCAAGTAATCCTCCTGTCTCAGCCTCCTTTGTAGCTGGGACCACAGGTGACCACATGCCACCATACCTGGCTAATTTTTTGATTTTTTTTTTTTTTTTTGTAGAGATGGGGTCTCACTTTGTTGCCCAGGCTGGTCTTGAACTCTTGGGTTCAAGTGATCCTCCTGCCTCAGCCTCCTAAAGTGTTAAAATGCTGGGATTACAGGCATGAGCTACTGCGCCTGACTTTTTCTTTAAACCTTTTGTGTTTCATGAGATTTTGGCAGAAAGAAAAGTAGGCATATGCTAAGCCTGCCCTCATCATACTGTTAACTTCGATATCATCCCCACTACACAGATGGGAAAACTGAGAGGCAGATAATAGAGAGAATCTGCCTCTGGCTGTTCCCTGCCCAGAATTTTGATTTTGTTCATCTGAGAGGCCAGCTCACATGGTCAGGGCCATGGAGAGAAGGTGGCTTTGAGCTGGGGGATGCACTGAGAGTCATTTTGTCCAGGGTTACTCAGAGGAGGGTCCAGTCAACCTGTCAAACAAATCTTGGTGGGCTTTTCCCAGTTCTCAGAAGAATGCTCTTCGTTAGCTCCAATTTACTCAAGTTCACCTTTGCCACTCAGTTTTCTTCAAATTTTGGTGCCTGGTACAACTTTGTTTGTGCTAAACGTGCTATAGATACCATCAGAATTTATTATTATTTTTTTAATCTGGGATGCTTTCCTAGATGTGTTTACATGAACTTGGAAATGAACTTTTAAAATTAATCTTGTGACTGGGTGTGGTGGCTCACACCTGTAACCCCAGCACTTTGTGAGGCAGAGGTGGGTGAATCATCTGAGGTCAGGAGTTTGAGACTAGCCTGGCCAACATGGTGAAACTCCATCTCTACCAAAAATACAAGAATTAGCCATGCGTGGTGGCACATACCTGTAATCCCAGCTACTTGGAAGGCTGAGTGAAGCAGGAGAATCGCTTGAACCCAGGAGGTGGAGCTTGCAGTGAGCTGAGATGGCACCACTGTACTCCAGCCTGGGCGATAGAGCGAAACTCAGTGTCAAAAACATAATAAATAAAAATAAAATTAATCTTGTATTTAAGTGATTTTAGTCAATGCCCCCCATAGCAACACTAGCATTGACTGCGTCTAATTCACTTACCCCTGCTTCCCCAGTGCACCCAATACATGTTAATAAGCAAAGCCCCATGATGAGAATTTGAGTCCCAATTTTACAGCAATGAACTCTGAGGCTCAGAGAGGTTAAGTAGCTTGCCCAGGGTCACACAGCTAGGCAACTGCAGAGCGAGGATTCAAGCCCTTGTCTGTCTGACTCTCAGGCTCATTCTTCTGTGCTCTCAGCTGCCTGGTATATAATAGTAATTATGTGTGCATTTGTCGCAAGAATGAAATCTTCTTAACCTTCTGCTGGGGACAAGCTCTGGAACATAATATAATATCTTGGCTATTGGAGGTAGCCGGGCCTTGGGGATGTTCTAAGGAGTATTGTCCTGCCCAGTTTCCTGATGAGGGATATGTAAGCCTGGAGAAGGGCAGCAGTTGAGCAGGAGTTGGCATGGGGGTGGCTGATGGCTGGTAGCTGTCCACAGCCATGAGCCAGTGTGTCATGTCCACAGCTTTGTGGGTCACTTCAAGTCTCGACGGGAGCGGGAGGCGGAGCTGGGGGCGCGGGCCCTGGAGTTCACCAACATCTACGTGAAGAACCTCCCGGTGGATGTGGACGAGCAAGGCCTGCAGGACCTCTTCTCCCAGTTTGGTGGGTGTGTCCCCAAGGGAGCGGGGGGATCACTGTTTTTCCTCTTCCCTTCCAAAGTCTGGTAGGGAGGAGGGGCTCTCCTGGGGTTTCCTGAGGACTTCCCAGACTCCCCTTTGAGCCAGGTTGGTCCTTTGCAGGGAAAATGCTGAGTGTGAAGGTGATGAGGGACAACAGCGGCCACTCGCGGTGCTTTGGCTTTGTCAACTTTGAGAAGCATGAGGAAGCCCAGAAGGTAGGAGCCTCCCCATGGCTCTGTTCTGCAGCAGGGGGACCGAGCTGGGACTAAGAAGAGGGTCCCAGCTGCCTGTGGAGGGGAAGAAAGTCCCTCCCCGGCCTAAGCCAAGAGGGTGGGAGAGTCCTGTGTGCAGGCAAAGCCCTTCCTTCTGTGGTCAAAGGCCAAGGGCTTCATTCTTTGGTCACTTCTAAGCCCTGATGTCCGCAGAGCTGAATATTTAGGTAGGGATGCAGAAGTCATTATTATATAAAAATATTTACTCATGAACTGACCACTTAAATCAGTTTCCACCGGGTGTGGTGGTGTGCACCTGTAGTCTCAGCCTACGTGATAGGCTGAGGCAGGAGGACCCCTTGAGCCCAGTGGTTTGAGTCCAGCCTGGGCAACATAGCAAGACCCTGTCTCTAATTTTTTAAAAACTCTCCAGATGTGATGGCTCATGCTTGTAATCCCAGCACTTGGGGAGGCTGGGTGGGAAGACTGCTTGAGTTCAGTTCGAGACCAGCTGGACAAAACGGCAAGATGCCATCTTCACACACAAAAAGGCTCTCACAGTTAGCAAAGAGGATTATTTTGTGCCTTGAAATCCAACTCAAAGTAAGGATGTTGATGATGCTGTCATGCCATTATGAGAGAATTATGCTTGCTACTTTGTTCAAATTATCCATGTGTAGTTGCAGTTAGAACCTAAATTTTTTTAAGTTCTTTAAGTTCTTTTTTCAGTGTAGTTTTAAGTTCAGAGCAACGTTTAGTGGAAGTTATGGAGGTTTTCTGTATACCCCATTCCCCCAACACATGAACAGCCTCTGCCATTATCAATGTCCTGCTCCCAAGGGTTACGTCTGTTACAAGTGATTCACTTACTTTGACACATCATTAACACACACAGTCCCAAGTTTACATTAGGATTTACTTTTGGTGTAGAGTCTAGGGGTTTGGACAAATGCATAATGACATGTATCCACTATTATGGTATCATGCAGACTACTTTCAGTGCCCTAAACATCCCCTGTGCTCCATCTGTTCATTCCTCCATGCCCCTTAACCCCTGGCAACCAATGATCTTTTTGCTTGCTCCATAGTTTTGCCTTTTCTGGGACAGAGACTATGTCACCTAGACTGGCTTCTTTCACTTAGTAATACGCATTTAAAATATGGGAATATATAAATATTTACATTTTATTTTATTTTTATTTATTTATTTTTGAGACAGAGTCTCACTCTGTCACCCAGGATGGAATGCAGTGACGTGATCTCGGCTCATTGCAACCTCCGCCTCCTGGGTTCAAGTAATTCTCCTGCCTCAACCTCCCGAGTAGCTGGGACTACAGGCGCCCGCCACCATGCCCGGCTAATTTTTGTGTTTTTAGTAGAGAAGGGGTTTCACCATGTTGGCCAGGCTGGTATCGAACTCGTGACCTCAAGTGATCCACCCGCCTTGGCCTCCCAAAGTGCTAGGATTACAGGCGTGAGCCACCATGCCCGGCCATATTTACATTGTAAATATGGGAAAATTTGCAAATCTCAATTTTATTTTTATGTTTATTTTATTAAGATGGAGTCTGTCTGTCGTCCAGGCTGTAGTGCAGTGGCGTGATCTCAGCTCACTGCAACCTCCACCTCCCAGTTTCAAGGGATTCTCCCACCTCAGCCTCCTAAGTAGCTGGGATTACAGGCACCTGCCACCATGCCTGGCTAATTTTTGTATTTTTAGTAGAGATGGGGTTTCACCAAGTTGGCCAGGCTGGTTTCGAACTCCTGACCTCAAGTGATCCAACCGCCTTGGCCTCCCAAAGTGCTGTAATTACCAGGTGTGAGCCACTGTGCCTGGCCATCAATTTTGTTTCTTAAAATACAGCCCCAGTCCGAATTTTTTTTTTTTTTTTGAGATGGAGTTTCACTCTTGTTGCCCAGGCTGGAGTGCAATGGCGTGATCTCAGCTCACCGCAACCTCCACCTCCCAGGTTCAACGATTCTCCTGCCTCAGCCTCCCGAGTAGCTGGGATTACAGGCATGTGCTTCCATGCCTGGCTAATTTTGTATTTTTAGTAGAGACGGGGTTTCTCCATGTTGGTCAGGCTGGTCTCGAATTCCTGACCTCAGATGATCCGTCCCCCTCGGCCACCCAAAGTGCTGGGATTACAGGCATGAGCCAAAGTGGGTATACTTAAATGGCCTTTGTCCTGGTACTGATTATTCTCAGCTAGTGTGGCCAGCCTGGTTTGCAGGTGGCCCCTCTAGATCCAGAAGATGAGCCTGGGCCAGGGCCACATCTGAGTGGTTACCAAGCATGTTCCCTCCTCCTTTCCCCAGGCCGTGGTCCATATGAACGGGAAGGAGGTGAGCGGGCGGCTGCTGTACGCGGGCCGGGCCCAAAAGCGCGTGGAGCGGCAGAATGAACTGAAGCGCAGGTTTGAGCAGATGAAGCAGGACCGGCTGAGGCGTTACCAGGTGAGGTCAGGCTTCCTGGTGGCAGCCACTTCTGTGTGAGAGCAGCTGTGTGTCGGGGGCCCTGAGTGGTGACTGTTTCTTCTAGTGATCCTACTTCTGGGCACTTGGCTCAAGGCGGGAATTGAATGAGCATGGGATGGCCCCCACTGCCTAATGTATAACAGTGAGAAACTGCGCACAACCCAACTGTCCAACCATCATAGGGGTTAGTAGGGGTGCTGGGGACCTTTTGGTTAGAATAATCCTTCACGTGGGACTGGTTAGCATCCCACCCAGCCCACTCAATCCCAGTTGCATCCTCTAGTCTCAGACAACCAAAGTACCCCGCATATTGCCAGATGCCCCTAGAGGAAATCCTACTCCTGGCTGAGAATAATCAGGCCAAATATGTTACATCCAAAAGTTGGAATGTTGGACAGCCTTTGAATTATGTGGAGTTAATAATTAAAGTGAATATTGTGGATCAGTGCAATTTAAAACTTCATTGGGAAGTGAACCCCTCTAAGATTTTATTTATTTACTTATTTTTTGAGACAGAGTATTGCTCTTGTCACCCAGGCTGGAGTGCAGTGGCATGATCTTGGTTCACTGCAACCTCTCACTCCTGGGTTCAAGAAAGTCTCAGCCTCCCAAGTAGCTGGGATTACAGGTGCGTGCCACCATGCCCGGCAAATTTTTGTATTTTTAGTAGAGACAGGGTTTCACCATGTTGCCCAGGCTGGTCTTGAACTCCTGACCTTGTGATCTGCCCGCCTCAGCCTCCCAAAGTGCTGGGATTACAGGTGTGAGCCACTGCGCCTGGCCTCATTTTTGTATTTTTAATAGAGATGGAGTTCATCATATTGGTCAGGCTGGTCTCGAACTCCTGACCTTAGTTGATCTGCCCGCTTTGGCCTCCCAAAGTTATGGGATTACAGGCATGAGCCACCACGCCTGGCCCCCTCTAAGATTTTTCATAAAAGTTCTAGATCCTTCATGGAGAGGGGCATATAAATATACATATCCACACAAAACACGCACACATACTCAGTAGTTCTCAGTGAGGAGCAGTTTTGCCTCCTGGGGGACATTTGGCAATGTCTAGAATTTTCATTGTCGTGTGGGTGGTGGGGTGCTACTGTCATCCACAGGGTAGAGGCCAGGGATGCTGGCAGGCATCCTACAGTGCCCAGGACAATGCCACAGCAAGGAACTGTCTGGCACAAAATGTCACTAGATCTGAGGCTGAGAAACACATACATCCTCTTGTGTACATACAGCGTGTCCAGGGGCTTTCATACCTGCAGAACAAAATACTCATCACATAATCTGCAAGAGCAGGATGCTATGCTGTACAATTGTGCGGTCTCTGTTCTCTTGTACATTCATACACTGTTGTGTTTGGGAGGTCTGGAAGGAGAAAAGTCAAGGTGCTAGAGGCAGCTGTCACTCAACAGTGAGATGCACAGACTCTGAAGTTAGTCTGCCTGGGTTGTCCTGTCTCTGCCACTTAGCTACTGTATGATCTGGGGCAACTTATTTAGCCTCTTTGTGTTTCAGTTTTGTCTGTAAAACAAGGATAAAAGTTTTCTTCACGCAGGGTTGTTGTGAGGATTAAAAATCAAAACGTGGCCTGTCGTGGTGGCTCGTGCCTGTAATCCCAGCACTTTGGGAGGCCAAGGTGGGCAGATCACCTGAGGTCAGGAGTTCAAGACTGGCCTGACCAACATGGAGAAAGGAGAAACCCGTCTCTACTAAAAAATACAAAGTTAGCTGGGTCTGGTTGCACGTACCTGTAATCCCAGCTACTTGGGAGGCTGAGGCAGGAGAATCACTTGAACCCGCGAGGCAGAGGTTGCACTGAGCCGAGATTGCACCATTGCACTCCAGCCTAGGCAACAAGAGCAAAAATCCATCTCAAAAAAAAAAAGTCTTAAAAAAAAAATCAAAATGTATGGGAAAGCTTAGAGTGGCACCTGGCACCAACATGAGTAAGTGCCCGAGGTTCCTGGGCTGGCAGGGGATGGAGGGGCAGCTCACCTGTGTTAGGGTTCTGGTCATGGGCCAGCCAGGGAGGAGCTCTGACTCCTGCTGCCCGACATCCACCATCTGGAGAGCTTGGCTTGGGCATGCTCTGCACCTCAGCCTGCCACGGGACCTGGGACATCCTCGTGGGCCCCATCTGTGAAATGGGGAATAGCTGTGGTGAGGCTGGGACCAGTGCAGATGTGTGAGAACTGCAGGGGAATTTGGGATGTGGGGGCTACAGCTTGCATGTGATGGGCACGCTGAGGGATGGGGGTACCTGGGTGCTGAGGGAGACGGGGAGCAGGAGGCTGGGCTGGTGGGGCTCCCCATGCCCCTTGTACCTGCGTCAGTTCCCTGATCTCCCCAAGGCAGTTGGGGCTTGGAGGAGAAGGGGACATCCAGCAGTTTCCCTTCCATCCCAGGGTGTGAACTTGTATGTGAAGAATCTGGACGACTCCATTGATGACGACAAACTGAGGAAAGAGTTCTCTCCCTATGGAGTAATTACCAGTGCGAAGGTGAGGACTGGGGGCACCTCCGGGGGACAGCGTTCCCCTCCATCCTCTCACCACCATCCCCCCACAACCCCACCCCTCCACCCTCTCGCCCAGCAGCCTTCAGGGGGTTGGTGCCGGCTACCCCTTCTGGGGCTCTGCTGACCCCGTTGGAGCTTGTAGCCATCTGCAGCCTTGTCTGGGCTGGAGGGGAAGAGGGTAGAAATATAGTCCCAGTCACACAGCTGGACTTGGGGCTCACTGTCACCTTGGCATTTATTGAGTGCCTACTGTATGCCAGATTCCAGAAATTCATATCTTAGTATTTCCATTGACTTTTGTTGTCTGGCCTCTGCCAGTGACATTACCCTCCTGGGCCTCCGTTTTCCCATCTGGAAAGTGAGAGGGCTGGACTTCGTCATTCTTCATTTGTTCTTCCCTATTTCTGGAGCACCAATTGTGTGCCCAACCCTGTTAGGCCCCTGAGATGTGGCAACTGGCCCATCAGCAGCTCTATGAGCTTTAGCAGATGTTGTCTTATAGATAAGGACACTGGGCTCACTGGATGGCTTTCCGACCCTGGCTTCTCATTACAACCCCCTGGGCAATTCTTAAATACACACACCTCAGTCAGGCATAGAATGTGGATCCCCGGGGTAGGGCCTGGGCTTTTTATTTTTTTTTTTTAAAGCTCCCAGAGGCTGGGCAATATGGCTCACGCCTGTAATCCCAGCACTTTGGGAGGCTGAGGCAGGCAGATCATGAGGTCAGGAGATCGAGACCATCCTCGCTAACACGGTGAAACCCCATCTCTACTAAAAATACAAAAAATTAGCCGGGCATGATGGCACGTGCCTATAGTCCCAGGTATTCCGGAGGCTGAGGCAGGAGAATGGCATGAACCCAGGAGGCGGAGCTTGCAGTGAGCCAAGATCGTGCCACTGCACTCCAGCCTGGGCAACAGCGAGACTCTGTCTCAAAAAAAAAAAAAAAAAAAAGCGCCCAGATGGTTTTTAAGATGATGATCCAGTGTTTCTTCATTCTATACTTAAATACCTGCTGTTTTACCAGGCTCTGTGGGAAACAGGAGCAAATCAGATGTGATCCTTGCTTTCAAGTAGCTTATAGTCTAGTGAGGAAGTCAGCCCGTCACTAACTCAAATGGATTATAAGATGGGGGACAGTATGGGAGGCAAAGCTACAGGAGTTCAGTGGAACAGAAGGGAAGGCTGCCTGGAAGAAGTGGCAGTAGCAGCAGTGTTTGACTTGGCTGTGAGGAGGTAGGGAGCTGGAGTGGGAATGAGGAATTTTCCAAAGAGATCAGTGTGAGTGACAGGATGGGGGGACCCGCCTGAATGATGTGATGTTGGGTTCTGAGGAAGTGGTCTAGAAGTTCTCTTTTGGCTACTGAGTCCAGTTGTAAACATCCTTCAGGGAGCCTTGTGTTTGGAGGAAAAAAGGTTGTCTTTTAGGTTAAGATCCTTTTGAAAAATGCGAGAGAAGGCTGTGGCACATGTAAATTAGGCATCAGTAAATTTGATTACACATCATAAAAAGCTATAGGTCCTCTTTCCAAGCAAATGCATATACATTTGATGTAGAAACATGGTTGAAAGCTGGAATTTTAAAGTTAATCAGGTTTAAATGTAAACCCCAGTCCTACCATTACCTAGCTGTAGAAACTGAGGCAAGTGGCTTTGCTTTTCGGACCTTGTTTACTCACCTATAAAGTGGGAGCAACATTTCTCACCTCTCCAGGTGTCCTAAGAACTACTAAAGAGGCTGCATGTACAGCATCTGCATTCAATAAGTAGTGAAATAGTGATTGTCGTAATGATTCATCATACACCTTGCATACAGCTTCAGGAGATGGACCTTCTTGAGGACTCCCCGAACAAAGGAAATGTGTAAATTTGGATTGCTTAGAGTTAAGGCACACCTGGGGTGACCATCTTTTTAACAGGACAAACGGTATAAAATGGGGATTATAAATATATCTATTTTTTGTGTGTGTGATGGAGTCTAGCTCTGTTGCCCAGGCTAGAGTGCAGTGGCGCCATCTCGGCTCACTACAACCTCCGCCTCCCGGGTTCAAGTGATTCTTCTCCCTCAGCCTCCTGAGTAGCTGGGATTACAGGCACCTGCCACCATGCCCAGCTAATTTTTGTATTTTTAGTAGAGACGGGGTTTCACTGTGTTGGCCGGGCTGGTCTCAAACTCCTGACCTAGTAATCCGCCCGCCTCAGCCTCCCAAAGTGCTGCAATTACAAGAATGAGCCACCACGCCCAGCCTACATATATATATATATTATACAATTATTTATTTATTTTGAGATAGAGTTTCCTTCTTGTCGCCCAGGCTGGAGTGCAATGGCGCGATCTTGGCTCACTACAACTTCTGCCTCCCAGGTTCAAGCAATTCTCCTGCCTCAGCCTTCTGAGTAGCTGGGATTACAGGCGCCCGCCACCAAGCCCTACTAATGTTTGTATTTTTAGTAAAGATGAGGTTTCACCATGTTAGCCAGGATGGTCCTGAACTCTTGACCTCAGGTGATCTGCCCGCCTTGGCCTCCCAAAGTGCTGAGATTATAGGCGTGAACCACTGTGCCTGGCCTATGTTATGCGATTTTATATATTTTGGTTTATTATTATTTTTTATTAGATGCAGGTTCTTATTCTGTTGCCCAGGCTGGAGGGCCATGATGTGATCATGGCACGCCACAACCTCAACCTCCTGGGCTCAAGTGATCCTCCCACCTGAGCCTCCTAAGTAGCTGGGACCACAGGCATGTGCCACCATGCCCAGCTGATTTAAAAAAAAATTTTTTTTTGGTAGAAATTGGGAGTCTTGCTGTGTTGTCCAGGCTTGTCTTGAACTCCTGGGCTCAAGCAGTCCTCCTACCTCAGCCTCCCAAAGTGCTGGGATTATAGGCATGAGCCACTGCATCTGGCCTGTATTTTGTTTTATATAAAAATAATTATGAAAATTAAAGGAATTAATGGATATAAATACTTATACCACTATCAAGTTCATGGTAAGCTCTGCATAAGTGTTAGCTTTGCTAAATTTTATCATTATTAACTACCGACTGCCAGAAGTTCTTAACAATATATATATATTTTTTTTTTTTTGAGATGGAGTTTTGCTCTTGTTGCCCAGGCTAGAGTGCAATGGTGCAATCTTAGCTCACTGTAACCTTTGCCTCCTGGGTTCAAGTGATTCTCCTGCTTCAGCCTCCTGAGTAGCTGGGATTACAGGCGCCTCTCACCATGCCCAGCTAATTTTTTGTATTTTTAGTAGAGATGGGGTGTCACTATTTTGGCCAGGCTGGTCTCGAACTTCTGACCTCAGGTGATCCACCTGCCTCAGCCTCCCAAAGTGCTAGGATTACAGGCGTGAGCCACTGTGCCCGGCCCTTTGGCTATCTGATGAAGCCTGTGGAACCCTTCTAAGAATATTTTTTAAAAACTTTTTTGAGACAGAGTCTCGCTCTATCACCCAGGCTGGAATGCAGTGGTGCCATCACAGCTCACTGCAGCCTCCAACTCCTGGCCTCAAGTGATCTCCTGTCTCAGCCTCCCAAGTAGCTGAGACTATAGGAGCACCACTATGCCTGGATAATTATTTTTTATATTACCCAGGCTGGTCTCAAACCCCTGGGCTCAAGCAATTCTTCCGCCTCTGCTTCCCAAAAATAGGCATGAGCCACCAAACCTGGCCCTAAGAATATTTTTAAATGCATAAAATAAGATTCTTAGGTGTACAAAAAAATCATACTGAAAAAATATAATGGTCAAAATACTAAAGTGAAAGCAGTATGTGCTTCTTTTATTATTTTTATTTTTATTTTTTTGAGACGAAGTCCCACTCTGTCGCCCAGACTGGAGCGCAGTGGCATGATCTTGGCTCACTACAACCTCTGCCTCCCAGGTTCAAGAACCTGGGTTCTGCCTCAACCTCCTGGGAAGCTGAGATTACAGGCACCCGCCACCATAACCAGCTAATTTTTGTATATTTTTAGTAGAGATGGGGTTTCACCATGTTGGCCAGGCTGGTCTCGAACTCCTGACCTCAGGTGATCTGCCCACCTTGGCCTCCCAAAGTGCTGGGATTACAGGCATAAGCCATTGCGCTCGGCTGAGATTAGCAATAATTAATGTGATATGAAAATATTTTCTTTTTCTTCATGACAAATTCATGGCTAATACTGCCAGGATTTTTTTGTTGTTGCCCATATTCATAATAGAAGGAAATGCTAATATGAAAATAAAGATGTCACTTTTTCCCCAATCCATGCAATTTCCCCCTAAATTGTATCCATGACCTACCTGAGGGGGATCCATGGACTCTCAGGTTAAGACCCCTCTACTGAAGGGTAGCAGAGTACAGTTTCAAAATTACTGATTAAGAGCGTGGGCTCACCAGGAGTTCAAGCCCAGCCGGGGCAACAGGATGAGACCTCATCTTTACAAAAAATGAACAAAATTAGGCATGGTGGTGCTTGTCTGCAGTCCCAGCTACTTGGGAGACTGAGTTGAGAGGATCACTTGAGGCTGAGAGGTTGAGGGTGCAGTTGAGCTGAGATTGCACCACTGCACTCCAGCCTGAGTGACAGAGTGAGATCCTGACTCAAAAAAAAAAAAAAAAAAAAAGAAAAAAAAAAAGGAAAAAAAGAAGATTTTAAAAATAACTCTAGTCCTTATGGGCTGTATGAGCCAGGCCGGTGTCTTCACCCTAAAAAAAGGTTAAAAACCCAGGGCCAGGTGTGGTGGCTCCTGCCTGTAATCCCTGCACCTTGGGAGACCTAGGTAGGAGGATCTCTTGAGACCAGCCTGGGCAACATAGTGATTGCTGATCTCTACAAACTTAAAAAAAAAAATTAGCTGGGTGTGGTGGCATGTACCTATAGCCCTAACTACTTGAGAGGCTGAGGCAGGAGGATCCCTGGAGCCCGGGAGTTTGAGGCTGCAGTGAGCTATGATCATACCACTGCACTCCAGCCTGGATGACAGAGTGAGACCCCATCTCTTTAAAAAACAAACAAATAAACAAAAAGACAAACCCTAAATGCCATGTGGGTTGGATCCTGGAAGAGAAAAAGAATATTAGGGGAAAAAAGAGTGAAATTCCAGTGAAGTCTGGAGTTCAGTTAATAGCATTGTAGTTAATAGGAGCTAATGGTATAAAATAGTTAATAGCATTGCACCAGTGTTAATTTTGTAGTTTTGAAAAATGTACCATGTTCACATTGGGGGAAACTGGGTGAAAGATATACAGCAGGCCAGGCATGGTGGCTCACGCCTGTAATCCCAGCACTTTGGGAGGCTGAGGCAGGCAGATCACTTGAGGTCAGGAGTTTGAGACCAGCCTGGCCAACATGGTGAAACCCTCTCTCTACTGAAAATACAAAAATTAGCCAGGTGTGGTGGCACACGCCTGTAGTCCCATCTACCCAGGAGGCTAAGGCAGGAGAATTGCTTGAACCCGGGAGGCTGAGGTTGCAGTTAGCCGAGATCGTGCCACTCCACTCTAGCCTGAGTGACAGAGTGAAACTATGTCTCAAAAAAAAAAAAAAAGATATATAGCAACCCTCTGTACTGTTTTTGTAACTTTTTCTGTAAATCTAAAGTTACTCCAAAGTAAAAAGGTTATTTTAACAAAAAGGCTAAGAACCTCTTCCCCAAATTCCTAAAGAACTTGGCTTGGTACTTAGCAGAGGCGATAGAAGCTTACCAGAACAATGTGTTGGGTTGAGTCCTGGCTAACGTATGAACCACAGGCTGAGTGACCCCAGACAAGTCACTCTTTCGAGTCTCTCTTATCCCGGCTGTAAAGTGGGAGCCGCGATGCCTCCCGCATCGGGAGGTTGTACATGTGAGGTGTGAAGACATGTAAAGTATCTGGCATGCAGCAGGCCTCATAGATGGGGGTGCGTGCTGCATCCCTCAAACAGCTCAGTAAACAGGGTGCACGCTACATCCCTCCATCACTCCTCAGTAAATGGGGGTGCACGCTACATCCCTCCATCACAGCTTGCTAAACGGGGGTGCACACTACATCCCTCGAACACAGCTTAGTAAACAGGGGTGCACGCTACATCCCTCCATCACAGCTTTCTCGCGGGCCTGCCCAGTGCTGGGCTTAGCCCATGGGGAGGAGGGAGGCAGCGCAGCCCCAGGAGCCTTCCTTCCCCACCCCAGCAGCTCTTGTCTTGTCTTGCTTTTAGGTGATGACAGAGGGTGGCCACAGCAAGGGGTTTGGCTTTGTGTGTTTTTCCTCCCCAGAAGAGGCGACAAAGGCCGTGACAGAGATGAACGGGCGCATCGTGGGCACCAAGCCACTCTACGTGGCACTGGCCCAGCGCAAAGAGGAGCGGAAGGCCATCTTGACCAACCAGTACATGCAGCGCCTCTCCACCATGCGGACCCTGAGCAACCCCCTCCTGGGCTCCTTTCAGCAGCCCTCCAGCTACTTCCTGCCTGCCATGCCCCAGGTGACGGCCTGCCCGCAACTCCCACCGCAGCCTTCCCCCCTGCCCCAGCAAGGCAGAGCATGAAGACTAGAGTTCTAGGGAAATGGAGGTTTCTAACTTGCTTCTGCCGAGGACTCATTAGGAAGTCTTTGTTTCCCTCTCTATAAAAGGGAGAGATAGTGTTAGTCAAATGGCATTTCCCAGTGAGAGAAGCTCGTGAATGTTGTGCTGAAAAAGACTCTTAATGATCCAGCAAGTTTGGGAAATGCTGCGTTAAGCAAGACCTACATTTTTCCTTCCTCCCTTCCTTCCCTTCCCTCCCTTCCCTCCCTTCCCTCCCTTCCCTTCCCTTCCCTTCCCTCCCTCCCTCCCTCCCTCCCTCCCTTCCTTCCTTCCTTCCTTCGTGGGGTCTCCATGTCACCCAGGCTGGTGAGCAATGGCGTGATCATGGCTCCTTCCTTCTTCCCTCCCTTCCTCCCTTCCTCCCTTCCTTCACGGGGTCTCCATGTCACCCAGGCTGGAGAGCAATGGCATGATCATGGCTCACTGCAGCCTTGAATTCCTGGGCTTGAGTGATCCTCCCACTGTAGCCTCCTGAGTAGGTGGGACTACAGGTGTGTGCCACCATGCCCAGCTAATTTTTTTGTTTATTTTAAAGAAGGGGTCTCGCCATGTTGCCCAGGCTGGTCTCAAACTCCTGGGCTCAAGCAATTCTCCTGCCTTGGCCTCCCAAAGTGCTGGCATTACAGGAGTAAGCCACCGTCCCCCGCCCTACATTTTTTTAAAAATTAAATTTTTATTTTTTTGGAGACAGAGTCTTGCTCTGTTGCCCAGAATGGAGTGCAGTGACACCATCTTGGCTCGCTGCAAACTCTTCCTCCTGGGTTCAAGTGATTCTTGTGCCTCAGCCTCCCGGGTAGCTGGGATTACAGGTGCGTGCCACCACACTCAGCTAATTTTTTGTATTTTTAGTAGAGACGGGGTTTCACCATGTTGGCCAGGCTGGTCTTGAACTCCTGACCTCAAGTGATGTGCCCTCCTTGACCTCCTAAAGTGCTGGGATTACAGGCATGAGCCACCATGATCGGCCCTAAATTTCTTTACTATCTACACTATTCTACCCTAAGATGCCAATGTCTACTGAGACTCTCCAAAACAGGCACAGATTATCCAGCATTTCCCCAGCTTAGATGGTCATTTTTTTGTGGGATGCCTGTTAACATCTCCCCTGGATGTTAATGTTCTGAGGAGCATGGTTTGGGAAAGGACCTCGTGGGACTTACAGGAAGTAGAAAGATGTCACCCATTAAAGGCCACCACGGTAAGAACATTCCTCTCCTTTTAGCAGTTGCTTAAGCTGCACAAGTTGGAGTAAGATGTCACCCTTTTTATCCAGGTCATTGGGTTAGCTGACAGGGAGCCAAGATTGAAATCTAAGATCTTTGCCCTGCAGGATTCAGGGCTAATGGACATCCTGAGATGGGAGGAAGGAGCTTTCATTACAGCCTTGTGGGTCTTGACTCACCAGTCCCTGCAGGAGCCAGTGGAGTTCCTGCCATGGTGTCCCTGAGGAGGTGTAGCTTCTCACCTACCCTGCCGCCAAGCCCCTCAGTCTGGGTCTTCTTTTCCCATGCAGCCTCCAGCCCAGGCTGCATACTATGGCTGTGGCCCAGTGACACCCACCCAGCCTGCCCCCAGGTGGACATCCCAGCCACCTAGACCTTCCTGTGAGTGACCCAGCCCCTTCCACTCTCAGACTGGCCTATTGGTGTGGGCCCCGTGAGGCAGTCATAACACAGGGATGAAACCTGGCTCTGCCACTTCCCAAGGTGGGTGACTTCACTTCTCTGAGCCTCAGTTTCCTCTTCTGAGCATGGGCCTGAATGAGACGTGTGTAAAGTACCAAGCACAGTGGTGAGCCAATGGAAGACACGCAGCTAGCCACCAGCAGTCATCACCAAAGATGCCTCTGATTTGTGACTCTGAAAATTCTTGCAAAGCTGAGAAGGTGAAATTCCTCTGGCTATATTGTTGACCAAAGGCCCTCCTCTGTAAGAGTGAATTGCACGCTCACTTGAAACTATCTTGAGGGACTAAGGTGTACAATCCTGGTGCTTATGCAGTTTGGGGCTCTAGGTAGACACGAGCTGGCTTTGAAATTGTAGATTCCTACACTCCCCCTTTCTGGAGTTCTGGGTCTAAGTGAATTGACTCCTATTTCTGTTGTGAATGTTGTAGTTTCCCTTCCCATTCTCTTGGTGGCCCTGGAAGCTTCTAGGCACAGTGTGCCACCCTGATTATTCCCACCACTCCATCCAACTTTTCTCTCTCTGTGGTGTCTGCACCACAAGCTGCCTACCCTCCAGGTGCCTCAATGGTCCGGCCACCAGTTGTGCCTCGGCGCCCCCCGGCCCACATCAGCAGTGTCAGGCAGGCCTCCACCCAGGTGCCACGCACGGTGCCTCATACCCAGAGAGTAGGTGAGTGTGGGTAGGGCCAAGGGGAATGGGGGTGGGGCAAAGTTGGCACTAGGAGTCAGGACCAGCCTCCATGGTGACCTTGCCATATGCCCTCTCGGTGAGCAAAGCTGACTTTGGAGACTGTAGCGTGGTAGTTAGCTTGGCCTCCAGTTCCTGGGACCAACTGACTATGAGGCCCTTGCTGACTACTATATCTGTCACCTAATCTTTAAAATGGGGACAAAAATAGTACCCCCATTTTATTGTAGAGAATTTAAATGTTTTTTTTTTTCTTTTTGAGGCAGAATTTCATTCTTGTTGCCCAGGCTGGAGTGCAATGGCATGATCTCTGCTCACTGCAACCTCCGCCTCCCAGGTTCAAGCGATTGTCCTGCCTCAGCTTCCCAAGTAGCTGGGATTGTAGGCATGCGCCACCATGCCTGGGTAATTTTGTGTTTTTAGTAGAGACGGGGTTTCTCCATGTTGGTCAGGTTGGTCTTGAACTCCTGATCTCAGGTGATCCGCCCACCTCAGCCTCCCAAAGTGCTGAGATTACAGGCATGAGCCACTGTGCCCAGCCTTAATTTTTTTTTTTTTTTTTTTTGAGATCGAGTCTTGCTCTGTCGCCCAGGCTGGAGAGTAATGGTGTGATCTCGGCTCACTGCAACCTCTGCCTCCGGGGTTCTAAGCGATTCTCCTGCCTCAGCCTCCTGAGTAGCTGGGATTACAGGCATGCGCCACCATACTTGGCTAATTTTTGTATTTTTAGTAGGGACAGGGTTTCACCATGTTGGCCAGGCTGGTCTCGAACTCCTGACCTTAGGTGATCCACCAGCCTCGGCCTCCCAAAGTGCTGGGATTACAGGCATGAGCCACCATGCCCGGCTTGTTGTTGAGGATCAATGAGATCATGCATGAAAGGGCTTAGCACTGGGCCTAAAGCCTGGTAAGTATTGCAGTGACTATAAACAAGGGTGTAGGTTTTGGCTGTACAGCAAGCACATCTGTTCTTTCATTCTGCAAATGTTCTCACATCCACAGTGTGCTGGGGCCCCAAGCTCAGCACTGGAGGTTCTGCGTGAACGAGGTATACTCAGTCTCTGGCCTTAGGTTGCTGCCAGGCCCTGACACCCCTGCTTATTCCTTTTTATTGTGGTAAAATACACATAACAAAATTTACCACTTAACTATTTTTCAGTGTACAGATCAATGGCATTAAGTATATTCACACTGTTGTGCACTGTCACCACCATCCACTCTCCAGAACTCTGTTCAGCTTGTAGAGCCGAAATTCTGTACCCATCAAACCATAACTTCTCGTTCCTCCTCCCGCTAGCCCTTGGCAACTGCCATTCTACTTTGTCTCTGTGAATTTGACTGTTCTTGCTTGGTACCTCATGTAAGTAGAATCATAGAGTATTTGTCTTTTTGTGGCTAGTTTTTTTACTTTACATGTCTCAGGATGTATCTATGTTGTGGCGTGTGTCAGAATCTCCTTATTAAGGCTAAATAATATTCCATTGTATGTATAGACCTCATTTTTACTTATTCATTCATCTATCAATGGACACTTTTCTACCCTTTGGGTATTGTGAATAATGCTGCTGTGAAAATGGTTGTGCAGGCTGGGCGTGATGGCTTACGCCTGTAATCCCAGCACTTTGGGAGGCTGAGGCAGGTGGATCATGAGGTCAGGAGTTCGAAACCAGCCTGACCAACATGGTGAAACCCTGTCTCTACTAAAAATACAAAAATTAGCCGGACGTGGTGGCATGTGCTTGTAATCCCAGCTACTTGGTAGGCTGAGACAAGAGAATTGATTGAACCCAGGAGGGGGAGGTTGCAGTGAGCCGAGATAACACCACTGCACTATAGCCTGGGTGACAGAGCAAGACTCTGTCTCAGGAAAAAAAAAAAAAAGAAAGAAAATGTTTGTACAAATAGCTCTTTGAAACCCTGCTTTCAATTCTTTTGGGTATATACCCAGAGGTAAAATTGATGGATGATATGGTAATTCTGTTTAACTGTTTGAGAAAGCCCTATACTGTTTTTCTGTAGTGGCTACATCATTTTACATTCCTACCAACAGTGCACAGTCTTCTAATTTCTTTACATTCTTGTCAACGCTTGTTATTTTCTGTTTTGGTGTTGTTTTGTTTTGTTTTGTTTTTGGATAGCAGCTATTTGAACTCTGCTTTTTTTGTTTTGTTTTGTTTTGTTTTGCAGCCAACATTGGTACTCAGACCACAGGACCCAGTGGGGTAGGATGCTGTACACCAGGCCGGCCGCTCCTGCCGTGCAAATGTTCCTCAGCAGCACATAGCACCTATCGGGTAAGGCCAGCCCAGCTGCCTGCTCTTAGCCTGGGCTCCTGGCCGCCTGGCTCAGAACCTTAGCTAAGGTGTTGGGCCTTGGCTTTTTTTCTTTTCTTGGCTTGTAAAGTTTCGTTTATTAATGTGTACAATCAATAAGAGATCACCCTTACTGCGAGAAGGGGAAAGAGGGCCAGCATTACGTTTTATTTACAATTTGTTTTGCTTCGGTTATTACCAAAATTAATTTGGATATCCTTAGTATTTGTGATGAACACCAAGGAAAGGTATTCTAAGAATATGCTGATTATTGAAGGGATGTACTTAATCTTCAAAACAGAAAATACTTACTGTAATCAAAGACTGTGTATTTATCTCCCTCCCCTAAAAAAGGCCTAAAATTCAGCATTATCATATCCTGTGTAGAATTTCAATGTGTCTCTTTTGAACTATTTCCTGCAAAATGAATGAGAACAGTCTTTAAACAGCAAAAATGTCTATTTTTTTTTTTGGACAGGGTCTTTTTTTTGACAGCACCCAGGTTAGAGTGCAGTGGTGTGATCATAGCTCACTGCAGCCTTGAACTCCTAGGCTCAAGTGATCCTCCCACCTCAGCCTCCAAGTACAGGCATGTGACACCATGCCTGGTTAATTTTGTGTATTTTTTTGTAGTGACAGGGGTCTCATTATGTTGCCAAGGCTGATCTCAAACTCCTGGCCTCAAGCGATCCTCCCACTTTGGCCTTCCAAAGTTCTAGGATTATAGGTGTGAGCCACCACACCTGGCCAAAATGTTTTAAAATTACCAAGATGTGAAAGGGTGAGAGGTGTGCCGGGGACATGTCCATAAATCTACTTGATAAAAAGTGCTTTATTTGGCACAAAGTTATTGGTAACACAGGGCTTTCCTTTATCAACGTTCATCAGGGACCTTTATAAGTTCGTAGCACTACAGGAAACGTCTAAGCTAGAGGCATGACTTTGTCTTCTAATCCACTTTGCCCTTGTTGGGGACTCTCCACCCCACCTGATCATCCAGACCTTGCCCTCTGTTCCCCTCCTCCAGTGCCTCCCTGGCCTTCTGCTCACTTGCCAGGGTAAGTATTTTGAGGACATGCCTGTCCATGGTGATTAAGGGATGTGTCCCCGGCACCATGCAGGTCCAGGAGCCGGCTGTGCACATCCCAGGACAGGAGCCCCTGACCGCGTCCATGCTGGCTGCGGCGCCCCTGCATGAGCAAAAGCAGATGATTGGTGAGTGGCTGGTTCTCCTACTGTGGAGCAAGAAGAGGAGGGCTGCGAGCTGGCTAGCCTGCTGGGAAACACCTCACCTGGTGGTCCAACGTGAGGTCAAATTCCAGCTTTGTCACCGACCCCCCTACTGGGTGACCGTGGCCAAGCTGGCTCTATTCTCTAGGCACCTGTTATCTTGTCTTAAAACGCTGGTCAGACTGGATGGTCCTGAGCTTTCTTCCACTGCTGCTGTCCTGTGACTTTGAGGTTGGGAGACAGTCCAGATGTGGGGAGATCAGGGGACAAAGGGAGGAGTAGGGGTATGGTCTTGGGTTTCTGCTGAGAAATGGCTTGTAGGTGGGGGGTTAAAGTTCCTCACACCTCTCCTGAACGGGAGGAAGCTGCTGTTCACCAGTTTCCAGTGCTCAATGCGGGCAGGTGGGGCATCTGTGCGTTTGGTAAATACATGATGTTTCCCATAGATTCTGGATTCCTTGTGCAATTCATCTTCACCCCTAGTGTCCATGGCAGGCCCTGATAAAAATGCCACTAAGTGAACACAAGCTTGTTCCTGGTTGGCAGGTTCTTTACTGCATGGCCCCCGAGACCTCCAGACCCTTTACTGAAGGCCCCCATTACCACTGCCCCATTGTTTCCTCAGCTTACTTAGGGTTTTGCCACATTACCCCTTCCCCTCACCCCGAAATTTTTTTTTTTTTCCCTGAGATGGAGTCTTGCTCTGCTGCCCCGGCTGGAGTGCAGTGGCACGATTTTGGCTCACTGCAACCTCCACCTCCCGGGTTCAAGTGATTCTCCTGCCTCAGCCTTCTGAGTAGCTGGGCTTACAGGCACATGCCACCATGACCAGCTAAGTTTTGTATTTTTATTAGAGATGGGGTTTCACCATGTTGGCCAGGCTGGTTTCAAACTCCTGATCTCAGGTGATCCACCCACCTCAGCCTCCCAAAGTACTGTGATTACAGGTGTGAGCCACCATGCCTGGCCTCACCCAGAAACATTTTGAATGAGCTTAATGGAAGTAGAAGTCTTTGTTAGTAGTTCTCTGTAAACATTTTCACTTTCTTCATGGGACGATCCTTTCCGCCCCCACTTAAGGCACCCAGTCCTGGCTGGGCCCTGGACACATTGCTGAGATGGGCTGACCACCAATACCAGGCCCAGTCATTAAAAGTACCTGATGTTAGAAGATCAAGTGTTAAATGTCATAGCCTAGAAGGAGCAGTTCTGGGAGAAGAACCCAGATGTCCTCAGTGCTCCACTCCATACGAGCCCTGGGATGCTGGGGTGTGAGCTAGGCCGTGCACAAGCCATTAGAAGGTGTTCCACACAGGGGAGCGTCTCTACCCCCTTATCCATGATGTCCACACCCAGCTGGCTGGCAAGATCACGGGCATGCTGCTGGAGATTGACAACTCAGAGCTGTTGCTCATGCTGGAGTCTCCAGAATCCCTCCATGCCAAGGTAAGCAGGAGCCTGGGCAGCAGGGAGCCCGAGGGGGCAGGAGGAGAGCTAACGACAAGGGCTCTCCTAGTGGAGCCAGTGGATAGCTGTTTGGCCAGATAAAGTGTTTCTTCTTGCTAATACCTGAAGGCCTGCTGAATCTTAAGAGTGGAAGGGGCCTTAGGTAAGGGTTTGCTACTTCAGCCCTTCCGTAGACTAATTCTGTGTTGTTCTGTAGGTAGGTCTTTTGGTACAAGGAAGTGTGTTGTGACTCAGTGTAAGGGTTAAGATTTTTCCAGCTGTCCAGCAATGTACCTCTGTGTCAAAGGTGACAGACAGGGCCATGGGATCTTGCAAGCAGTGGTGGATGGGAGGGTTCCACAGAAACCCTGTGGATGGAGGAGGATCCTGTATCCAGGATGGTGAGCGAGGGGGAGATCAAGGCTCTTCTGTGACCTGCTAAGATAGCTGCACTAAGCCCCCCCGCCACTCATGTCTCACAGATAGACGAGGCAGTGGCCGTGCTGCAGGCACACCAGGCTATGGAGCAGCCGAAGGCGTACATGCACTGAAACCAGGTGGGTGGAATGGTGACAGAAGCAGCTGAGCCCGGGAGAAGCTGTAAGGAAATAGGCAGGGACTGACTTTCACAAACACTGAGAATTGCGCCGTGTTCCTGGCTTTCTCTGAAGCACCAAAGAGTTTGGAGGAAGTTGTGAGAATCAGAGGAGATGATTAACTGTGATCGGAATGGGGGGTGGTGGAGGGTGAAGGAGGTGCCCTCTTGCCAGCTGCCCTGCCTGGCTTCATGCAGAATAGTTTGGGCTTTCCCAGGGCCCTGCCTGGCTCCATTCTGCCTGCCTGAAGGCCTGGCCAGGATGTAACCACCTTCTTTATTGAAGACTGGGTGTCTGCCATACTTTAAAAACACTTATTTTTACCTTTTTGTCCTCAGAAAAGGAAATCCTCGCTTCCATGGCTGCCAAAAGGACAGTGTTTCTGGCTCTCAGCCCTAAGGCCCTGCAAACTCTAACTTATTTCCCAATTAGTCTGTATCTATACTTGGGCTCTGTATGTGAATGAAGGTTGGTCACCCATCCAGCCTATTACCTTTTGCTTTGTGTATTAAAAGTGCTGCAAAATCTGCCTTGCCTCCCAGGAGGCCCTTTTGTGTCTGAGGGAGGTGGGGACAGAGCAAACGGTAGACATGACTGGGGTGGGGCTCAGGCTCTAAGAAACAGAAACCCTAAAGGAGTGCTGAAGTACACAGAGGGCATATACACAAGAGCAGGAGAAGTGTTAGGAACTGACCCATCAACAGTACAGTGGATGATGACATGGATATCACACAATGGACCAGAGCTACAGGGGCCCCCATCTGATGTGCATGCAGCCCCTGGCTTGGGCACCCTGCAGGGCAAACACCCAGCTGCTTCTCGGCTGGCTAAGGGGTTGTGTAACATAATTAACCCTTGTAGGAACGTTTTAGGGTACCTTCCCAGGTCAGGATTTTCCTCCCCTAATGGAGAAGTCTCTCGAAAAGCTTCTTTGTGTCAGTTAGTGCTCACCTCCCATCAGGGACGTACAGTCCAGGTCTTTGCCCTCTCGTGTACCGGAGCGGCCCAGTGAAAGTGGCTACTATGACCCAAGCAGACTGGGTTCTGCTAAAAATTCACCAGCAACAAATCTGACCGAGTCCTCAAGGCTGCTCTGCCACTCTCAGCAACTCACTCTTCCTGTTCTCCGCTCCACAGACCTCCAACCTGTCTTCACCATGTCCTGCCCACTTCTTTGGCTGCTTTTAATCTGTTCCCTGTGCAGCTCCATCGTCTTCTCCCCAAATCCTGACTGCTGGCATTTCTTTACTCTCAGTCCTGGGCCCTCTCGGTTTCTCATGCCATGTTCTCCTGAGCTATCTAATTTACAAGCGCATCTTCCATTTGTACCCAGTCGAGGATGACTCCCTGTTTTTTTCTTCAGCCCAGTCAACTCTTAAGAGCACCTGAGTCACCTCTCTTACATTCCACCGCCTACCTGCCATCAGCTCCTGGTTATCTTGGTAACACTCATGTCTAAATTCAAGCTTATGATTTAACTAAGTTTCTTTCTTTTTCATTCCTTGGTTCTTTTTTTTTTGAGACGGAGTCTCGCTCTGTCACCCAGGCTGGAGTGCAGTGACGTGACCTCTGCTCACTGCAACCTCCACCTCCTGGGTTCAAGCAGTTCTTTTGCCTCAGCCTCCAGAGTAGCTGGGACTACAGGTGCACTCCACCACACCCAGCTAATTTTTGTATTTTTAGTAGAGATGAGGTTTCACCATATTGGTCAGGCTGATCTCGAACTCCTGACGTCAGGTGATCCACCCGCCTCGGGTGGGGTTTACAGGCATGAGCCACCGTGCCCGGTCTTATTCTCTGATTCTCTCTTCCAGTGTTCTGTCTCCATAAATGGCCCCACCATTCTGTTGCAAAAGCCAAAATCAGAGGGTTTCCCCAGCCCTGCTGCCACACCACTTTCTCTCCTCCCCTCTTCCAGAGAAAATCCACCAACATGACCTCCTACCAGATCCAAATCCACTACCACTACCTAGTGGAATAAATCCACTAATTTGAGCTAAGCTCAACCCCTGCGCTCACTGCCTTCTGCCAGTTAACTGCATTTACCCTGGCCCTCCCGCAGTCTGTCCTCCACCATGCAGTCCTAAGGCTTCTTTCAAAATGCCTCTCTAATGTCTCATCCTTGCATAAATCCTGCAGTAGCTTCCCATCATTAGAATAAGGACTACTTTACACAGCCTAGGAGACCCTGCATGATCTGCTCTCTGCCCTGTCATTCCCACGTAACGGTGTTTTACCTTCTCTGGGAGTCGGGGTAGAATTCCATCATGACCATTAAGACAGTCACATTGATAGCTGTGTGTCCCTCTCCTAGAAACATTAACCTATGAGAAGCAGAAGTTTTATTCCTCAAAGCATCTCTGGAAAAGACTGAATGATGTTAAATTTCAAAGATGAGTGATGGGGATGAGGAAGCTTATGTTGTGTTCTTCAGACATTTTTGAAGTACAAAATGAGTAGTCTCTTCGGGTTGTGCCGGCCCCACCCTCTGTGTCTTCACTAGCAAATCAAGTTGCTTGCCTTCTAGAGCTCAGAATGATGTAAACCAGTTGTGACTGGATGTCACGAAACCTGCCTCACATCAGTCCTGCCTGCTTATGAGGCAATAAAAGGGGTACGGTGCCCCACTTTGAAACTGTCCCTTGACTGTGCCGATGGGGTTTGTCTGACTCTAACTCTGCTTCAGCCTGGATGTCTGTGATGGCTCAGACAACAGACTCATCCTTAAGAGAGCTCAGAGGTGGTGTGCTTAACGCCGAGTGCTGCCTAGCACTATGTGATGGGAGCCAAGGGATGATCAGACCCCTTTGTCTACTCTGCTCTGTGGAATCCTAAAACTCTACTTCCATTAGGTGAAAACCAGCCCAGGAAAGGGAGGCAGCCCTTGATTCTAGCTAGATCCTAGAGCACTCTCCAGCCTCACCCCATACCATGTTTTGTGAATTTCATCAGCCCTTTTAGGTCCCTGTACTCACTGGCTGTGCTCCCAATGAGGGCCTTACATGGCCGTTCTGTCCACGGTGTTTCCCTCCCCTCTTCACTAGTTAACCTCCCCATCTGGAACTCAATTCAAGCTTTACTTACTCAGGGACCCCCTTCCCTCCACTGCATCAAATTTCCCCTTTTGGGCAGGGAAATCACTGACGACTGCTTCACAACACTCAGGCAAGCTGCAATTTTACATGTGTGTGGTTGTCTGATTAACTTCTTGCCTTCCCACTGGACTACCAGCCCTCTGAGAGCAGGGGCTGTGTCTATTCACTGCTATCTATCTATCTCCCTAGCACTATTCACAGTGCCTGGCCCATGCAGACATGTCAATAAATTTGTTCAACAAATGAATGAATGCCCAATAAGCAATAACTTTTATTATTACTACAGAGTTCCAGGTGCAAAGCTGAAAAGGCATAAATGAAAGCACAGCAGATATTGATGTAGAAGAAAGCTTTTTAATGCAACAGCTTAAACACACAGTTCAACAAAATCAGTCAATTCAAATTAACTTCAACATATTACAAAGAACTATGAAGCCCGGAGAAGGCCACTGTTGGAACAAAAAACCAAGTCCCTGCCCAGAAAGCATGGACACTGACCAAGGAGGCCTCTTGCCCCCTCCCACCTCTAGGAGGAGCAGCCACAATCACTGGGCTCTTTAAACAGCTTAGGTGCCTCTCTGCAGAAGGCAGCAGCACAGAGTCAAGGACAACCATTCAAGGGTCAGGGCTCTGCCTTCCCACCAAAGGAGGGCCCGAACAGAAGGCACTGGGGCTCAGACATAGGAGACTGTGCAAGGACAGGACAGGGCAGGGACAGCAGCTGTACACCTGGAGAGACTGCAGCCCTGGAGAACCAGCTCAACAGGCTGCTTTGGATCAGGGCCTTAGGTTTATCCCCCTCCTTCCACCCCGGCCCAGGAGCTCAGGTTGTTCAGATGAACTGCAGTGAGTTGGGGTCTGGGGAAGCTACAAGGGCAGCACTCAGTCTGCAGCCCACTTGGGCAGGACAAAGCCAAATGCTTTGCTGATGAGGATCTGTTGGTGTGATCAGCTAGCTGGGCTGGGGGAATAGGGACAGAGCTTCAGCTTCACGCTTAGCTCTAGTGGGGACCTTTCTGGTGCAACAACCATGTCTGTGTTTGACTACACTGAGTTTAATTTGAACAAGCAAAGCCTCTTACAGGGTGGGAGGCCATCAAGGGATTGAGGAGGGGGCTTCAGAGCTCACTTGGGGCATGCTGGGTTTCAGGAGCGGGCACAGAGCAGGTGGCCCATGGCTTCTCTGGGTAAGGTCAGGCAGGGGTTCCAGTTGCCCTGTTGGGTTTTTAGTGTAGGTTCTGCTTCACTTCCTGCCGCAACTTCTGTGCAGGACCATTCCTAGGCTCAATCTGTAGGAGGTTGCTGATGTCTGCAAAGCTGGATTTATAGTCCTAATAGAAGAAAAGACAGGAGTGTGGGGGAAGGTTCCCGGACTGGGGTGGGGATAGCTGCTGAGGCAGCAAAGTGTTTTCAAACCCCAGCCCACAGGCCTGCTCTGAGTTATCCTGGGCCCAGGATGAGAAGGAAAAGCTGCAGATATTGTCTCAGCTTGGCTACACCCTGTAAATGGTGACACTGGCATAAATCTCTGTAGCTATGTTGGGACCTTTTGGCCAGGATTTTTTTTTACCTTGAGTGCTTTGTGGGCTTGAGCCCGTCTGTAGAATGCCTTCACGTTCTTTCCATCCAGCTTGAGGGCTTCTGTGCAGTCCTTCACTGCTTCTGTGTACTGCTTCAGGACCAAATAGCAGAGTGCTCTGAAGGGAAAGACCATTTCAGAGGTTTCAGTCACGTCTTATGGGCCACCCACATGCCACGCAGTAGTTTGAGAAGTGATCTCCAATTTGCTGAACACCTACTCTGTGCTGGTTACTTTATGTCTTCTTAAATCCTCACAACAATCCTAGCCCTTTTCATGGATGAAACATGCTGGCTCAGAAGGGTAAAGGAACTTGGGCCAGGTACCGCCAGTATTAAGGGGCAGACCCAGGATTCAAATAGGCGGGCGTTCGTTCATGGGACTCCAGATCCTGATCTCATCTAGTTCTATCATGCTGTACTGCGCTCTCCTATACTGAGCTCTTTCAAGCAAAGAAAAGGTTTCCTGAAACTTTTCCCTTGACAGATTAAAAAATTATCTACTTTAAGGGGGAAAAAAAAACCCAACAACTACTGAACTCTAATGATATAATGCTGACATGGGGTGAAATGTAAAGACGTTTGCAATTTACTTTTAAGTGCATCAAACACAATAATACAGACCAACAGATGGCTAAATAGTGATAAGGCAATGTAATAATACTAATTGTAGAATTTAGATGGTAGGTCTATGGGTGTTCAATGTACAAATCTTTCAACTTTCCTATATTTTGAACATTTTCATAATAAAATGTTGGAAAAAAGTTATGTGCATCCATACAATATATTCTGCATCTGTGGGTTCAAAAAAGTGCATGTGTGTATATATCTTCCTCATTCAGATCTAGTCCTTCTCTCCAAAGACAGTCACTAAAAACAAAACAGTCAGATGTCTGGGCGCTCATTACATAAGTTCATCTGTTCCACCTCACTGTTTTCAGTGGGTGCAGGGTATTCACTAAGTTGGATGTAGCATAATTTATTTTACCAATTTCCTATCAAGAGGTATTTTTCATTGTTTCCAGTTTGTAAATAAGTGATGCCATGATGAACATCCTTGTGCAAGGGACTGCTGTATCCAAAGATACATGCATTTTAAAACCTGACTGGCCAGGTGCAGTGGCTCATGCTTATAATCCCAGCACTTTGGGAGGCCAAGGTGGGAAGGTCACTTGAGCCCAGGAGTTTGAGACCAGCCTGGGCAACATAGGGAGACCCCATCTCTTAAACAAAACAAAACAAAAAAAGAAATAAAATCTGATTGTTACTGCCAAAATGCTTTCCAAAAAAGCTGAATAGTTATTGACAGAGCCTATTTTCCTACAACTGTACCAACTTTGGGTCTTAAATTTTCATGTATGCCAATATGGAATAAAACACTATCTCACTGCCTTAGCTGCTTAGTTGTGGGTAAAGCTGAACATCTTTAATAAGGGTTTTTAATCTTTTGAAATCAAACTTCTCTAACTTTTCCTTTAACGACTTCTGTAACATTTTTTTCCCTTCACATAAGAATACCTTCCCCACTGCAAGATAGTTAATCCATGTGTTCTTCTAGAACTTAATGGTTTCGCTTTTTACATTCCAAACTGTGATCCACTCAGAACTTACTTTAAAATAAGAAGCAAGGTAGGATTCAAGTTTAACTCTAACCTGGCCAACCCAACACCTCTTATTAAATAATCTCTCTTTGCCCCAGACTTTATTATACACCAGATTCTCTCATGTCGTTGTTCTCATTTTTTTCTGACTTATCATGAATTTAAAGAAGAAAATTCTACTAGTCCTTTGTGATTGCATGGAATTCATAAATTAACGGAGAGAAAAATCTTCTTGTAACAACTTAAAAGACAGGCACAAATTCTTTGGCAATCCTCCACTGAGAGGCGGAGGTGTATCTGCTCTCTCTCTTTGAATTCGGGCAGGCTCTGTGACTGCTCTGACCAACAGAGGACAGAGGAAGGGACACGATGTGACTTCCAAGGTTAGGTCATAATAGGCCTTGCAGCTTCCACCTTGGTCTCTGGAAACACTCGCTCTTGGAGCCTTGAACTGACAGGGAAGAAGCCAACTACTCTGAGGCCACCACGCTCTCAGGAAGCTCACAGCAGCACACATGAAAAGGCTGCTAAGAAAGTGGAAAGAGGTGCCAGCTTGCTCTAGCAGTTCCATCACCCAGCCATTTGAGTCAGGCAGCCCAGCTGCCAGACATTCGAGGAAGAAGGCTTTAGAGGATTCCAGCCCCAGCTACCATCTTGCTGACCCTGCATGAGAGACCCCAAATGAGAACTGCCCTTCCCTAATTCCTGACTCCACAAATTACAAGCAAAATAAAATGGTTGTTGTAAATCACCAAGTTTTAGAATAGTAGCCCGTTTTAAACTTTGAACACAGAAGAATTCCTTTTTTTTTTTGGAGACAGGGTCTCACTCTGTCACCCAGGCTGGAGTGCAGTGGCATGATAACAGCTCACTGCAACCTCCGCCTCCTGGGTTCAAGCGATTCTCCTACTTCAGCCTCCCGAGTAGCTGGGATTACAGGTGCATGCCACCATGCCCAGCTAACTTTTGTATTTTTTGGTAGAGATGGGGTTTCACCATGTTGGCCAGCCTGGTCTCAAACTCCTAACCTCAAGCAATCTGCCCACCTCAGCCTCCCAAAGTGCTGGGATTACAGGCATGAGCCACCTCTAAACATAGAGGAATTCTAAGGAAATTAAAGTTTCCTCCCAATGGGCTTGGCAATTTAAAGAAATAGCCAAGTGTCTGGGAAGCAGAGGAACCACCGTGTATCGTGACTTCAGAATAGAAATGTGATTAATAGGGTCATGTGAGACTTCTAAAGACTATATTTAAGATGAACAAAATGCATAACTTCAGGCAATAAAATAAACCCCCTTGACTTTTGGTAAATGAAGTAACTGTATCCAGTCAGAAGGGTTTTAATTACAAAGGGGTTGGGAAATAACACAAGTGAGTGAAAGGGAAATAAGCTTTGGAGTCACAAAGATCTGGCTTAAATCTCAGCCACCATGTACTAGTTGTTTAACTTTGTGGTCACTAATTCATCTTTCTGAGCCTGATTAGGTAACACAGGACAATGATCTAAGCTGAAGAACTGTTGTGAGTACAAGTGAGATTCTTATGACAGCTGTTTCAGGGCTGGCAAGTTGTAGGTGCTATGCACTCAGATGTCACCTGCACAAAGGGAGCCAAAGTAAGCCAAAGCCTGGGCATTGTGTCATTCAGATGGGCGTACATGAGGTGGAGCATTAGACTATGTCCAAGACGTTCCAGGACATGATAAAATGTTAGCCACAATGGCTGAAAGTTGTTTTGTCATTAGTCCTCTAGATTAAATTATAAATCCAATGCAATCACAACCAAAAGCTGTCCAACAAGACATTTTTTGGAATTTGCCAAAATGATCCGAAGCTTTAGCTAGAAGAACAAACATGGGAAAATACTAGGAATGCTCTGATTAAGAAGAATGAAGAAAAGACCAGCCCTATAAGATATTATAAAGCAAAAGCAATTAAAACAGTGTGGCACAGACACCTGCATGAAGAACAGTATCTAAACAAGACAAAACACAGCTCCAAATATGGTAATGATCCAGAAAAATGAGTTAATGGAGGTGTCCAGCAGCATAAGGTAAGCAATGTGAAAGAGGGTCCAGAGATAGAGGAGTTAGAAGATGCCACACAAATATGGAACAAATAGGCTGCAGGCTTCTTTTTCAAATTAGCCTGGCAAATTGTGGCCCCTCTGGTCCAATCAGCAATAAAACCACATAAAACCACAGGTGCAAAATTCCAAAATATAAGCTTTAAAACTACAAGTTCTCTTTCCAACTCATTGGGCAGCAAAACCTGATCTGAACTGACATGAAGCTATTTAGTTTCTCTATTCCACCCCATGTGAACATGGAATTTTCAAGTTTCACTGGCAGAAATACTAATAATTAACTTCTGCAAGCTGCCCCAGACACTGCTGGGGTGTTACATAATTCAGACCATATTACCTCACTAAAATGGAAAACACTTCTTTTTTTTTTGTGACAGAGTCTCGCTCTGTCACCCAGGCTGGAGTGCAGTGGCACAATCTTGGCTCACTGTAACCTCTGCCTCCTGGGTTCAAGTGATTCTCCTGCCTCAGCCTCCTGAGTAGCTGAGATCACAGGCATGTGCCACAGCGCCCAGCTGATTTTTTGTATTTTTAGTAGAGATGGGGTTTTGCCGTGTTGGCCAGGCTGGTCTCAAACTCCTGACCTCAAGTGATCCTCCCGGAGCCTCAGCCTCCCAAAGTGTTGGGATTACAGGCATTGAGCCACCGTGGCTGGAAAACACATTTTATCTCAAGAGTTTGGAATAAGGAACAATGTGTCTATATTAGATCCAAGATTTTTGAACTAGAGAGTGATATGTGTATGCTGGTAGGGAAGGATAAACAGATTTCTAACATTTTATAATGTTTTATACTAAGCATTTGGTTTTGATATGGTCTCTTGCTGAATGTTTCAAGCTTCTGAGAGTAAAAGTAACAGGAAGATCTTGTTGAAGTCAGATTCCAATTCTTGTGCCAACATTTACTGGCTGGCTGAGTTTAAAGCAAAACCCTTCCTTCTCTGAGCCTCAATTTTCTAAACACTAAAACAGAAAGACCACCTATACGAGCATTGTTGGAGAACAATCACTCCTACACAGTGAAGGGACCGCACCCTGGCTCCCAGGTTCTCAGTCAGTGGTCACTGACGGCAGCTCCTGGTGCAGGACTTTCTACAGGCCCACAAGTCTAACCTTTCAGGCTAGACTGTACCCATCCTTCCTGCTCTCATGCCAGGCAATGGTTACTTCACATTTTGGCTTCTGGGCCAGTACTCTCAGACAGAAATGGTGCCAGAATTTCTAACAGGAGGGTCTTGGAGAAGGGTAGGGAGCAGCGTAGCGTGGTGGGGTGGACAGGCTAAGAGACTTGTGTTAGGGTTGTGTTTGCAGAGCAGGCACACTGCTTTTAGTTACATTGCATGCTTATGAAAATTCTGGGGACAGGGGCCAACAAAGCCCAGGCTACCATTTGGCATCCCTCAGTTTCTACCCTTTTGAGAGAATGAATGCCACTGGTCATGGCTAGCTCACAACGTGGATGCATGTTTTCAGCCATAACATACTTGACTAAATGCTAGGGATGAAGGGCCCATTGCAGTCCAAGAGAAGACTATGGAACAAATGTCCTGAAATGCCCCAGGCCAGCAGCTGTATAGGAGATACCTGTTGCTGTACGTGGCAGATTCCAGGTTACTACACAAGAGGCTTTCACTGTACTTCTCAATAGCTTTCTTATGGTTTCCCTTCTTTACAAGCTCATTGCCTTCTTCCTTCAGAACTCTGGCTTTCTCCACATCCCCAGCAGAAGGCACTAGATACAAATTCAGAAGAGGAAAAAAACCATGGAGCAGCACCCAACTGAGATCAGTGAGGTCTCTTCAGCATCGTCCCTTCCAAACTGACTACAATCCTCTCTCCCAGAGATTTCCTCCCCTGCTGTAAATCATCCTTCCTGATTAATGACTTCCCCCAATTAATAGCTTCTGGGCAATTCAACAGTTTTTCATCAAGAAGTTGGGGAATCCTGATATAAAAACATTTTTGCATGCACATAAAAATATATAAATGATAAAAAGCAACCCAGGTTCTAGCCTTGGCACTGCCTCTTGGTAGCTGGAAGATCTTGTGTGACCTACCTAACTTTTGGACCTCAATTTCCTCACCAATAAAATAGGGCAATACTAATTCCACAGATGGCTATTTTCAGGGTCAAATCTGAGAGTATGTAAGAAAGTACGGAACACACTATAAACTTAAAGCAGGACAATAAGTAAATAAATACTAATAAACAAATATCTGGTAAAGAAAAGGTATAGCTTCTGGGCTATGAGAAAAGGGGAGAAGAGCCTGCTATTCCTCATTTCTGGTTTGGGCTGAGCCTGTGAGTATCCTCCCTCATCTAACACATGCAGCTCTGCTCCAGCCTTCAAGGAGAGGAAGCAGAGGGAACATGGTGAAATCCAAGCTGCTCAACTTGGTGTTCAGGCCCTTCACTGCTTGGCCCCAATTAATTATTCCAGCCTCAGCTCCATATCATCTGCTTTTCAAAAATTTTTAAAACTATCTTTATAAAATACTAAATATTTATGACCAGGGTAAGATTATAGGTTTACACCCTGAATTCATTGCCTGGTTTAAGAAAAAGAACATAACTAGGACCTTTGAAGTCCTGGGGGACCTTCCTCAATTCAATCCACTGCTGGAGGAAACTATTATCCCCAATTCTGTGCTTCTTCCCCACCTTTTTAAACAGTATAACTATATACAACAGTACCCACAGATCATTTGCTGTTTACTTTGTTTTTGAACTTCATACAGAAGAATAAGTCTGTGTATTCTTTTATGACTTGGTTTTTCTTTTTCCCCTTAATGTTATATTTCTGAGATTCATCTGTGTTGATGCACAGACCTGCAGCTCCTTCATTTTCATTGCTGCAATACCAAAGCTGAATTGTCCATTCTCCCATTTATGGAGATCTGGGTTATCTCCAGTTGTTTTTTGCTATTACAGTCTTCTACGAACATTTGTGGGTACATCTCCCTGTGCACATGCACACAGGTTTCTCTTGAAGTAGGGCTTCAGCTTCACTGGCACCCTGCAACACACCACTCTGCAGTCATCCTTATTCCTACTGTTCCCCCCATGCACTTTCATTCTCCAACTCTCTCCACTGTCTCTGCCAAGGATTCTCCTTCCTTCCCACCTGATGACCTTCTTCAAGGTCCAGCTCAAGGCTCCACCTCCATTGCCACCCCTTCTGAGTCTTTCCCCGACTCCCTCATGCACTTAAGTCAGTTTCTATCCTGAAGTCCTCAAACACTAAGACTCTAAAGCACATGTTCCTCCTCCTTGTGTTTTAAGACACTGTTTACATGTCTCAGTCCCTCAACTGAGGGAGAGTTCCCTGAGGGCCAAGACTGTCCTCTGTGTCACACTGCTTAGCATACACATGGCTTGGAACACATGGCTCAGTGACCCTGAAAGAATGAAATCAATGGTAGGTGCACTGATTTAAAGAATGAAATCAATGGTAGGTGCACTGATTGAAAGAATGAAATCAATGGCACTGATGCCATCAGGTTCATTAGCACCGCACATTTTCATCCTAGAGAAGAGTGGGGAACACTTACCAGGCTCCCACAAACCAGAGTGAATGCTACCCATGACCAGAGAGGCATTCTCCTGTAGAAGGTGAGTAACTCTTGTCCTCCCCTAACACCTATAGGTCACTTACACATGGCAGGGCTCCATCTCTGATCCCTTCTGCACCTCTAGCCTGAATCCCTAGCTTGCTGGGCTGGGACCATTCCCCTGGAGCATTAAAAGAGCTTCCTAGTGCCTGACAAATGGCCTCTTCATTTCATACAGTTGAGGTGAGGAATCTCCTGTTTTTGGCTGCTTGGATCTCCTTTCTCTTCTTCATGCTTCTCCAGGGATTCACACAGTGTACATGCTCCTGGGAAGCATCACCCTCTAGTTCTGGAGGTGGGGCAGGTGCCTCAGGGTGACCTAATCACAAAATCTCATCCGCCGGTTATGGTGTGTACTTCAGGGAATGGCCTGTGACCATGAAGACCAGAATAGATTGAGAAAATGATTGAGAAAATATGTGAGCTAGAGTTTTTTGGGGGAAAAAAATCCTATCTTTTCCTAGTGAGCTATCAGAGAAAGACTTTCTTTCTCTGGGTCATGAGGCATGGGGTATGGATGTGAGGCCGGGAACTGCTATAGCTATTTTGCTACTAGGAGGGAAGCTTGCCAAAGACAAAGCTGACGCACAACAGAAAATAAAGCTGTGATAAGTACAGAAAAATGGAGTTAGTCTGTTAATATACTGAGCTGCTGGAGCAAACCTTGCCTGAATTCTCTCGGATTTTTCAGTTTTATGAGCCAATAAATTCCCTATACTATGTTTACCATGTTGAGCTTTCTGTTTTTGCAACCAAAAACATCCTAAGTACTACATCCCAAGTGCTACCAGAGGAAAGAGAAGGGAACTCACACTGCATGCCTATGTGCCAGGCTGGGAGTTTTACATGTCTTATGTCATTCAGTCCTCATGGTTGTGAGGAAGACTTTATCATCACCCTCACTATACAGCTGAGAAAACAGTCTCTAAGAGGTGAAGACTTGTATTTTGTTTTATACTTTGTTCCTAAGATTATTTTTATAACTCAGCTAAACAATGCCAATTTTTGCAGGACTACTCTAAAGAAAATGGATAGTGGGAGATTGCAAGACTCTGGGCAGGGAGTCACAGCTCACCTCTGTTCTTTGTAGCTGTGGTTTCTTTGGATTTGCTTTTAGCCATCTCTTTGTGGTTCTCCGAAGGCAAGGAATTCCACCTCTTCTGAGCTGAAACAGGCACCAAGGGGATTGAGGGCAGCTTCAGGCGCCACTCAGGCCCAAGCGAGTCCATGAGAGCTCTGGTCATTCTGGAAAAGAAGGCAGGATTGCAGGGAGGTTTCCAGCTGGGTCAAGAAGATATTTCTCCTTTCACACACCCATGGGAGGTAGGCCTTTTCAGAAGAGCCAGAGCTGCCACCCTCCCCCTGGTCGGAACCACCTCTTTAGCTCCTCCAACACGTGCAATACAGGAACCCATAAACACCATCTCAGATCAGTCCCCATGACATTCCTTGAGCTTGGTCAAACTATGTTACCTTTAAAGTGGTGATCTGTTGCTTGTTAAGGATACTTAAACCATGATCCAAAAAGACTATAGTTTCTCCAAGAAAGAATCATACATTTTGTTTCATATTTTATCAATGAATCAAGTACACAACCATGCAAGCACCTGACATTTGTTTAATGCTCAGGCTTTTTAAAAAATGCAAAGCTTATGTCATTCTCAAATCTTACAACTCCTCAGGGGTTCCCAATTCCCTAGGCTAATGTGGCATGTGAGATCTGGTCCCCACCCCTTCCTGTCCCCCTTCACTGTGAGCCACATTCTCTTCTGATCCTTCTGTTCAAGACTTTGCACATGCTTTTTCCTCTACCCAGAACAACCATTTTCATTTTGGAAAAAGATTGCCACCTTCCAGGCCCGGCTAACTCCAACTTATTCTTTAGATTTCAGCTTAAAATGCCACCCAGAGACCAAGTTCATTCTGTCAACTGATCTCCAGCACCTGGTATGTCACCTAGCAACCACCAAGGCCCAATCAGTTATGTGTTGAATGAGTGAATAATGCTAACTGTATACTTTTTCTGCTCCTACAACCATGTTTCCTATATTACAAGAATAAAAACCACAGACTGTATCACTACAAATTCCAAGATGTCTCTGGCTAGGCTGTTTTCCTGGCGGCCAAGCTATTTCAAACCTCTGCTCTCCTCAAACCTGTTCCCTGGCCCTTCCCCTTTTTTAGAGCAAACTTCCTCATACCCCAAATACAAACCTACCTGCCTGGGTGCCCAATCCTTCCTATTTCTCTCCTGTCACAACAGAAGAGACAATGGGACCAATCCACCCACCTAAGCTCTGGATCCCATCTCCTCTTGCCTCTTTCAGGGACCACACCCAGGCAGCACCTCCCTCTCCCACATCTTCATCCTTCCTCTCTACTAACTCCAACCGTCAGCATTTAAGTCCCTTTAACTCTTTCCTCACCTAATAAAACCATACTGGACACCCCTTGCCATCACAGGTATACTCCCCAGCTTCTCTTCAAGCCTGACTTTCTGAAAGCATTGCCCTCTGGCTCCTGATCCCACTGACCAGCTTCCATCAGAGCCACCGGTGACTTCATTGCCAAACCTTTAATGTAAGCTCCTTGGAACACCTGACACTAATGATGTCTCCATCTTTCTTGAAATACTCCTTCCCTTGGGACATCAATGCCCTGTTTCCTCCCACCTCTCTAGCTGCTGTTCCTCTGTAAGTCCCTCAAATGCTGGAGTTTCTCAAAGCTCCATCCTCTTCACACTAGCTGTGATGTTCTTTTTCTTTCTCACAGCCCTAATCCACCTCTGCGCTGATGACCCTCAAATCCTTATGTCTGGCCTGTATTTTCTTCCTTTGTTCCATGTAAATACCCAACCGTCCTACTTAGATCTCTAGTCTTATGTCCCACAGTCACCTCCGACTGAATGTCAATAATCTGAGTGTCTTCTTCTATTCCTCCCTTCTCGATACCCCGCAACCACTAAAGCTTGTTGATATACTTCCTACATGTCCCCTGACTGGTCCCATTGTTTTCTCTCCACCCTCTCCCCTGGATTGCTGCATGACTCCTTTCTATTCTGTTGCCCTTCATATCATCCCTCAACATGGCAGCAAAGAGCTTTTCTCTAAAATACAAATCTGCTCATGTTGCTCCACTGCTAAAGACCTTTTCATAAAGGCTGACTTGCTCAGGATTAAGTCCAAGCCCTGAACCCTGGGTCTTGTGTGACTTGGCCTCACCAACCTGTCCCAAGCTGAGCTCCTGCCTGCAGCACCATGTGAAACCGACTTCTTACAATTCCTGTGATCTGTCACACTTGCTCACCTTTGCACACGCTGCTCTGTCTTCTGGCTAACCCCCTACCCCATATCTCTCATTCTTAGCTCACCTCCTCTGAAAAGCTCTCTCTGGCCTCCCCCTCTCCCTCTCAGCTAGCTAGGTGGCTCCTTTCTGGCCTCAGAGCCCCCTGTGCTGCCTCCTACCATGGCGCTTATCATGTTGTATTGTGCTTGCCTATTACTGACTGGTGTCTTCCTTGAGACCGGGACCTCTATGACGGCAGGAAGAGGTATGTCTCAGTCATCAGCCCAGGTCCTAGAGCAAAGTCTGTCACATAATTGGTAGATTTTGTGGAATCAGATAAGTTAAAAAGGAGGCAAAGAGAAAACAAAGAATGCTGGCAGACAAGTCAAGCCAGAAATAAAGCACTAAATACATACCATGAAGTCCCTGTTAAGGGTTTGCTATTAGTGCAGTGTTTGGCTTTCTAGCCGCACACGCAGAGGGGAAACATGATCAGTTATACAAATGACAATATCCATGAGATAAAAGCCAATAACTGCTCAGAGACCAGAAAGGAATTGCACCTGGGGAACCTCTTGGATTGGTCACAGTGCAATATACTGAACCATGTCCACAAACCATATCCTTTTAGGCTTGTCATAGCTGCTTGGGCTTGTGTCTTATTCTTCTAATTAGCGTTAGCGCTTTGAAGGTAAGTGGGGTCTGTATCTCTTTCTCATTTTGGTATCCCCCACTGAACCGGGCACAACACCTTAAACAGTGTACAATAAATATTACTGTGTACATAGATACTGTGAGGCACATGTAGGCAAATATCAATCAATCAATCTTAGTAATTGACTCCCTGAAAACCTGCTAAATAAAAAAGCAGATTTTCCTTTCTCAGCTTCCCCTACATGCCCATCGGGAGTTTTTTAAGTGTAGCCAAAGGGATCCCCTCAGAAGACAGACAAGGCAATGGCCCGCAGCCAATCAAGAAGGACAGGGAGTTGCCGTGGAGACCACCTGCTGGGAATGGAGCTCACCTGTTGATGCCTTCTACGGCTGACGTCACATTATCATCAATCTGCAGCACAGTCTTATAGTCAACATAGGCCATAGGGTACTTCTCCAGAGCCTCATAAGCAGATGCTCGCCGCAGCAGGGGCTTAATGCTGAAGGGAACCAAGGCCAGTGCTCTAGAATAGGAGGCAAAAATGTCAACTGGCTGGCTGCTGAGCCACCAGGGTTTCCCTACAGTTTCTTCCAGGCAGGGTTATCTGGAGCACTCAGCGTACAGGAAGTAATTTCTGGCCGAGAGACATGGCTAAAAACGCCAAACCTCAGAACAGGGATTTTTCAACGTAGACTGAAGTGAGGAGGAGAAAGAAGGCAGAGAAACATGAATTTTGTTAAATGTGTGTGCACATGCATCAATTTTCATAGTTTCAGTTCCCCCAAAATCAAGAACAAAAGCCTCATGGCTTTCATGCTACTATGTTTTTTTACAGTTGTGGTCTAGTGGGAATAACAAACAAGCTTTGGAGTCAGATGGGGTGGTGTCTGAATTCCACCTCTGCTGCTAACTATGTGACCCAGGTAAATCACTTTACTGCCCCAACCCTCAGCAACCAAGTTCTGGCCTGGGACACATGGTAACCGTACCCCACAGATTGGTTGTGAACACTCAAAGAGGGAAATCTGGCACAAGGCATGGCACAAATTAATTCAGCACAGGCTCTGTGAGTATGCTCACACCCCTCCTGCTCTCCTGGCTATCACCAGGGCAGGAATCTAAAGCAATGTCAGAGGACATCAGATCTGAGAACACATTTCAGGTAAATGTGAGAGTTTAATGATGATAAAAGAATATTAGACTGGCTTGAAGAAAAAGAGATATGAAACATTGTTCAGTGTCCTCTAAAACTGGTCATTCATGAATACCATTTTTTTCCTTTCTCCTTCTGAGACAATCTATTAACCTCTATTCCTCCTTCTTTCCTTCGCTCCCTTCCCCTCACATACTCCCATCCCAGAAAAGCACCTGGGCAAGCCAGTTACTGGTCTGCCACTCCACCTTATTCCCAGGTTTCAAATTGCACAAAGACTTTACGGCCTGCTTCTAACTGCCCATCCCACTCCTTTTTCGGCAGCAGAGCCAAGACTCCAAAGATGCAAGTCACGGGCCATAAGGACCAAATAAAGACTCCCATTCTCAGTGACCTGGTGAAACTCAGTGACACTTTCTTAATATCTGTCCCAGATGTAATTGATGGGATCCTTCCAAAGAAGAAACAAGCCAGATTAACCCAGCCTCCTCTTCTGAGACCCTCAGGCATCCCAAAATTACCCTTGGCCACTTACGAAGTGCAATCTTTGATGCAGTCTCTGCAGTTTCCATCCTTCAAGTGACATGCTGCTCGGTTGGAGTAGAGAACACTTTCTTCTTCTGGGTCTGAAGAACCTGCCCAGATAGAGTGGGGAAGATGATCAGTTTGGAAAATGGGTGCCTCAGGGCATTAGGATACATTTCAAACTCAGAGCTCTTTGGGCCTTGTGTTAAGGCAGTAGAGATAACTATAACCTGTTCAGGCTTGTTGGTCTGCTGGGCTGGCGTGTTTGTCATTCTTATGTGACAGAAGGACACTGCGCTTTTTGCCATTCAAAGGGAACCAAGTATTTCCTCATTCACTCATTCCAGCACTGAACTTGATAACAGACAAAAGATAAACAAGAAATAGCTAGCTTCTGCCTCAAAGAAATCCATGCTGTAACTACTTGGGTTTGGGTGGATAAATGGATGGATAGGTGTGTATTTTATTACAAAAAGCATTTAAATCCAAGAAAGAAAGAAAAAAAAAAAAAGAAAAGAAAGGGAGGGAGGGAGGGAACAAGATGATAAACGTATGATAAATGGATTGACCAAAAGTTGTAGGGGCACAAAACACCCATGAAAGACATGAGACTAGTTTTACCTGGTCAAGCCAGGGAGGACTTTGTCAGGGAAATGATAATTGAGCTGGGTGTGATGGGAGTACAGAGAACTTAATCAGGAAAAAGTCTTAAGCTACCCCATGGGGAGAATTATTAGACATTCTTCTAAGGCAGTCCTTACCCTCAGGAATCGCAGAGGCTCAAGTCCTTCACTGTGGCCACCATGATCTTTATTTACGTATTTTTTTTTGAGACAGAGTCCTGCTCTGTTGCCCAGCCTGGAGTGCAGTGGAGCGATCTCCGCTCACTGCAACTCCACCTCCTGGGTTCAAGCAATTCTCCTGCCTCAGCCTCAGCCTCCTGAGTAGCTGGGATTACAGGCACTCGCCACCACGCCTGGTAGAGACAGGGTTTCACTATGTTGGCCAAGCTGGTCTTGAACTCCTGACCTCAGGCAATCCGCCTGCCTCGGCCTCCCAAAGTACTGGGATTACAGACGTGAGCCACCGTGCCCAACCAACAATGATCTTTATTTTTAAAGATAATTTTCAACCACTTCATACCCACTAGTGTCGGCCATTATTTTAAAAAGAATTGAAAACAGGGTCTCTTTTTGAAAATTTTGAAACATACAGAAGACCATTATCTCAGAATCCACCACTAGATTTAGCACGTTATATTAGTTCCCAACTTTTTTAATTTTTAGAGACAGCGTCTCCCTCTGTTGCCCAGGCTGAAGTGTAGTAGCACAATCATAGCTCACTGCAGCCTCAAACTCTTGGGCTCAAGTGATCTTCCCAGCTCAGCCTACCAAGCAGATAGGACTACAGGTGTGTACCCCCAAGCCCAGTTAATTTTTAAAGTTTTTGTAGAGACAGAGTCCCACTGTGTTGCCCAGGTTGGTCTTGAATGCCTAGCCTCAAGTGATCCTCCCGCTTTGGCCTCCCAAAGTGTTGGGATTATAGGCATGAGCTATGGCACCCAACCCTTAAAAATTTTTTTGATAAGCTAAAACTCCAGCCATCCCCATCCTTATCCCTGTGCTCCCTCCCCAGACTCACAGAGGCCAGTACAATCCTGAAGTTGGTATGTAACATTTTCAAGCATGTTCTACATTTACATATATATGTATATATGTATATGTATATATGTATACATGTACATGTATATATATGTATATGTATATATATGTGTGTGTGTGTGTGTGTGTTAACAGGAAAGATACCATTTTATGTCTATTAAAGCATTTCCTAAGAGGCATCATATTGCCTATCCTTCTGCAACTTACTTTTTTCACTCAGTATCCTGTTGCCATGTTGATATTTGATATCTTTCATTCAATACCAACAATAACAAGCGTTTTCCCCTCTTGTTTTGCCAGGCCCAGAGACGGAAAGTACAAAGACTAGTAAAATACATCCTTGCCCTTAAGGAGCTAAGTACCCAAAACCTGTAATCCATCTTGAGTCACCAGAGTACGGTTGCTCAGAAACAGCAGTGGTGCGGTGGAAAGGGCATCAACCCTGCGATCCGGACAAGTCACTCCATCCCTCTGATCATGCGTGCCCACCTACCACATGAGGATATCACTTCATAGACTTGCTGGAAGGGTTCATTGTGTTAGCCTGTTCCCTGAGCTCTCTTCGTGATCAAGAAGACTGATCAGATAAATCAAGAGACTTGCCCAAAATTACCTAGGAAATCTGTAGCAGCAGCAGAACCAAACTCCGGTCCTTGCTAAATCTAGATACCAGGCTAGCTTTTCTATGGACCCAGAATTAACCCATACAAATGTACAAGCTTTTCCAGACCAGCTGGGGTGAGATGAATGAAAATGGCAGCAACATCAATACCTCAGCTTCTTCAGCAACTTCATCAAGTAAGGCTGCCATGAGGAAGTGGGCCTAAAGGAGAGTTTTCTAGAACAAAGAAGGGGGCAAAGGAGTGGCTTGAAACTGCAAAAAGTGCAGACAAAAAAAAAAAAAAAAAGAATGAAATCTGGAGAGGATGTGAGGAGAGGTCTAGCAAAATGATTAAAAATTTGGACTTAGCATCAAAGTCAAACAGATCCATATTCAAATCGTGGCTCTTCCATGTCTTCACTATGTAACCCCGAGGGAGCCAATTTAACTCTCTTGGACTCCTCCTTTCTAAGCATTTTATCCACAGGGCCATAATAAAGATCAAAGGAGATCGTGTCTAAAATGTCTAGCACATGGTAAATCACTCAAGAGATGCTAGCCAAGAAAAGGAAAAAAAGGAAGGCGGCAAAGGGAAATAGGTACTGAACGGTGACTCACAGAAACCAGGATCCAAGGCTCCTTTCAAAAGTCAAGGCTTTAACCAATGAGGGTTTCTGATTAAGTCACCCTGGAGAAGGGGCTTTGGGCAAAGGTCTGCGGTATGCTGACGAAAGCTGGACGCTGGGAGAACTGGTAAGAATATGCTATTCTTCTGTTTCAAACTCTCCAGTAGCTTCCCATCCAGCAGCTTTCATGCCAAGCTTCCAGTTTGGCATGAAATCCGAACTCCTTAGCAGAGTTTACAACACCTCCACAATAAATAAGGGTCTGCCTTCCTAACTGACCTCATGTCTTCCTATTCCCTGCCCTGGCTCACTATGCTTTGACCCCTGAAACACACCATGTTTATATCGTCTTGGAGGGGGGGCCTTTCTCATTGCAGTTCACTTCAGGACCGAAAACCTTGTGCGCTTGGCTTCTCATCATTTAGACATCACCTCAAATATCACTTCTTTACAGATGTTGCCCTTGATCTCCCACTCCAGTCAACTCTATCACATCACCCTATTTGTCTTCTTCCTAACCCTGATTATCCCACAGGTCTCGTTTACTTACTGACTCGCTTAAGACTCACGTCCTCCCCACCGCCCCCACAAGAATGCGCTGTCCTTGAGAGAAGGGACTTTTTGTGTCTTGTTACACAGGCGGTATATAACAGCTACTCAACAAATACTAACTGAAAAATGAATTGCTGCGGGGGAGGAGGGTTTAGCTTTCTTCTCAGGGCTCAGAACGAGGCCTAAATAACTTAGGATGGGGGCCAACAGGGCAGTTAACAAGCAGGTGGAAAGAAAGGGCCGAGGAAGTTTCTGGTAGGATGCCGGAGTCGGAAGGGGCTGGAAGGGTGGGAGGGCCGGGCAGGACTGCTGGCCGCCGCGCGAGGCCCGGGCGGTGGTTGCGGGAGTTGGAGGAGCAGGCCCGGAGGTGAGATGGGGGCCGGGGTCGTACCTTGCGCCTGCAGCACCCGCAGCGCGCGGCCGTAGAGCGCGGAGGCCTCGGCGTACTGGCCGTTGCGGAAACTCTCATTGCCGGCGGCGCGGAGCTCCTCCACAGAGTCTGGGAATTTGGGGGCCATCCCGTGGCCAGGCCGGCGAGTTGGGAGCTCCTTCCTTCCTCCCCCGTGTGGTGCGGCACACCTTCCGGGCGCAAGCGCCGGCGGCGAATATCTCCGCCCAACAGCGAACCCGCGGCGAGGGGGCGGGGCCTGCGAGACCTGGAGGCCCGGAGCGTCCCGCCCTCTGCGCGTGCTCGGTTTGGAACTTAGGCTCCCTTGCACGCGGGGCGGCAGCATGCTCTGGGCTCCCTGAGTTGCTAGAACGCCGTGGATGACGCAGGGAAGGAGGCTGGCCCCGCTATCAGGGAGATTATGTCCTAGTGGGGTCCCCACAGGCAATTAACTGATAAGCAAACGAAGACTCTCATTTCATGTGATTAGTGCTGTAAGGAAAACAAAACAGGATAATGCAATGGAAAGTGACCACGTGTGGGCTATTTTAAATAAGGGGATGAAGGAAGGCCTTTCTCAGGGGGTAATAGTTGAGCTGAGACCAGACAAGATTTAGGGAATGCTGTTCCAGCCAGAGGGATGGTAAGTGCAAAGGTTCCAAGGCTAGAAAGTACCTGGTACCTAGTGCTCTATAGATATTTATTTAATAAATTAATGCACAGGTGGATTGATGGTGTCAAAGTCAACATATAGAGATGAATCTCTAAAGTTTAAATATTTTATTTGGCAATCAAGAATTGCAATTCAGGGCTTACACACAGACCAGGTTGTCTTTGGTATGTCAGAAGAACAAAGAGAAGGTTTGGAGATTTTTATAAAACAGAAATGTTACATATTGCTCTTCAAGGAAGTTTACAGGCACTAGTAAAGTGGGGGTTTATCAGCTTCTTGGGGAGCTGGCAAGCTTTGATTGGTAAGTGATAGTGGTGGATAAAACTCAGAATTGTAGCAGGCTGTTTCAGTAGCTATTAGATAAAACTGGTTTTAGGTTACAGCAGGCAGTTTTAGCAGCCAGGCTTGCAAAAAATTACTTTTTTGGAGCAATGTTATATGCCCTGAGTATTTGTTCCCCTGGCTTTTCAATTCTGTCTTAGTTGGATATGACAAGAATGACCCAATTCGTATGATCAGCTTTCAGAATGGATGAAGATCTTTCACAGAGTGTGACTTCAATTTATCTCCAGCCTCATCTGACGACTCTATGTCCCACGCATTGCTATCTACACACACTAAATTCTTGCTTCCTAGCCTTTGCTTGTTATCTCCTTCTCCTGGATTTTTTTTTCTAAATACTTTTTCTCCTGCCTAATCCTGAATTAACTTATAACATTCCATTCAAACATCATCTTCTCTGAAAGCCTTTCCTGCTTCCAGCCCCCTCCCCACCCCCCACTATGCTCCCTTTGCTCCCTATTGGTCTCTAGCTTTATCCCTAACTTTGCATTAGTCACCCTTTGATTGCCAGTTTGTAGTTTTCCTTAAACACTGCGAGGTCTTTAATGGCAGGAAGTGGGTCCTTTTTATCTTTGTTTATCCAAGACCCTAATAGGGTCTGGCATCCAATAAAAGTCATTGATTGATAAAGATCTAGTCTCTACCTTCAGGAATTCAGTTATAATGATCTGCATACACTTAACTCCACCAGACTATAAGCTTTCTGAGGGCTGGATGGCTGTTCCATCTGAAATGCTTCCCCTTGCCCTCTGCCCCGACCAAGGATGAACACTGACTGTGGTGGGAAAACCAGATGAGGCCCATGCTGCTGGCTGGCTACTCAGTGACTTCCATCTTTGCTTCCAGGAGCCTGAATTTTGCCTGAGACTCTCCCAGCCTGGGGAAGTGAATCAGGATTGCTCTAAGCCAATTAGAAAAATGTCATTTTCTCTTGCCAGTGATTCATCAAGGGATGCACATGTGATGCTGATCTGGGCAATGAGATAAAAGGGAGTCTGAGGCTGGTCGCAGTGGCTCACATCTGTAGTCCTAGCACTTTGGGAGGCCGAGGCGGGTGGATCACAAGGCAGGAAATCGAGACCATCCTGGCTAACACAGTGAAACCCCATCTCTACTAATAATACAAAAAATTAGCTGGGGTGGTGGCACGCACCTGTAGTCCCAGCTACTCAGGAGGCTGAGGCAGGAGAATAGCTTGAACCCGGGAGGTGGAGGTTGCAGTGAGCTGAGATTGCACTGCTGCACTCCAGCCTGGGCGACAGAGCAACACTCCGTCTCAAAAAAAAAAAAAAAAAAAAAAAAGAGTCTGCTGAGTGTTTATGGGAAAGGTTTCCCTCCCCATAACAGAGAGGTACTGGGTCAAGTAGCCATTCTTGCTCTTTTTCTGCTTTGGGTAGTGCTGGGTTAAGGATATGATACCTGGAGGTGTGGCAGTCATTTTGCAACCATGAGGCAATAAACACAAGTATGAAAAGCCAACATGCTGAGTAGGATGGGAGGGGAAAAAATGAAATAGATATTGCTGAGTCATTGAATCAACTGCTGACTTATTAGCTTATTAATAAACAATAAAGGCAAGGTGTGGTGGCTCACAGCTGTAATCCCAGCTCTTTGGGAGGCCGAGGTGGACGGATCACTTGAAGTCAGGAGTTTGAGACCAACCTGGCCAACATGGTGAAACCCCATCTCTACTAAAAATACAAACAGTAGCTGGGCGTGGTGGCATGCGCCTGTAATCCCAGCTACTCAGGAGGCTGAGGCAGGAGAATTGCTTGAATCCAGTGAGCCCAGATCACTGGGCTGCTGTGGTCCATCCTGGGCAATACGGCGAGACTCTGTCTCAAAACAAACAGTAAATGCCATGGTGCTTTAAGCCAACATTTAGATGTTTTCACTTGCTTGCAGCTGAATATTTCCTGAGTGGTTTATCGGATAAGTGTAGCTGTGGCAAATTTTATTTTCCAAAAATGGCCCCAATAATATTTCTGGTTCCCCAAGCTCTTCCAGACCCTTGCCACTGCCCTATGAGGAGGTGGAGTCTGCATCCCTTCTCCTTGAAACTGGGTGGGCCTTTGTGGCCCCCCTCCACAGTGGTAATGACATTAAGTATCTTCCACTAAAAGGCACTGCAGCATCCCACTTGGCTCTCCCTCGGGAACATGCTTTAGAACCCAGGCTTTATTTTGTGAGGAAGCTCAAGAAAAATGGAGACGCCCCTAGCCTTCAGACCCAAGTGAGCTTCCAGCCAACAGCTAGCACCAACCTGTCAGCTGTGTGAAATGCCTTTTGGACAGGGCTGATTGATCCTGATTGACACCATAAACAGAGATGAGCCTTCCTGCTGAGCCATGCTCAAATTGTAGATTTCTGAGAAGAAAAAAAGACTGTTGTTCTATGCCTATAAACTTTGGGGTGGTTTCTTACACAGCAGTCAATACCTGGAAATCCCTTCCTGCAGTGCTTCCTATAAATGCCAGGACTGATAAAAACAGTACTGAAATAATTTGAAGGAGGGACAGATGAGAGGGTCAGGGGAGGGACAAGGGAACAGAGAAGTCTTCTGGGAAGAGGTGTCTTTTTTTGTAAAATAGCTTTATTGAGATATAACTCACATATTGAAAGTGTACAATTCAATGCCTTTTAGTATATTCAGAGTTGTATAACCATTACTACAACCAATTTTAGAACATTTTCATCACCCCAAAATGAAATCTCACACCTTTTAATCATCCCCTCCAATTCACCTATGCTCCCTTCCACCAGGGCCTTAGACAACCACAAATCCACCACAGGATTTGCCTATTCTGAACATCTCCAAACCTGCCAAAGCTATGCCATTAAAAGGCACTACAGCAAAGAGCATCATGCAACTTGCATCACACTGGGGGCCTGGCACAGAAGTGGCGGTGGTGGCACCAGGCAGGGCCTGATCCACGGGGTCCAGGGTGACCATGTGGGTCATGCAAATGGCATTACACAAATATGCCATGCTTGGCTAAGTTTTTTGTAGAAAAGGGGTTTCACCATATTGCCCAGGCTGGTCTCGAACTCCTGTTCTGCCTTGGCCTCCAAAAGTGCTGGGATTACAGGTGCAAGCCATCATACCCAGTCCCTTGAATACTGTTATGCAATTGTTCCCCATTTTCTGCCAGGTGTTGGTTTGAGGATCTATTAGGATACTAAAATGTGAGTATACTCATGTACTATAGTTGACCCTGCAGAACCTATGGAAACGAAAAGTCAGCCCACCCTATACACAGGTTTCACATCCCATACTGTATTTTCCAACCATGTTTCATTGTGGATGTGGAACCCTCTGATAGAGAGGGCTGACTGTATTTATTGAAAACAAAACAAAACAAAACAAGGGTTGTATTGGTGGACCCATGCAGCTCAAACCCTTGTTGTTCCCAGGTCAACTGTATATCCAGAGCTTATAGGAAAATACCTCTCCCAGTAACCCTGCTCACCATTTCTCTCTTAAGCTATTATTATGATTAGCCACGGTTTGCTATTTAAATTTAAATTTAAATAAAAATGTGGCCTTTCAGTTATGCTAGCCACATTTAAAGTGCTCAATAGCCATATGTGGCTAATGGTTACTATTTCGGACAGCACATATTTAGAACATTCCCATCATTTCAGAAATTTTCATTGGGAACACTCTGCGGAAAAAGGGGGCCATCATAATGTGAGTCCATCTTCTGGAAAAATCCTGGGAAGGGGACAAAGGAGGTCTGTTTGGCATTGTGTAATGGTAATTTGGTATTTAATTTTCAAAAATGTTTACCCAATTCCTATTCATCAGCCAGGTGTGGTGGCTCTTGCCTGTAATCCCAGCACTCTGGGAGGCCGAGGTGGGAGGACTGCTGCAGCCCAGGAGTTTGAGACCAGCCTGGGTAATAATAGGGAGATCCTGTTTCTACAAAACACCAAAAACAAAACAACAACTTTGATGTTGTGGAGTCAGGACAGTCCTGGGTTAAAACCTTTGCTCTCCTTAGCTGTGTAAACCGTGGGTCTCAGCTTTCTTATCTGTTAACGGTAGGTACTTCTTCCTAGGGCTGTTTTGAGGATTAAGTGAAAGTCCAAGATTGTGTCTGGCACACAGTAGCTTCTCAGCAAATGTTTTCCTCCTATGTCAGGGAATGGCTCCTTTATCCCGTTTTGGGCCCATGGGTGGCCCTGAAGGGTGGGTGCTCAGGTGTTAAGTTCTGTAGATGGCATATCCTTGGGAAAAGCAAGGCAATTAAAAACAGTGAGAGGTTGCTCTGGTTAAGTTTTCTCCTATAACTTTCCCCATGGGTCAATTGGGTAGAATCTGCCATTTTCCTAATACTTACTGATGGTAGTGGCATTCGGAAGCACAATAGCTGAAGCCGGAGCTCTGAGTGGAGAGAAAGGTCTGTTTCTCAGGCCCAAAAAGAGGTTACACACCCATGGCTGTCCAGTTTGGTGGTGCAGGCCCTGAAATCAGACCAAACTGGATTTAAATCCCCAAACCTATACTCTAAGCTATGTGACCTTGGGCTAGATACTTCACCTCTCTGGCCTTATGAAGTAGGAATAATAATAATACCGTCTAGGTTGTTAGGAGTATTAAATGAGGTAAAGCACTGAAAACGTTTAGGGACTGTGTTAAATCATTAAATAAATAAAAACGGGGATGACCTTATCGGCTTGACACAGGGGATTAAATGAGATAATATATGAAGACAAGTACACGGCAAATGCTTAATTAATGTTGCTTATTTTTATGTCTGCAAACTGACTTAAAGGGGAGGCCTTTAAGAAAGACAGTGGGGCAATTTGCGCGTTGATGCATTGTAGGAGAAAATGTGCAGGGGGCCCGTTGGGACCAGAGTTCAACCAGGTAAGCGGCAGAAAACCACAAATACCTCCAGGCGTTCCTGGGGCAGCGCCGCCTCCCCAAAATCACGCAAAACTTGGTTTGCTAAGAATTGTCAGCTCTTCTAAAGGAGGCGCTTCACGCATCTCAGTCTGTGAAATGGGACCCAGGACCCAGGTAGAGGTGCGTTCTCGGCCTGGGGACCGAGTATTTTGTGCGCTCCGGTAACGCAGGAAGACAGCGCCACTGACACTCTAGAGACCAGCGGGCACCGCCTGGAGGCGCCTTCACCACTTGGCGGTTCCGGGTCCGCGCCCCACCGCGCCACAAGACTCACGCCCGAACCACGTGATCAGGGCCGTGGCTCCGCCCCGCTCCCGCGCCGCGCGCCGCTTCCGGTAGGGGCGGAAAGCGGAAGTGTGGGAGGGTCTGCGGGGCGGGCTCAGGAGGTCCGCGGGAGGATGGAGCAGTGAGCGGGTCTGGGCGGCTGCTGGCAGCGCCATGGAGACGGTACAGCTGAGGAACCCGCCGCGCCGGTGAGGGGCCACTGGCTAAGAGGACGGGCATGGGGTCAGGGGAAGAAAAGGCGGGAACTGGTTGAGGGGATACACCTGTGTGGGAGTCCCCGGAGCTAAGCGACCCAGCCGATGGGGCACCTGCTGAGTGAGGGGGGGGACGTCTGGTGGGTGAGGGTCCGGCTGAGGGGAGCATCTGCTAAGGAGGTTAGACTTGGGACCGGTTAGAGGGAGCACTCGCTGTGGTGAGACTGTGCTGAGGAACGTGGGGACAAGTTAGGGAGAGTACCTGCTGAGGCCGGGCCACTCGGGGGAACGCTATCCAAGCAGGGACTCACGGAGGTGGGGGCGAATGCTGAAGCAGGGTGAGAATCTGTGAGGGATCTCTTTAAGGGGGTGGATCGAGAACTGGCCAAGAGGAAGGCCGGGTGGACTTTCTAAGGGTCTGAAGTCCCACTTGAGGGGTGCGGTGGGGGGATCTGTGGAGGGGAAAAGCTTTGCGCCTAAGGCTGAAAGCATGCGAGGAAAGGTTGAGGGTCTAGCAAGGGAGGGGATGGTGGAGGGTAGCATTTCAGAGGATGCTGTTGGTGGTGTCCCCACTGTAGGATGGCATCTTTTATTACTGATGTTCAGTGTCTTCCTAATGGTCTTCACATCCTCCTCAGCTCTTCAGAACCTGACATTGGGAGGTAGGTAAGGAAATAAGAGGATATTTTCGAGATGGGGAGACTGAGGTCCAGAGTAGTTGGGAAGTGTTTCCTTCTTTACTCCGGGTCACTGAACCCTGCCAGTCTGTGCCCTTTTCAGGCCTCAGTTGTTTTGTGAATATCAGCACCAAATCCTAGTGGTACCTGGAATTGCTTTAGTTCAAGATCAGGATGGTGGCTGATCCTAGAAAATCTCAACTCCTGGATTTCCCTTGTGGACATCCCGGGTCTTTTGCCACTCTACCACATCTGGAGAAAAGTAGGGACTAGAGACCGAAGGAGTCATGCTTCTCTGAGGTTCAGTGTGGTTACTTCTATTTCACAGAGACGTCTGACTTCCTGCAGCAGAATGAGCTCTAAAGAAGGAAGTGTTCAGGGTGTGGAAGTGCAGGGCAACCAAGAGGTGAAGAGAAGGGATTGACTGCCTGGGCAGCACTCTTAGGGGTTGTTTGAGCTTGGGGATGTTTGAGGTGCACAAACATTGCAGAAGGCAAATAGGTGGTTGGGATGGGCTTTGGATTCACCCTAGCGTAGTGTGCTGAGACTGTAATAGTAATGATTATTACACTCATATTGCACTTACCGGGTGCCAGGCACTGTTCTAAGTGCTTTCCATGTGTCCTGCTGAAGCATATGAAATTGCTGATATTTGACCATTTTTGAACCATAAAAACCTCATTTGAACTCATTTGAACCTCACAACAATCCTGTGTGGTAGATATCCCTATATGTCTGTTTTACAGATGATAAAACTGAGATACAGAGGGTAGTGATTTGCTGGGAGAAGTCATAGCAAGTAAGAGACAGAGCTAGGATTTTAATGTCTATGGGGTCTGGTCCAAAGTCCATGTTCTTTTTTTTTTTTTGAGACGGAGTCTCACTCTGTCGCCCAGTCTGAAGTGCAGTGGCGCAATCTCGGCTCACTGCTACTTCCGCCTTCTGGGTTCAAGCGATTCTCCTGCCTCAGCCTCCTGTGTAACTGGGACCACAGGTGCGTGCCACCACGCCTGGCTAATTTTTTGTAGTTTTAGTAGAGACGGGGTTTCACCGTGTTAGCCAGGATGGTCTCTATCTCCTGACCTCGTGATCCGCCCACCTTGGCTTCTCAAAGTGGTGGGATTACAGGCGTGAGCCACCGGGCCCGGCCATGCTCTTAACTGCCTCACTCTGATGCCTCTCTAAAAGTACCCCTGTTTCACAGGTCTCTGTGTATGTTAGCAGATATTTACTATAGTACCATAGTGATCCAATTATGAATGCACACTAGTTATGTTTCTTTCTGAACTATGTTCGTTCGTTCTTCTTGGTTTCTTTCTCCGAGGCCTTGGTTTAATTGAAAAGAGGATTAGGAATCTGAGTTTTGTTTCCCCCTTTGCCTTGTCTTACATAATCTTGAGCAAAGGACTAAAGTTTCTTGGCATGCTCATTCCTGTACCTTTTGGATTTTAAAAAATGTATTAAAAGCACAAGAGAAGAGCATTGCAGGACTGGGTTCTGAAGTGGCTGGTGATTCCCAGCTCATTGTAACTAGTAGATTGCCTAATTTGAAGCAGATCAATTTTATTATCACGTGTATCAGTTTATCAGGACAAGACAAAGTGTCATGGAGTGGGTGGTTTAAGCAACGTAAATTTATTCTCTCACTGTTCTGAAGGCTAGAGATCTGAAATCAAGGCATTGTCAGAGTTGTTTCTTTTGACGCCTTTGCTTGACTCGTAGATGGCCATCTCCCTGTGTCTCCATGTTCTTCCTTCTGTACCTGTCAGTGTCCTAATCTCCTCTTATAAGGACACCAGTCATACTGGATTAGGGCATGCCCATATGACCTCATTTTATCTTAATTACCTCTTTAAAGGCCTTGTCTCCAAATACAGTCACATTCTTAGGTGGTGGGTATTAGGACTTCAGCATATGAATTGGGGTAAGCTGGGGACACAGTTTTATTATGTAAGATTTTGTCCATTTATCATGTATAGTTGTTGTAATCCATATCAAATTCTGTGTGGAAAAAGAAATAGTTACACATAAAATGAACTTTATGGGAGTTCTGAAATGGGAGAAAGCTTTGAGAATTAGCCAGACCTGTAAGTGACTACTTCATAGACACCATTACTTGTGTTTGGAAAGATACAGGTGTCTTTTCAGAAATTCAGATGGCATGTGTTTCCAATAACCCCAGTGCAGGAAATGCCCTTTGTGTTCGTGAGTTTGACATTTGTGTGTGTGTGTGATTAAGTGATGACAGATTGGTGTCTCATATAGGAGTTAATAATTTTAAAAAATGAGTTGCCATTAGATTAATGTTATAGTGGAAGGCGTAGAGTGCATTCCTGGGATGCTGGCCATCCACATGGCCATCTGACTTAGGAGAGGAGCATCCACCAGTATTTGGTCCATGGATGCTCTGTTGATCAGGCTTGTTCATTTATGAGCAAGTGCTGAAACCGTCTGGAACCTGGGGAAGTCCCAGATAAGAGAACTGTATTATCAGAGTCAGGCTGTTTTGGTAATAGTGTTTTTTCTGTGAAGAGTCATGGTATAAAATATTATTATGAATCACTTATCAAAATATTTTTATAGAAATGTTGATAATTCAGTAATACTTCTTAGGTGAAATTCTGTTTTATTGTGATAATTCAAAGATTGCTGATGAAATTCGTGATTCCCATCATTACATTTGTGAATCCATTTCACAAATATATTTTGACCACCTCTTGGTTATCAGGCACCAGAGATGTAATAGCGCCTTAAGTTCAAGTTGTTTTTAATAGCCCCGGATCAAAAACAAACAAAAAAGCACTTAGATTGTTTCAAAGATGTATTCGAGCCGTCATATGCTAAATGACGAGTTAATGGGTGCAGCACACCAGCATGGCACATGTATACATATGTAACTAACCTGCACATTGTGCACATGTACCCTAAAACTTAAAGTATAATAATAATTAAAAAAAAAGAAAAAAAAAGTTTGTCAAAGTATTATCAGAGGTTTGCAGCTGTCTATCTCAAGGCAGTGGCAATTTCCTTTGTTATGCTGTGGTCCCTGAAGTAGTTGAAATAGTGACTTTTGCATTTTGTAAACCACAGAGAGTCAACACTTCAAAGAAACATACTTGATCTTCCTTTGTATAAGCTGTTTATACAACTTTGATTATACTTGAGAAGTGAGGTATTGTCCAATGTTTATACAATTACAATTCAGGACTTTACCAAAAAAACCCTGGCATATGAGATGTTCGTTCTGACTTCTGAGTTTATAGAAGTTTCAGTTCTGAAGTTTAAGAGGAGTTTCACTTCATCCCTTTTCATTTTGAAGGTAGGAGTTTTTATGATGTCATTGGTATTTAATTTTTAGGACCTTTTGATTTTCAAAGGTCACTGTGATCATTTTGTTCTGTTGATATCAAGTTAAGGCAGTTTTGACTTGGAGCAGTTCTCCATTTCTCTAGTTTATAGTCCTTGATATTCATAAACTATAAGATTGTCCTTCTGAGATCAGTGTTTATTGGTAGATACACTTGATGTGGTCAGGGTTTTTGTTGGTTTGTTTTATTTTTTGTCTTCTAATTTTAATCTGTTTTATTTAGGAAGGTACACATTTGTGTGTGTGTGTGTGTGTGTGTATGTGTGTGTATTTAAGTCTTTTGTTGTAATAATTGATATTATCCAGCTAGTCTAAACCTTTTTTTTTCTACAAAGAGGTCTCCAGTGTGACTACTTCCATATTTCACCGTTTCCTCAGCTCTCTATTCTTTGTTGTTCTTTGTAGTTTCAGGAAGCCATTGTGTAGACTACACACACACACACACACACACACACACACACACACACACACATATTCCTTGGCAAGTTCCTTCTTTAAGCTCATTAGTAATTTTCAGAGATCTCAGAGTTTTAAAAAAATGTTAATTTATAACCTCCCATGTTTGTTATGATTGTCTAGCATAGTCAGAAATCTGAATTATCTGGAAATTGTGAGCAGCCAAGTACCTTTGATTTTTGGGACTAGTCAAAGGTATGTATCTACTCATAGGAAGGTCTTTGTGAGAATATCTGAAACTCACAGCTGCCTAGTGATTTTTCACTTTTGATCATATCTAAATGTACACTTTCCACTTTCTGTTTCTGTGATACCTACAGAATTTATGTGTTTTGACAAACTTACAAAAAACTTGCTAATGGAAGAGCAAAGGTTTCCCGTGTCTTCCTTAGTCTGCAGTCCAATTCATAGTTATGTTTCAATTCATAGTTACCTTACATTAAACACCTTTTCTGAAGAGATAATTACATCATTTTAATTCATGAAATCTCAAGATTTAAATAGATTTTGAAGGATACATCGAATGCTTGAATCTACAGCATTTCAGCCACATGACTTTTTTTTTTTTTTTTTTTTTTTTTGAGACAGTCTCTCTCTGTCACCCAAGCTTGAGCGTAGTGGCGCAATTTCGGTTCACTGCAAACTCTGCCTCCTGGGTTCACGCCATTCTTATGCTTCAGCGTCCTGAGTAGCTGGGATTACAGGCATGCGTTACCACGCCCAGCTAATTTTTTTGTATTTTTAGTGGAGACGGGGTTTCACCATGTTAGCCAGGATGGTCTCGATCTCCTGATCTCGTGATCTGCCTGTATCGGCCTCCCAAGAAACCTTGTTTCTTAAAACAGTCTTAACTAGTGAAGTCTGTATAGAGAAGTTCCTGAGATGCTAATTATAAAAAAAAGATATATTTTATGTTCTAGTTCCTAGCAAATAAAATGTATTTTGTGTTTATATTTCTTTATTCACAGGCAGCTGAAAAAGTTGGATGAAGATAGTTTAACCAAACAACCAGAAGAAGTATTTGATGTCTTAGAGAAACTTGGAGAAGGGTGAGTGTAAAGAAACTATAGGTAGGTCATTGGGTCCCAGTCTTTTTCCTGCCCCAGAAGAAGCAGAAGGATATGAACCTTTCAGCATTGTTCTAGGTGGGGTGGAAGGTAAATTTACAGCTTGTGATGTCCTTCTTCGCTTTACTCCAATCCCTATTATAGACAGATTTAGTGATTCCTGGTCTTTTTAACACGAAGAATATCTATTGTTTTCTCTTTTGTAGGATCTGTATGATTTTATCTACTTAACAGATAGCACTAATTAGATTAAAATTCTATAAGAAACTTTTTAATTTGCTGTTCATAATTTCTGATTGGTATGCAATAACTGTTTCAATGAAAATCAATGTAATTTAGTATTTTAATATTTGCACCTTTGTGAAATATAGTAAATAAATTAAGCACTATCACCACCTTCACAGCTACTTAGGAGATCCACAATCCTGGGTTGGGAGCCAGTGGATTTCCTGAAACACAGATTTGTTAATGCGTTTATAAAATACTGATGAAATGATATTAGTAATGTGCAGTGACCATCATTGACTTTCATGATACAATTAAGTTTACATAATTTTTATACTTTTATATATCATTTTAATTCAATCCTGTGTATTTATTCCTTCTTCTGTAATGACCAGGAAATTAAAATGTTAATGACACCATTTCTTAAGTTTTTCTTGTTAATTTTTGAATAGGCGATACAATCATATGATTCAAAATTTAAAAAAATATTAAGACGCATACAATAAAAAAAAAAAAAAACTGCCTCCTACCTCTCTCTGTCTCTTAGCCACCCAGAATCACCAAGGGTAGCGGCTTCTTGTGTGTCTTTCAGAGACAGGCTATGTGTGTGCGAGCGCACACTCGTGTTTGTGTGTGTGTGTGTCTGTATTTTTAATCCCTTGGGAGTATTTCTGGATCAAGGGAAGACCTGACATACTAACTTGTAAAAACAACTACTGACTGATGACTATATGCTCTTTAAAATAATTTCCTTTATGTCATTAGATTATTTTTTGGGTTTAGTATTTTTTATGTTAGGAGACAGATTTACAACGTTAAACCCAATCCTGGATTACATGAAATGGTTTTTTTATGATTTACCTCCTTGTAAAAAACATGAGTCATCGTCTTTTTGTAAGTTGGAAAAATACTCTTTGGAATCCAGCAAGAAATCAAGCAGAGAAGGGAAGTAAAAATGACACACCAGCTGTGCTGTGAAAAGACAAGTCCAAGATGAATCTGAAGACTGCCAGTTGACTGGCATCATTAAAGGTATGGGGAAATGACAGTCCCTCTACATCTGTTGCCTGCCATTTTCAGCTTTAGCTTGCCATCCTTGCTATTTTCCCTAAGGCAGCAAGGCTGTGACCTTTAATCTAACAATGCTCATAAGTTATACTTAGAATAAGTTCAAGACTGATAGGCATAATTGACTATGTAACTTATTTCTCTCATTTCTAATACAGTTTGCTCTTACTACTACAATGTGAGGCTGACCTGGGTTAAAATCCTTGCTCTACTGTTTACTGGTCATAATAGACAAGTGGGCTTAAGCAAATTGCTTACTATTTTGGAGGCTCACAATCCTCATCTGTAAAGTTGGGATAATAATATATCAATTCATAGAGTTGTGTTATTACCTGAGGTAATTGGGGTAAAGTATAGTGCTTATCACAATAATAAATGTTCAGTAAGTGGCAACTATTGCTATTCTATTTTAAATGTATCAACTGAAGCATTTTCAAGACCTCATCATGTCAAGTCTTAAAGTATTTTTAGGTGTTGTTATAGGTAGCTCTGAGCTGATTGGGTTTGTGGAATGTCAAAGGAAGACTATAGACAGAGAATATATCAGAAATATAATGTAAACAAAAAATAAGCTAATTATGATTTTTTAAATTGTATTTTATTTATTTGTTTGTTTATTTATTTTTGTAGAGACGAGGTCTCACTGTGTTGCCCAGGCTGGTCTTGAACTCTTGGCCTTAAGTGATCCTCCTGCCTCAGCCTCCCAAAGTGCTAGGATTAGAGACGTGAACCACTGCACCTGGACAAATTGCGTTTTAGATCTATGGATGTCTTCTGCAAGGAATGTGGAAATTTCCCTATGAAGATATCACCAGGGAGAAAACAAAGCTTCAGATCTTTCTTCCCATACTATCACCTTATTGTTCTTCTAAATAATACCAGATTTCTGGTATTTCTTGGATTTCTGTTATTCTGACTGAATGAACCTAAGCAAGCCTCATTTAACTAGGAATATTTTGAAGGAAGACCTTCACTGCACTTCTTTTCCAAACATGTGACACAATGCTATTCTTTTTTTTTGAGATTAAGTCTTGCTCTGTCACCAGGCTGGAGTGCAATGTCACAATCTCGGCTCACTGCAACCTCCGCCTCCCAGGTTCAAGCGATTCCCCTGCCTCAGCCTCCTGAGTAGCTGGGACTATAGGCACACACCACCACGCCCGACTTATTTTTTGTATTTTAGTAGAGATGGGGTTTCACCATATTGGCCAGGATGGTCTTGATCTCGTGATCTTGTGATCTGCCTGCCTCAGCCTCCCAAATTGCTGGAATTACAGATGTGAGCCACCACGCCTGGCCAATGCTATTCTTAAATTGTTCGGGAGGATGAATGGTTTGTGAACTCTCACTGACTTGTATCTTGTGAAATGAGCTATGGCTAAAAAAACTGTTGGATTCTGGAGGCTGCAATCATTCTGTGTTATGAGGATCATATGGATCTGTGGCAGAGTAGAGCCAAAGCTCCAGACCAGGATGAGTGGAGAGCACTTGGGAAGTGTTTTCAAGTGGAGCCTAGCACCTTTTTTCTTCTACTTAAAGTTGTACACATTGACTCATTTGAATTTTTATCATAGAATGATAACAAAAGCATCTTGCCCATGGTTTCATAAAAAATGAGTGCTATTGTTAAGACTTGTATCTGATTAATTTGGCCTCAGATACTGTGGTATTTCCATTTTTCTACATAGATCCTTGCCTTGCATGGCTTATGTAAAACACCTACTTCTCCATTCTCTGCTGTCAGTTGTAATTCATTGAATCATCTCATTTTGTTGTAGGGAATCAAGTTTTAAGGGACTTGCTTGTGAGTATGATTGCTGAAATCTTCTAACCACCCCCTATCCCTGCCTTCAGATTACTGTAGATGCAGTATATGGAATCAGGAATCTTAACTTCATGTGAGCTATTGGAGTTTTCCTTGCTATCAGGATGCATAGGGAGGTATGAAGAGTGTTCTGGTCAAGATTGCTGAGTGAGTGTATGAAGAGAACTTTCTAATATATAAGAATAATGAGTGAAAATTATTTTAAATATAAGGATATATAGACAGCTATGGACAAGGGATAGGAAAGAAATCTAAATAATCAGCGGAGACTAAAGCATGCCTTATCCTTGTCAGGAGATTGCATTTGAGCTTCCTGCATGAAGTTGGGGGCTGGAACTCGGCTCTCCATCTGTGAACTAAAGCTGAAATAAATTTGCCTGACCACAACCAGAAAGTGTCATTTGCCTGTGGCCTAGGGAAAAAATGGATATACTGGTTCGATAATAGGAACTGAGCTTGGATTGTATTTAAGTATGGTATCTTGAAGGGCAAAAACCCCAAACTCTGAATATAAGACCTGGTTTAAGTTGTATATCCCAGACTACTGTACTGAGAAAACCATGAAATCATCGACAGTGAGTGTGGTATAGAGGAAAATCATTCAAGAGAAAATGAAATCCATGCAAGGAAATCTACTGCCATGAGATAATCAGCAGAATGGGAGAATTCACACTGAAGGAAAAAGAAATAATGAAGCAATCTCAAAAACAATTTAATATAATTACAATTTTCAAAAAGATCAAGGAGGAGATAACATTTTTAAAAGGACATCAGATTATTGACATGATTATTAACATATTTGCCCAAAGGCAGATAAAAAGTTGGGAATCTTGACAATGAAAACTACAACAATTGAAGTTTTAAAAGCCCAATAAATTGGATAAACAGTAAACTAGACAAACTGAAAGGAGAATTTGTGAATTGAAAGATAGAAATGAGACTGATCACAACATGCAGAAATACAGTGTTGGAAACCAGGAAGACAACATAGATTGAGGAGGTCTAATACAGTTTTGGTAGGAATTCTAAAAGAAGATCCTAGAAGTGGTAGAGGAAATAATCACATAATAATCCTGAGAGTTTTTCATTCTTGAGGAAAGACACGAGCCCTCAGATTGAAGAAGTTTATGAAGTGCCAGATCAACTCCTAGTTACATTACAGTAGAATAGTAGACTGTTAAGGACAAAGGAAACCTTAAAAACTATGGGGAGATTACCCATGGAAAATGATAATCTGATAAAAGCTGACTTCTCAGCCACAGTCGATGTTGGAACACTGCAACAACAGTGCTGAGGGAAAGCTGTTGTCAATCCGGTATCCAACCAAACTATCATTCTAGAGTGGAGGTGAAATAAAGACAGTTTCAGACATACAGGAGCTAATTTATCAAGAATGCCTTTGGATGGAAGTAACAATACCCAACAAACAGTGGCTAACCAATAAAGACATTAAGAACTAAATAATACATCTGGGGGTGTGAGATTCGAGAAGCCGTTAATTGGCTTGACAATGGTTTGACATCTGGGTAATTCTCGTAGTCTCAAATGGCTGCATTAGTTTCAAGCATCATCCCTCACATGGCAGTAACCAAAGAAAGAAGGGAAGTGGCAGGTGGAAATGGGCCTTCTTGTGTGCTTGTCTCCTACCAGGGAAGAAAGTCTTTCCCAGAAACCTTTCAGCAGAATTATCTTCAAATTTCAGTGGCCAGAACTGGGCGACATGTTTGCCACTAGTTCAGTCACTGGCAGAAGGGAATAGGAATTCTGTGAGTGGCTTGGACTACCATGGTATATCTCCTGGGACGAAGCACATCACCACTGTAACAAATTAGGAAGTTATTTTAGCAAGGAAGAAGGGACACATGCTCAACAGTTGCCTCTCTCTGGCAAAAAGTATTTGGTGTAATATTTAAGGATGATTATGCTAGTTTTGCAAGTATGACAGCTTCTAATGGAATGGAAATATTTTTATGTGCTCTGCATAGACTTAAAAAGTTTTATGTTACTTTCACATTGAAACAGTTCATGAGCATCTATTTGGCAGTTAGAGTATTGTACTTTGACATAGTAGGTGGCACTGCTATTTTGATTTTTTTTTTCACCAAGACAGTGTGAAGATACAGATGTGTTGGGAAATATGAAAGACAGTTTACTCAGTATTATTTCACTGACAGCTGCCCAGGATTCCAATGAAAATGTTATCTGTATAAAGTGATGATGGTATCTCATTTGACCATCACAAATGAGATACCATCACATCTTGTAAGGTAGTTTGTATTATTGTCATTTTACAGATGAGAAAATTCAGGTACAACAAGGTTAATAAGGTGTAAATGATAGCTAAATGTAGTGTTGGTAGGACTCAAATCCAGCTTCTTTACTTTCAAAATCTAGTGGATCTGTAGCCTCCAAATTGACTAGATACACAAACTTTATTTTGATATTAAGCTGTTAAGGGAAGATGGAGTAGGAAGCAAAGAGTGTGTGTGCTGTGTTTACCTGATACTAATATTAAACAGGCTTAGATTTTAATTAGTTTCCATAATATTTTAAGTATTATTGTAAGTAAGAGGAGCAAGGACAGAAAGATCTTGTGGTACTAGAGTGAATACAATAAAACAAAGACTGCCACTTCCATATTGTACCCCAGTATAGATGGGGAGACAACGTAAGCTTTGTTTTCAGACACACCCGGGTTCAAATCCTGGACTGATAACACAACTGGTTTCAAATCCTGGACTGATAACTTATGTGACCTTGGGCAAATCATAAACCCCTTTGAACCTTTTTACATTTACCTGTAAAATAGGGATAGTCATCTCATCTTCATTTTTTGTAGGAATGAATTGAGATGGTGTACAGTCTCTAGCAGATAGCAGGCATGCAGTGCATGGCAGCTACTATATTACCATCTCATAAGAATACATTCATTACAGTTTTGAATGTGAAGCTTTCAAGATGCCATTTTGTTGTAGTTCTCTTGACAGTTTTTTCCCCAAAAGTATTTTAGCTATCTTAGTTTTGCAAGTGTATATGTATTAGGCACTTAGGGATATATGTTAGAACTATCAGTTGCTTGTGTTTTACCACTTCTTATATCTTGGCTTGCTTTGACTTTATAAATGTTCTTCTTCTCCCAAATGTATAGGTCCTATGGCAGCGTATACAAAGCTATTCATAAAGAGACCGGCCAGATTGTTGCTATTAAGCAAGTTCCTGTGGAATCAGACCTCCAGGAGATAATCAAAGAAATCTCTATAATGCAGCAATGTGACAGGTAAAGGCATGTGGGCTTCCTTTGGGGAGAATGTGGTTTTGAATTAGCTATGATTGTGTAGAGTTTGATACCTAGAGACACATTTACTTAGATATTTTGCAGAAGGGAGAATTCGATGGAATCACTGTGCATTTTCTTTTCAGAAAAAAATATGATGATAATGGTTGTTTTTGTAGCTAAACCTCCGTAATTTTTATGCATGGTGTTTTGTTTTTTTTTTTCAATTTTTCTTTTTTTTTTTTTCTGAGACAAAGTCTCGCTCTGTCGCCCAGGCTGGGGTGCAGTGGTGCAATCTCGGCTCATTGCAACCTCCACCTCCCAGGTTCAAGTGATTCTTGTGCCTCAGCCTCCCGAGTAGCTGGGACTACAGGCATGTGCCACTACGCCCAGCTAATATTTTTGTATTTTTAGTAGAGATGGAATTTCACCATATTCGTCAGGCTGATCTCAAATTCCTGACCATAAATGATCTGCCTGCCTCGGCCAAGTCCCAAAGTACTGGGATTACAGGAGTGAGCCACCATACCTGGCTTTTTTCTTTTCTTCAGTGAGCCCTTTTAGAAACTAGGAAGAAGAGGCAGAAGGTGGTGCTTGCTTTTTTTTGTGTGTGTGATAATGATCTTTTTTACTTCCTATTGAGAAAACATTTCTGCAGAGATAGCCAAGAACAGATAATTCAAATGTTTTTTAGTTCTAGAAACCTTAGAATATCAGGTAAATCTATAAAAAAAGAGTAGTTATGTATATACTACTGTTTGTTCCTTCACATTAAAAAAAATTATTCTAGCTGAGAGTACCTACGTATTTATTTTTGAGGAACTAAGATTTGTCAAATGTTGTAAGCAGGAAGTCAGACCAAAAGACAACCACAGAAAACCACGTGGTTTGCTCTGAAATTCCATGACAACATGGGTTGGTCACTGATAGAGCAGGCTTCCCCAGCACTATTTAGATTAGAGACAAACACAAAGTTAGGGGCAATGCCAGCTCTAGGGAGCTGAAGATGGGTGAGAAATTCTCTCAGTTGAAGCTGCATTCATTCTTCTGAAGGCTTTTTGGTCAGCAGATCAACTTAGTACCTGCTGTTTGCAAAACTTCTACATTAGGGTTTAGGTGGGGCTACCTACCAAAAAATTAGTCCAGAAGCCTTTCAGTCTCACAGACTTGGGAATGTAGTCCTTTCTTTTTTCTCTCCCTTCTTTTTTTTTCCCTTCTATTTTTGTGATTACTGTCTACTAGATAAAATCCCCATTTTTCTTGATTGGATTGACCAGATGAAGGTGGCAGTTTTCCATTTGCTCCTTTTTCAGATACATTTTGGAAGTTCTTTCCATTTGGCAAATTGGGACTTTGTCACTTTCGATAGACTGTGCGGGAGCTGTGTTCCAAACAGAGTATGGAAATGTCTTTAATTAAAGAAGAGATATTTTCAAGCGTCTACTCTGTGCTAAGCACTGTAAGGAATACAGTGAAATACAGAGCAGAGTCCTTGTGCTTTGGGAGTTTATAGACTAATTGGACAGGCTAAGTATATATATATGTAGAGGAGAATCTAGCCAACAGTGCAAGTCTATAGAGAACATATTCCAGTAGTAAATACTTGATAGTAATGGCCTACAGTATTTAACTCCTGTCAGTACTGTATTACAGGGAGAGTAAATGTGTTGATATTTACCTTAGACACTTTTTTCATTAATATTTAATGTGTGTGTGTGTTTTGCTGTCCTTGTCACTGGCATGTTTCCTAAGGTTTGAAGAGGAAATTGTAAGAGTTCTGAGTTAATGAAGCCAATTTGGTTTTAACATCAGTTGTTAGGAAACTTCATTTGGCCATGATAACAATCTAGCCAGTTAAAGCTGGCAGCTCTCAGAGGGCACATTATTTTATTTTAATAGGATATTTGATTTTTCTCTGAATTTCTTGTTTGGTATCTCTCTTCCAGCTTGAGACCTAAAATTCCAGGTTTGATCCTGAACATTTTTTCTTTATAATAGATTGTAGTATGTGTATGTTTTTATTACAAAGTACATATGACTTCTTAGAAAAATTCAAATGAAAAGAAAAGAAAATCACTTTTCCCTTTGGAGAAATCATCATTTTTTCTTTTTTTTGAGACGGAGTCTCCTCACTCTGTTGCCCAGGCTGGAGTGCAGTGGCGCGATCTCGACTCACTGCAAGCTCCGGCTCCTGGGTTCATGCCATTCTCCTGCCTCAGCCTCCTGAGTAGTTGGGACTACAGGGCCTGCCACCACGCCAGGCTAATTTTTTTGTATTTTTAGTAGAGACGGGGTTTCACCATGTTAGCCAGGATGGTCTCGATCTCCTGACCTCGGGATCCGCCCACCTCGGCCTCCCAAAGTGCTGGGATTACAGATGTGAGCCACTGCGCCTGGCTGAAATCATCATTCTTAAACACTGCTTGATACACATATTCTTCCAAATCACTTTGGAGTTTTACAGTAATTCCTGTTTTGTAGCCTGCTTTTTTGTTTGTTTGTTTGTGTAAACACAGTATCTTCTCATGTTATCACATAGTCTATAACATTTTTCATGGATTCATGATATTTTATTATACGGCTATAGCATTCTTTGTTTTTTTTGAGATGGAGTCTTGCTCTGTCGCCCAGGCTGGAGTGCAGTGGCGCGATTTCGGCTCGCTGCAACCTCTACCTCCTGGGTTCAAACAATTTTCCTGCCTCAGCCTCCCGAGTAGCAGGGACTACAGGTGCACACTGCCACGGCTGGCTAATTTTTTGTATTTTAGTAGAGACAGGGTTTCACCATCTTGTCCAGGCTGGTCACGAACTCCTGAGCTCAGGCAATCCGCCCGCATCGGCCTCCCAAAGTGTTGGGATTACAGGTGTGAGCCACTGCACCTGGCCCTGTATCATTATTTCTTAAATAAACTCCCTAATGTTGGATGGACATTTAGATGATATCTAAATTTCCACTTTTGTCAATAGTGCTATGATGGTAACTGTTACTTTTTGAACATTTATAATTCTTTTTTGAGGATAAATTGTAGACATAGAAATGCTGGTTAAAGAACTCACCAAGTTTTTTATACTTTTGTGATTTATTACCCTCCAGAAAAGCTATACCATTTTGCATTCTTATCAGGAGGTTGTCCATTTTATCCTTAACTATGAATAATTGATCTTTCCAGATGAGGAATTAATTTGTATATACTTGCTAGCATGAATTAAGAGATATTTGAAGGCCATTTTATTAATTTGTATTGTCTCTCTCTCTCTAGCCCTCATGTAGTCAAATATTATGGCAGTTATTTTAAGAACACAGACTTATGGATCGTTATGGAGTACTGTGGGGCTGGTTCTGTATCTGATATCATTCGATTACGAAATAAAACGGTAGGTTTACCTTCTAGAACATGCAACTGAGCTAGTTTCTTATGCCATCTTCTTTTCTCTGCCTCTTTTTCAGGGCATTCTCCTACTAGAGAGACGACTGTCAGATTTCCCCTTTTCCATGGTTATTTTCCATCTTTATTCTTTTATGTCTCCTAAGTGTGACAGCTTTTTTTTTTTTTTTTTTTCAAGAGACCAGAGTCCCCTGTCACCCAGGCTGGAGTGTAGTGGCACAGTCATAGCTCACTACAGTCATAGCTCTACCTCCTGGGCTTCAGTGATCCTCTCACTTCAGGCTCCTGAGTAGCTGGGACTACAGGCGTGTACCACCATGCCCAGCTAATGTTTTGTTTTGTTTTTTAATTTTTTTTTTTTGTGGAGATGGTGTCTCACTGTGTTGCCCAGGCTGGTTTCGAACTCCTGGCCTCAAGCAATTTTCCCACCTCGGCCTCCCAAAGTGCTGGGATTACAAGTATGACCCCCCCATGCCTGGCAATGTGGCAGTTTTGACACCAATTTAGTCCAGTGATTTTTAGCATGCTTTGGTTATTTCTTACTGGGAAGAAAATGACTGTTAGATCTTAGTTATAGAATGAATTTTAAATGTTTAAATTTGGATTTGGATTTGGGTTTCTGCTTCTACCTAGCGTGTTCACAAATTAAATTCCTGTATTTCCTGTTAATCAGAGAATAATCCCCTTATGAAAGATTATTTGCTGATACTGTGGTTGCAGTATAAGACCTAGGAGTCATGGGTTTTAGTTCTGGTTCAGTTACTTAATGTCTTTATGTATTCGTTCAGTAAATATTTCTTGAACACTGTTTTAGGCCTGAAGGATCTAATAGTAAATAAAACAGATGACAACTCTGCTGTCATGGTAGTGTACTTCGGAATAGGGCAACAAAAGCAAATTAATAGTAACTATTAATAGAAAAGATATAATAATGATATATACTATGAGGAAAATGAATGAGGATGAAGTGATGGTAAAGTTGTGGAGACTGGTGGGCTATTTTAGAGTAGATAGTTGAGGAAGGTCACTCAGAAGTGGTGACGTTTACAGGAAGACTCAAATGACGAAAAGGAGCTAAGAGTCCTGAAGGAACATTGTAGGTGGGCAGTAACCAGTGCAAAGACCTTGAGGCTGGAATGAGTTTGGCATGTCTGAGTGATAGAAGGGCTACCATGACTAGAAGGGAATAGGCAAAGGAGAAGCTGTAGGAGATGAGGTTTGACAGGTGGGCAGGGCTAGATTGTATTGGATATTGCAGGTCATGGGAATGAGTTTGAATTTTATCCCAGGTATTATAGGAAACCATTGCTGGATTCTAAGCAAGTGAGCGAGCCATCTGATGTATGTTTTAGAAAGATAACTCTGGGGCTGGGTGTGGTACCTCATGCCTGTAATCCCAGCACTTGGGGAGGCTGAGGCGGAGGATTGCTTCAGTCCAGGAGTTCGAGGCCAGCCTGGGCAACATAGCGAGACCTCGTCTCTACAAAAGAAAAAAGAAAAACAAAATTAGTCAAGTGTGGTGTCATGCGCCTGTAGTCCCAGCTAACTTTTGGGGTGTGATGGGGGTTGAAGTGGGAGGATTGCTTGAGCCCAGGAGGTTAAGGCTGCTGTAAGCTGTGATTGCGCCACTGCACTGCAGCCTGGGCAGCAGAGCAAGACTCTGTTTCAAAAAATAAAAAAGATAACTCTGACTTCTGGGTAGATTGTGGGTGGATAAGTGGAGAAGTAGAGAAAATCTTAGCCTGTGGTTTTTTTGTCTTAATAAGAAAAATAAGAATAATAATATCTGTATTCCATATTTGCAAAGTTGGGAAAATTAATTTAAATATGTAAAAGTACTTTGTAAATTGTGAGGTGCTACACAAATTATAAGGTGAGGGTGTTTTAAAACTGAGTTATAACTTTTGGATTATTCATATACTATCTTCTTAATTTACATTATTCAGAATTAGTGTGTTTGCTTAATCGAATAGCAAGTTCTTTAGGAATAATATCCTAACATAAGATATATGTAAAGAAGTTCCAAAACTGGAATAATTTATTGAATTAAACATTGGATTTCAGGGCTTCTTATATGCAGCATTAAGTCAATTTATTTCAGGTATTTTAAACTAGTCCAAAATTAATTTTGATGGCACTTTTGGTTTTTTTTTGCCATTGTAATAGTAGGTTATTATATTTAAGTAAATTTTAACTTAATTACTAAGTGCTGGTTTTTTGTTGTTGTCGTTGTTTTTTTTTTTTTTTTTTTTTTTGAGACAGAGTCTCCTTGCTCTGTTGCCCAGGCTGGAGTGCAGTGGTGTGAACTCGGCTCAGTGCAAGCTCCGCCTCCCAGGTTCATGCCATTTTCCTGCCTTAGCCTCCCTGGTAGCTGTACTCCCTAGTACAGGCGCCCGCCACCACGCCTGGCTAATTTGTTATGTATTTTTAGTAGAGACGTGGTTTCACCGTGTTAGCCAGGATGGTCTCGATTTCCTGACCTCGCAATCTGCCTGCCTCGGCCTCCCAAAGTGCTGGGATTACAGGCGTGAGCCACCGTTCCCGGCCTAAGTGCTGATTTTTAATTACTACACGTTATTTTGCCAAATGTTATAACTCTGCCCTGTCCACCGTGATATCCACTAGCCGCATGTGGTTATTAAGGACTTAAAATGTGGCTAGTCTGAACTGAGATATGCTGTAAATATAAATTATACACCAGAGTTTGAAGAATTATTGCCATAAAAATTGTAAACAAAAATCTTTGATTTTTTCATATTGATGACATGGTGGAGTGATAATATTTTGGATAAATATGGTTAAGTAAAGCAGATTATCAAAATTAATTCTTTCTTTTTTTTTTTCAAAGATAGAGTCTTGCTCTGTTGCCCAGGCTAGAGTGCAGTGGTGTGATCATAGGTCACTGTATGTTGGAACTGCTGGGCTCAAGTGATCCTCCTGCCTCAGCCTCCTGAGTAGCTGGGATTACAGCACCAGCCACTGCGTCTGCTTGTTTCCTTTTTCAATGTGGCTACTAGAAAATTAAAAATTATATTTGTGGTTCCCATTATATTTCTATTAGGCAGTGCTACTTCAACTGATTAACTTAACTGGTTAGAATAAAGAGGTGGTAAGTCAAGTCATGAGCTTTGTTCTCTTCCACTATAGAAGGTACCCCAGACTCTAGCCTACTACCTTGCCAGTAGTGTTTGCCTGGACTTTAGTGAAAGCTTTATCATTTCTCTCTGACTTTTGGCATAAATGACTTAACTTGTCTGTGCCCTCAGCTTCATTATGTATAAAATGATGATGATAATAATAGTTCCTCTACCTCATTTAGTTGTTATAAGGATGAAATGAGATTACATAGTGCTTAGCATGGATTAAACACTTAGTAACGGTTAGCCTTTATTTATTTATTTATTTATTTTTGAGACAGAGTCTGGCTGTGTCACTCAGGCTGGAGTGCACACAATCTCAGCTCACTGCAATCTCCGCCTCCCGGGTTCAAGTGATTCTCCTGCTTCAGCCTCCTGAGTAGCTGGATTACAGGTGCCTGCCACCACACCCAGCTAATTTTTGTATTTTTAGTAGAGACAGGGTTTTGCCATGTTGGCCAGGCTGGTCTTGAACTCCTGGCCTCAAGTGATCTGTCCGCCTCAGCCTCCCAAAGTGCTGAGATTACAGGCATGTGCCACTGTGCTTGACTTTTTTTCATATTATTAGCATAGTACCTGGTGCTTATTAAATATTGATTGATAATATCAAAGGTGTTAAATTATGACATATTAATTGATTTTCATGACACTCTTAAAAGTTATATTCCTATTTTATAGATTGGGAAACAGGCTAAGAGAATAAGAGAAGGTCAGTAACTTGCTTAAGTCACATGAAAGTAGAGCCAAGAGTAAAAGCTACGTCTTCCTAGTCCCAAATCCTACAGTTTTTGCACCAGAGCACACTCCATTTCACATCTGAGTTGTTTGTCAGAAGGGGAACTATGTAACAGTTTGTTGATAGATTGAGTTTGTTTAGGACTGGTGTTGGGTCTGCAGAAAGTCTATATTGGCCAGATCAGATATTCTATACTAGTTTCTAGCATTCTCACTTTCAACAGATATTTTTTTCAGTGCCTACTGTGTGCCAGGTGGCTTTATTGGTATTAGGGAAACAAAAGTAAACAAATCAGACATTTTTAGGAGCTTGTGTTTCTAACAGGGATGATATCACATACATAGATAAATAATGGGTAATATGTCAGATGGTAGTATACTGCAGTGACAAGGTAATTTAAGGGAATAGAGTATGAGCTAGAAATGGAGTAAGAAAGCCCTCTCCATTTTCTGAGGAGGTGATATTTGGGCAGATTACAAACTGAGGAAGCATACTGGATAGACATCAGGATGAAGAGAATAGGCAGTTGAAAAGTCCCAGAAAGGGGAGTGTGCTTAGAGTGTTTGAGGAACAGCAAGGAAGCAAGCCCTTGTTGAAACAGATTGAGCAAGGTAGAAAGTGGTAAAAGATGAAGTTAAAGAGGTAGCTGAGAGCCAGATCATGTAAAGCCTTGGTAAGGACTGACTTTTATTTTAAGTGGGTTAGGAAGACATTGGTAGGTTTTGACTCTGGCTTACATTTTAATTATAGCTTCTGTGTGGAAAATACATTGTAGAGTGTCAAGAGCAGAAGCAAAGAAGCCAGTCGGGAGATTATGAGAATAGTGCAGTCAGGACACGATGGTGACTTGGACCATGGTGATTACAGAGGGTGTATTTGGATATACAGTGTTTTGAAGATAGAGAAAAGTCAAGGATGACTTCAAGGTTTTTGACCAGAGCAACTGAAAGAATAAAGTTTCCTTTTACTGAGAGAGGGAGGACTGTGGGAGAAGTGGAGTAGGTTGGAAGGATCAGAGGGAGAGGGGTAAGGTGATAGACATAGAGTTTGATTTTGACATGTTATGCTTATGATGCTGGCTAGGTATTCTAGTTGGAGATACATAAATCTGATTGAGGGGAGATCTGGTATGGAAATATAGCCTTGGGAGTGGTCAGTGTATCTATGGTATAAGCAGTCAAATGCTGTTCACAGGTTGAATAAGATCTGTTTATATTAAAGAAAGGTTTGGATCTGATTTTTTCTCCTTTTTCTAATGCGCTGATGTAAACTGATAGAATTTGAACTTCTTATTCTTTTTTCAGTTAACAGAAGATGAAATAGCTACAATATTACAATCAACTCTTAAGGGACTTGAATACCTTCATTTTATGAGAAAAATACACCGAGATATCAAGGCAGGAAATATTTTGCTAAATACAGAAGGACATGCAAAACTTGCAGATTTTGGGGTAGCAGGTCAACTTACAGTAAGTAAAAATATTACTTGTATTGATAATTTTCATTTCTGTCCTGAGAAGCAGTTCCTTTTATTTACCTATTTTTAAAATATAATACTTGACTTAATTGTATTAGTAAAAAATCACAGAATCTGCCAATAGGTTACAAAAGAGCTAGTTAGTGGGTTATTTTAGATCTTTTCCTGGGGTTCAGGTCACATAGCTTAACTTTGTTCAACTTTTATAAAGATGAAAAGTAAAGCAAGAAATGATAGATTACTCTAGTGCACTACATCAACATATTTATAAAAGGAAGAAAAATTAAGAGGAAGAAAAATTAAGTCCAAACTGCTTTCCTTGACTAAGACATAACATCATCTCATTCAACTTCCAGGTAGTACTTGGCAGTTACTGTACTGAAAACACTCTGTTCGTTTGAGTCCAGGATACAGTCTCTTGATTCTTCTCCTGCCTAACTAGTGCATGGAAGTGAAAAAAGAAAAAAAAAAACTTGTTTTCAAAATAGGAAGTCTAGAATTATTTGATTCTACATAAGTATATATGAAAGTATATATAGAAAAATAGAAATAGTTTTAGGCAGGTATACTCTAAAATTTGCAAAAATATTACATATCAAGTGGTTTTCTTGGGTGGTAGAATGAATATATATAGTGTGTGTTTAGAACTGGTGTTATGTACGGTTTTTTTTTTATTATTTTTTTTTTATTATAAGTCTGCCTGGGACATGTTAGGGAGCCTCAGGTATTGTAACAGCACAGAAATTGCTTTGATGTTTAAAATAAATCAGAACCTTATTCAGTATCATGATTTGTGGGCTCTCCAAAAGGTTTTGTTGTTAACACAAAAGTAAACAGTACCAGACAATATTACCTAAACCACAGTCTTAGTCAGGAAACCAAATTGAAAAAATACACCCTCTGATGGTCTATAAAATAATATAATATTGGCCGGGTGCAGTGGCTTATGCCTGTAATCCCAGCGCTTTGGGAGGCTAAGGTGGGAGGATCACTTGAGGTTAGGAGTTCGAGACCAGCCTGGCCAACATGGTGAAACCCCATCTCCACTAAAAATACAAACATTAGCCGGACATGGTAGCGCACGCCTGTAATCTCAGCTACTTGGGAGGCTGAACCTGGGAGATTGCGCCATTGCACTCTGCACTCCAGCCTGGGCAACAGAGTGAGACCCCATCTCAAAAAAAAAATGTGTATGTATGTATGTGTGTGTGTATATATATGTGTGTGTGTATATATATATATATATATATATATATATATATATGTATCCATTCCATTTACTAATTTTAGTAATTGATTGATTACCCAATAATGACTTACAGTGTTCTTATTGCTATAATGCCTGCCTTGGCAGAATTTTTCTCCCCTTTTAATATGTACAATTCAGTGTTTAGTATATTCACAAAATTGTGCAGCTATTGCCAATGTCTAATTCCAGAACATTTTCATCATCCTCAAAATAAACTGTACCCTTTAGCTGTTAGTCCCCATTCTCTTCCCAGCCCTTGACAACCACTAATCTACTTTCTGTCACTATAGATTTGCATATTCTGAATATTTCATATAAATAGAATCATACATAATGTGCCCTTTTGTTTCTGGCTTCTTTTGTTTAACATAATGTTTTTGAGTTCATCCATGTTGTAACATGCATCAATTCTTCATTCCTTTTTATTGCTCAGTAATATTCCATTGTGGCTGTAACACATTTTGTTTACTTATTCATTAGTTGAATATTTAGATTGTTTCTGCTTTTTGGCTGTTAGGAATAATGCTACTGTGAAATTTGTGTACAGGTTTTTATGTGAACCGTTGTTTTCATGTGATACACAGAGTTGCTGGATCACATGGTAACTCTGTGTTTAATTTTTTAAGGAACTGCCAAACTGTTTTCCAAAGTGGCTCACCATTTTGTGTTCCCTGCTGATGTATGAGAATTCCAACTTCTCTGCATCCTCGCCAACATTTTCTTTTTTGTGTTTTTGATTATAACCATCCTAGTGAGTATGAGGCAGTATCTCTTTGTGGTCTTGATTTGCATTTTACTAATGACTAGTGATGTCGACTGTCATTTTTTCTGCTTATTGGACATTCGGGTATCTTTGGGAAAATGTCTATTTAAATCTTTTGCCCATTTTTAATTGGGTTATTTACCTTGTTATTGTTGAATTAAGAGTTCTTTATATATTTTAGATATAAGTCTCTTATGTACATGATTTGCAAATATTTTCTCTCATTCTGTGGGTTGTCTTGAAGGTGTCCTTTGAAATACAAAATTTTTAAATTTTGGTCGTGTCCAGTTTCTTTTTTCTTTTGTTGCTTGTGCTTCTGGTGTCACATCTAAGAAATCATTAGCTAATGCAGGGTCATGGAGATTTACTCCTATGATTTCTTTGAAGTGTTTAATGGTTCTAGCTCTTATGTTTAGATCTGTAATCTGTTTTGAGTTAGTTTTCATGGTGTGAGATAGGCATCCAATTTCATTCTTTTATATGTTGATATGTAGTTGTTCCAACATTTGTTGAAAAGACTGTTTTTTCTTTGTTGAAATGTATGAGTTTATTTCTATGCCTTCAATTCTATTCCATTGACCTATATGTCTGTCCTTGCACCAGTTCTGTGCTGTCTTGATTACTGTAAGTTTGAAGTAATTTTTGAAGTTGGTTAAGTGTGAGTGTTCCAACTTTGTCCTTCTATTTCAAGATTGTTTTGGCTATTCTGGGTCCCTTGTATTTCCACATAAATTTTAGGATCAGCTTGTCAATTTCTGCAGAAAAGGCCGTTGGGATTTTGGTAGACATTATTTTGAATCGTAAATCAGCTTGAAAATACTGCCATTTTGGCAATATTGTCTTCCGATCTATGAATATAAGCTGTCTTTCCATTTATTTAGATTTTCTTTAATTCTTTTAGCAATGTTTTATAATTTGCAGTGTACAAGTTTTGCATGTATTTGGTTAAATTCATTCCTAAGTAGTTTGTACTTTTTGATACTATTTTAAATGGATTTGCCTTATTTTCAGATTGTTCATTGCTAGTGTAACATACAATTGATTTTTGTATATTATCTTGTGTCCTGGCACCTTGCTGGACTTTTTTTTTTTTAAATTAACTGTGAACATGTATGTTGTTTTGTTAAAAAAAATGAGATTTTTTTTCCTTCACTAAAATAAACTGAAACTGTAGTACAAGATGATCTGACTTGGCTGTTTGGTTGTGAAACCTCCAGTACTACTAAGTTTAGGCCCCTCTCCGGTCTCTTGTCTAGAGGCTGTAGGCCTTGTTGGCAGCTTTCTGGGAAGTGGTGGTGGTGGTGGCAGTGGGGATTGTTAACATGTTAATGCTCATTTAATGTTCCTGATTCACAACACCACCCACACTCTCTATAGTCTAGAGATCCTCGGTTTCACTCCCCAGAGAGTACACCTCCAGTCTAATGCCAGGGTGGGGCGAGGGAAGCCCACTAGTTGCTTGATGGGAGAGGAAGGTTTAGGGTGCTTAGCTGCTTCTTAACTCTTTCAACCCAGGCTTCCTATTTGGATGTCCGTTTTCACCCCTCTTTTCTCTGCCTGATGCCACCAATTTCTAAGTCTTTTGGAGGGGTTGGTGTTAAAATCAGGTTGTTTCCTAGTTTTCCTGGCGACTGACTGAGGATTCCATCTGATAGTCTGTTCAGTTAGTTACTATTGGGCCATCTGCTCTCCAGCTTTTAAAATTCTGTGGCTGTAGTTATTTTCCCCTTTGTTTTTTTATTCTTGTAGATTTATTCTTAAAAAACAATCCTTTTAGTATCTTTTTGAGTGAGTTTTGAGAGATAGTGAAAGTAAAATGTATTTGCTCAAGCTGTCATCTTTACCCAAGACTCTGTAATATTATTTCTGGTGGCAACATGGGTATTTCATTGTATGGATATAGCATGATTTATTTAACTCTTTCCCTACAGTTGGATGTTGGGTGCCCATTAAGGTTGCTTAGAGTTTTCCCACCACTATAAACATAAACTCTGTGATTAACATTCTTGCAACTAAATTTTTCAGCATTTCCTTGAGTAAATCCTTAGGATAATTTATTTACATTGGAATCTAGGTCAGAAAATATGTGAATGTATATTGGCAAAGTGCTTTTGATGCATAGTGCTGAATTTCTTCTAGAAGTGAACAGTTTCAGTTTCCAACTTCAGTATATAAATGTGCTCTTTTCCCCTCATATTTGCTAATGCTGAATGGGCAGCAACTTGTATCTTCCCTGCTATTTCTCAAAGCAGTTGACATATTTTTGCATTTAATTATTGGCCATTTATAAAAATTCGTTTGTAAATGTTCATTTTTGTGTCAGTTTTCCTAATTGAATGTTGTACTTTTTTTTTTTGTTTTTGGGAGACAGGGTCTTGCTCTGTCACCCAGCCTGGAGTGCAGTGGCACAATCACGGCTCACTGCAGCCTCAACCACCAGGCTTAGGTGATACCCCCACTTTTGGCCTCTTGGGTAGCTGGGACTACAGACGCACACCACCACCCCCAGCTAATTTTTAGTAGTTTTTGTAGAGACATAGTTTCACCATGTTGACCAGGCTGGTCTCAAACTCCTGAGCTCAAGCAATCTGCCCCCCTTGGCGTGCCAAAGTGCTGGGATTACAGGTTTGAGCCATTGTGCCTGGCTGAGTGTTGCATCTTTTAAATAAATCTTATTAAAAAAGATAAACTAAAAAAATTTATGTTAAAATTGTTACTCCTATTTTGTATATGCTGAAATATCTTCTAGTTTACTAGTTGTCTTTTAATTTTGATTATGGCTTTTTAAAAAAATACTACATAAGTTTCCAAATTTTATATAGAAAAATCCATCTACCTTTTATCTTATGGTTTCTATCTTTGATGTCATGCTTAAAAAATCCTTTTCTCCTTAACATTATAGAATGGTTAATCTATGTTTTTTTTATTTTTTATTATTTTATTTTATTTTATTTTTTTTTGAGACAAGGTCTTGCCCTGGCACCCAGGCTGGAGTACAGTGGCATGATCATGGCTCATTGTGGTGTCAAACTCCTGGGCTCAAGCAATCCTCTTGCTTCAGGCTCCCAAGTAGCTAGGACTACAGGTGTGTGCCACTTCGCCCAGTTAAAATTTTAACATTTTTTATAGAGATAGGCTCTCCCTATTTTACCCAGGCTGGTCCGGAACTCCTGCCTCTGCCTCCCAAAGTATTGGGATTAGAGGTATAAGCCAGCACACCTGCTCTGTTGCTCAGGCTGGAGTGCAGTGGCATGATCATAGTTCACTGTAATCTTGAACTTCTGGGCTCAAGTGATCCTCCCACCTTAGCCTCCCAAGTAGCTAGGACTACAGGCATGTGCCACCATGCCTGGCTAATGTACTGTTTTTTTTTTGTTTGTTTTTTGTTTTTTGTTTTTGAGACAGTCTCGCTCTGTCACCTAGGCTAGAGGACAGTAGCGCAATCTTGGCTCACTGTAACCTTCACCTCCCAGGTTCAAGTGATTCTCGTGCTTCAGCCTCCCGAGTAGCTGGGATTACAGGTACCTGCTACCACACCCGGCTAATTTTTTGTACTTTTAGTAGAGACGGGATTTCGCTATGTTTCCCAGGCTGGTTTCGAACTCCTGAGCTCAGGCAATCTGCCCACCTCTGCCTCCCAAAGTGCTGGGATTATAGGCATGAGCCACCGTGCCTGACTGTCTAATGTACTTCTTTAAAGTATTCGTTGGGCTTTGTTTTTTATGTTTAAAATTTCAACTTATTTGAACTTATTTTGGTGAAAGTATAAGGTAGGCATTTAAGTGTAGAGTTCTACAAATGACTAGATTCCCAGTGCTTTTTTTTTTCATAATCTATTCTTTGCTTGCTGATTTTAAATGACATTTTAATCATAAATCATATGTATATGTGGTATATATAACAGGTTATTATATATACATATATATGATATATATGTACACACACACATACATATACACATATGCCATAGTGAACTTCTGGACTTTATATTTTTTATTGCTATGCTATTGTACTAATATAACTTTATAATACAAATCTAAGTGGGGTTAGTGTACACTCATTGCTCTTATTAATTTTCAAAAACTTTCTAGCTATCCAAGTAACCATTTCTAATTGAAATAATCCAGTGAAAACAATTTTGACTATCACCATTTGAAAACACCCTTGCAAATTTGAAGTTTCAGAGCTAAGGAAATGACTAAGCAGTAAGTTAGTTCCTGTGTTAGTTTTTTACATAGGACTGACAATGAGATTGATTTAAATGACCTGTCATTTGCTTCTGACTGGCATAGCCTAAATCACAGGCATTTCAGAAGGAATATCAGTGATGATGATCGGAAGTCCTTTTTCGTATTTAGTTCTGTTTAAAAATTCTTCTTTTGCTGGGCATTGTGGCTCATGCCTGTAATCCCAGCACTTCGGGAGGCCGAGGCAGGTGGATCACCTGAGGTCAGGAGTTTGAGACCAGCCTGGCCAATGTGGCGAGACCTTGTCTCTACTAAAAATACAAAAATTAGTCGGGCATGATGGTGGGCGCCTGTAATCCAAGCTACTTGGGAGACTCAGTCAGGAGAGTCGCTTGAACCCCAGGGGCGGAGGTTGCAGTGAGCCAAGATTGTGCCTCTTCACTCCAGCCTGGGCAGAAGATCAAAACTCTTTCTCAAAAAAAAAAAAAAAATCCTTCTTTTGCTAAAGCATAGGAACTGTAGGGAGGTTCTCTTTCAGTAGGGCCATGCCATCCTGAGAAAGTATGCAAGTGGTTATTTGCTGTAATGTGTACTGTATCCACATATTCTTCTTTAGCCCATAAACTAAGATATTTTGTATATTATTTTTTATATATCAAGTTTAAAATTTTTTTATTGCACATGTATGCTCATATAAACCTTCAGAATGTTACAGATGTATACAGGATAGACAGTAAAAATCTTTAGTGATTCTGCCTACTAGATATAATTAATGGTTTGGTGTGTATTACTCCAGATTTTTTGTGCTATGATATAACAGTGTTTCATATTATTGGTTATTGTTTTATTATTGTTATGATCATCATTATTATATATATTTTCCTTTTACAAAAACAGGGCTATATTATATATAATTGTACAACTTTTTTTTGCTTTGTAATGTATGTTGTGCATTTTTTTCATGCTAGGAAAAGGTATATATCTTCTTTTTTTTTTCTTTTTAATATGGTGTTTCAGTATATGGTTATTTATTATATTTAACTTACTATCTTTTGATGATCATTTGAGTTGTTTCCTTTTCCTCCTCATCTCCCCCATTACAGACATTTCTACAGTCTTTGTGCATATCGTTTGAGATACTTGAACATAAGATAGATTTCAAGAAATAGATTTGGATCAAAGGATATGAATATTTAAAAGTTGAATAAATATTGCCAACTTATGTACTAAAATGTACCAATTTATACTACAGTAACATTTTATTTCGGTGCCTGATTTTCTATGCTATTATCAGCATTAATTATTAATTTAAAATTTTTTGTCAGTCATTTTAGTTTTTGTTTTAATAATTGATTGAGAATCTTTTTGTGTTTCTTTGTCATTTGAATTTCTTCTATGCCTGCTTGATCATGCTCAGAGTATGGTTTTTATATGTATTTCAAGTACAAGGCATTTTTTTATTGTTGGAAAAGCCTCTTTTTCTCAGTAGTTTTTTTTTTTTTCTTCTTTTTTTCTCTGTAGACTTCCTCTGTGGACATCTCAGTAGTTTTAAGCTTAGTGTCAGTCTCTCTCCCTTTCTATTTTAGGATACCATGGCCAAGCGGAATACAGTGATAGGAACACCATTTTGGATGGCTCCAGAAGTGATTCAGGAAATTGGATACAACTGTGTAGCAGACATCTGGTCCCTGGGAATAACTGCCATAGAAATGGCTGAAGGAAAGCCCCCTTATGCTGATATCCATCCAATGAGGGTAAGAAAGTGGACAGAAAGCCAGTGGGGTGGTTAGTTACTGATCATCATTAAAAAGTGAAGTTCAAGCCAGGTGTTGTGGCTCACACGTGTAATCCCAGCACTTTGGGAGGCTGAGGTGGATGGATCACCAGAGGTCAGGAGTTTGAGACCAACCTGGCCAACATGGTGAAACCTTGTCTCTACTAAAAATACAAAAATTAGCTGGGTGTGGTGGCGTGCGCCTGTAATCCCAGCTGCTTGGGAGACTGAGGCATGAGAATCACTTGAACCCCAGAGGCAGAGGTTGCAGTGAGCTGAGATCGTGACACTGTACTCTAGCCTGGGAGAGAGAGTGAGACTCCATCTCAAAAAAAAAAAAAAAAAAAAAAAAGTTCAATGGCTTACTTGTTTAAGTTGCAAACAATAAATGAATTATGTGTAAATTTGTAAGTGTCGCTATAGATGATACACCTCTACTGACTCTAGTTGTAGTCATTAATTAATTTAAGTGTGTTCCACCCCTCTCCATTCCAGAGGTTGTGTATTGATAGCCCTCTGGCAGGACATAGGCCATAGAAATGCTTAGTTTGATTTGTGCTACTCTCTCTCTCTGTCTGTCACTCACTCATTTTGAATAGTTTAGACAACCACATTTTAACATGTCAACATTCACTAGAGCTGAGTAGTGGTTCAGAGTATGAACTCTCTACTTTATCAGTCTCCATGATTCCCTGTTGTGTCACCAAGTATTAGCTGCCACTTATTACAGTATTTCTCTAATGTTTTTCTTATAATAGTGTTAAGAAGAAAGCAAACTGTATTTTTGAACTCATGTCACTGAAACCCAGCCTTGTTCATTTTTTATCTTTCTTCTGCCTGGCCCCTATAGGTGTTTTGAATTTGTAAGTTTTGGTTTGTAGATCCCCATATCCTCTTCATCTGGAGGCTGTGTACTCTCCAACCCCTGTCTCCTTCTAGAATGTTAAGGGCCCATAGAATGCATCTCCAGTGAAGCTCTTCCAGTGCTCACACCCTAAGCAGTTCCCAGGCTTAACTGTCCCAGAACCCTTCATCACAGCACTGTTGTAATACACCCCCCCGCCAACCCTGCCTTCCTCAGGGGCTCTGTGGTCCTCTCCATCCTTCCTTACCACAGCTCTTCCTCTTCTCTGACTAATTAATTCTCCTATTAAAAGACTTACACAAATTCATGTTCCCAAGGTAAGTCCTCCCTCTTTTTTGGGAGAAGGAGTGAGGAGATTTACTAGTTACAATTTTAGATTTAAAGAATATAATTTAAGCTGCTTATTTGTATAGTGTTTTACTTTTCAAAAAACATGGCTTTTTTAAAATTGGAAATTTAATAAATAATAGTCTTATTTTTGGACATAGTAGAATGTAACTGCAACGTAGTGGGCCAATTTTTAATTTTTCCCCCTCACACATGCGTTGATTTAGCTTACTTTGGAAGTTAATGACCCCATTGTGATTTTTGGGACTTCTGGTTGATGACCTTATTGTGTAGTTGCTGCTGACATCTGGGGGTGGTAATAACTTTTAAGAGGCAGGGAAACTTGACAACTATGGGGTCAAGGTTATCTTTAGGATGTAGATACTCTTAGGTCTCGCCTTTCTACTTTGAAAGGCAATGTACTGTGGTTACCAAAATAATAATAATAAAAAAGCTTGATTGATGTTGTGAGGTTTAGGGAACAAGACCCATATATGAGAGAGGGAAAAGGAGAGAGGGAGATATATCAGGTTCTTTAACCATCAGATGCTTAGACTTTTGTTGGAATTTGGGTGAGCTTCTCAGTGGGTAAGTGAAAAATCATTTACCAAGCTTCAAATGTAATTCCACATGTATTTTTTATTGGAGCATTACTTTTATTTTACCAGATCTTTTTGTTTGTTTGTTTGTTCTAACCAGGCAATCTTCATGATTCCTACAAATCCTCCTCCCACATTCCGAAAACCAGAGCTATGGTCAGATAACTTTACAGATTTTGTGAAACAGTGTCTTGTAAAGAGCCCTGAGCAGAGGGCCACAGCCACTCAGCTCCTGCAGGTATGAATCACCCTGTGATGCCATCTCGCTCCATTTCATTTACTTGCTGACCAAAAGATGCCATGAGGTCACCTACGTGGAGATAGTAAAGAAGTATAAGGCAGGCTGGGTGCAGTGGCTCACGCCTGTAATCGTAGCACTTTGGGAGGCTGAGGCAGGTATATTGCTTGAGCCCAGGAGTTTGAGGCCAGCCAGCATGGTGAAACCATGTCTCTACAAAAAGAATGCAAAAAATTAGCCAGGTGTGGTGGCGCATGCCTGTAGTTCCAGCTACCTGGAAGGCTGAGGTGGGAGGTGGGAGAATCTCTTGATCCCAGGAGGTTGAGGCCGCAGTGAGGCATGATTGTGCTGCTACATTCCAGCCTGAGCAATAGAGTGAGACGCTATCTCGAAAAACAAAGTAAAAGAAGTTTAAGACATTCTCTACCTCTAGGGAGGTTTGAATCTATTTGAGTAGAAAAGAATGTTAAATCATTGAACAAGACAATAATGTAAGAAAATACAGGGCAGTATGGGATTAGAGAAAGGGAACTGACATTTAGTGAGTACCTGCTGTCCGCCACATACTTTGCATATGTGCCATTTAATCATCACATAGACCCTGTGAAGGGTGGGTATTATTTCAGTTTTATAGATAAAAAATGGAAACTTAGGGAGGTTTACTCATTTCGGGTCACTCAGCTGGTAAGTAGCACAGTCAGTATTAGAACTTGAGCCTTTTTTATTCCAAAGCAGGGGTACCATCAAGTCTACCCGAGTCTGACAAAGAATTAAGAGCAGTGGTGGGTACTGTTGTAGTTCAGGGTGGGAGAAGGCCTCTTTGGACTGGAGATGCAAAAAGTGTTTTCCTGGAGGAGGTAGCTTCTAGGCCTGGTCCTTGAAGGACAGGTGGCATGTGGCAGGCAGTATGCTTAGTGGTTAGGAGCTTGGATCCTGGTCAGATTGCCCAGGTTTGAATCCTGGCTCCCAATTTACTAGCTTTGTGATCTTGGGCAAGTAACTTAATCTCTCTGTTCTTTTGGTTTTGTGATCTGTGAAATGGGGATACAGTACCTGCCTCATGTGTTGTGATGATTAAATGATATAATGTGTGTTACTTTGAACAATGTTCACATGTATTGAAGACAGTATGGTATGAACGTGATAAATATTAGCTATTATAATTGGGCTAGGCCAACCGTTTGCAGTCATTTCAGACCCAGTGCCCCCTTTTTATAACCAATGTATATATTTAAAAACTCTCATTACTTTTCTGGAATGAAACTCACATATAATAAAACCTTTTTATGCCCATAATTTAAAAAGAATCAATATTGTCTATGATGTGATGGAGAAAAATAAAGATAATTTATAATGAAATAATATGGCTTTCAACGTGCAGTTACTTCAGCCTGACCCAGTTTGCAGACATAATGAAATAGATACCTGTGCCTGGCATCATGAATGAGTTTAGATTTAAGAGCTGTAAGAAAATCAGAAACTAGCCAGGTGCAGTGGCTCATGCCTGTAATCCCAGCACTTTGGGAGGCTGAGGCAGGCGGATCACTTGAGGTCGGGAGTTTGAGACCAGCCTGGCCAACATGGTGAATCCCCATCTCTACTAAAACAATACAAAAATGAGCTGGGCGTGGTGGCGCATGCCTGTAATCCCAGCAGGAGGCTGAGGCAGGAGAAGCACTTGAACCCGGGAGGCAGAGGTTACAGTGAGCTGAGATTGTGCCACTGCACTCCAGTCTGGGCAACAGAGCAAGACTCCATCTCAAAAAAAAAAAACAAAGAAAAGGAAAAGAAAATCAGAAACTACGCCATTTAAGAAATACAGTAAAAAGAATGAGTGGACACTAGCATGAAACTGATGTTAAATAATAACAGGCCAGATTTATTTGTCTCTTATTACAGAAGGTGGGATATGATCTTACAGATTTTCTAAGTGGAAAGAACAAGGCAATATGATATTATTGCAAATGAGCTGGGTCTTATTTCTAAGTGGATTGCCAAATTCTTTTTCTACCTGGATGGGGTAGTGACAAAATGTTACGGAAATGTATCTCCTGTGTTGCATTCTGACCACATTTTGAGGTATACTGTCCATCTCTGGAGTTCTTACTTGGAACTTGTATCCTTTGACGGGTGATGGAGAACAGAGAATGGATTGCCAAGAAACAATGGGGACAATATTGGAGTAAGTTTGGAAGACAACAGGCAATTCCCCAAAAAGAATTTCCATATGTAACTTTCACAGCATAGATTTCTTATCACGTGCTACAAATACAAACAATAAAAACATATGATGGTATTAATATTAAAAACTTATAAAGCAAATTTTATTAATGAAATTCAGCAATACCCCTTTGTTTCAAGTATCTTTGGTGATTGAATAATATTTGGGTCAAAATCTGTTACATATATATGATCAGTTTTAGTATGTCTGCAGCAACTGCATTTTTGCACTAAAATCCTTTTTACCTAAATGTGTAGTTGGAAATGCTACCATAGAAAGAACAAGTCAGATGAGTAGATTTTTCAGTGATTTCTAAATAATTTCTTTATTCCATTAAGCTCCCCTCTCTAAAATCACCTCCCAAATCACTGGCCTTTTTGCATATCTCTTGAAAACATTTTTTTAGTATTATCTACTAAGGTGTATACACACCCTGAGACATTTGAAAAATGTGCAGAATCTGCCACAGTTCATGGTCGTACAGGACAGTTCTGTACTTTGCAAAATTGCTAATGTCCCATGCCATTTGTGCTCACCAAACATTGTGGCAGCTATAACATGTTCCCAACATGTTTACACAAGTTCCTCCAGGAGATGATACTCCCTATTGAGAATCGCTAGATTTGACAGAGAGAAATGGCATAGGCATTTCAGCCAGGCTGAAAAAGATAGGCAAAGACTGAATTTGCTCTACTCAGAGTTATAAAGCGAGTGTGGTTTAGCTGTTGTCCGAAGCACAAAGAGAAAGATCAGATTCGTTGATTGATTCAACACATGTTATCCAGTACCTACTGTGTTCCAGGTACTGTTTTGGCACTGTCACCATATAAACTGTCTCCAGTATTTTCTACTTTGTTCTTTTAGCACCCATTTGTCAGGAGTGCCAAAGGAGTGTCAATACTGCGAGACTTAATTAATGAAGCCATGGATGTGAAACTGAAACGCCAGGAATCCCAGCAGCGGGAAGTGGACCAGGACGATGAAGAAAACTCAGTGAGTGGCAGCCGTTGCTGTGGGCCTCAGACATTGATGCTTGTTATTTTATGATTGCCAAACCAGGTAAGATGAGTAGGAGGTATTGGATCAACTTGGAGCTGGAGATGCTTCCAGCATAACTATGTCCTAACCTGGATCAACGCATGCTAGAGGGTTGTTGTATCTGTGCTTATTCTTCTCCCAGTGCTTCCTAAAACACTTTTAAATTTTACTCTTTGCCCCTCTTTTACTCAATTTAACTTTTTATTTTAGAGAGAGAATGCTCAGGTCTGGGACTTGGCTTTTCATATCCTTTTGGGGAATCTGGGATCCATACTTAACATGTAGCTTTTACATTTATAGACTTCTTCACAACCCTGAGATTCCAAAGATGTTCACATGAGTTTCTTAGATCTATGTCACAAAACTCTATTAAGAAGAGTAGAGGAAGAATTCCTTTAGGGTTAGATACACTGCTTATTATCACGTGGATAAATTTGTCTTCTTTGCTTAAGTAACAGCGCTTTCATTTCTGGAAGGTGAGTTTAGGACCTGAATAAGTGTTAAATCTCGAAATATTTTCACTAAGACAGGTAGTAGTTATTCAGAAAACTCAAAGTCTTTTGTCAAATTAGCCCCAATTTGAGATTGTATCCTTTTACAGGAAGAGGATGAAATGGATTCTGGCACGATGGTTCGAGCAGTGGGTGATGAGATGGGCACTGTCCGAGTAGCCAGCACCATGACTGATGGAGCCAATACTATGATTGAGCACGATGACACGTTGCCATCACAACTGGGCACCATGGTGATCAATGCAGAGGATGAGGAAGAGGAAGGAACTATGAAAAGTAAGGCTCTGAGTAAATTCACTGACTTCTTAGACCAAGCATACATATTTCAGAGAAGACAGATTCTCATGGTTCATGCAGGCTTAGCCTTGGGTTCTTTCTTTTGTCACAACCAAAGGAGTAGAAAACTTGGAAGTTTGCGATGGGGACAGGAGGTTTGGTGAGGGGGAAAGCTGGCCTGTGGAGTCAAAGTCAAGAAAGCATCAACAGTGAGAAAGAATTTTGCTTTTGAACCAGAGCAGCCATTTTCTCATTGAATGTTGTTATTATTTTCCTTCCTTACCTTGATCTTTGGAGGCAAGCACATGCATTGTTTGATGCATAATTCCTGTGAAGGTGTAATGACATTCTGAGTTATTTACTGTACATACATCTTCAGTTTATTTTCATGACAGTTTGGGTCTAACCCAAGTTTACCAATACTGTCAGTCAATGAAAGATGACTGTACAAGTTGAAAAGTTCTATCCAGTTTCTTCTAGTTTAAACTCATCTCTGCTTCTGTCCGTATCTGGCTGATCCTTTTTTGCCTGTGACTAGGCCTAACATCTTGTGTTCAGCTCCTATCTTAGAGTGAAATTCTTGTGTCATTCAGTGCTCGTGGTGCTTTATGTTTCATCCCCTAAACTCAAGATTAAGGCACTGTAGAAATCCCATGTTTGATGATGTACAAATTATCAACTAAATGCCATGTACTAGATTGCCCTTCTCCTCCCCTCCTGTTTTAAAAGTAGCCAGTATGATTTGTTAGTAATGTTCATTTTGCAGTAATGAGCTACTGACCTCTAGTTATTTTCATTGACTCTGAGTACTAAATTGTCTACTTGTCTTAAGGGGTTTAATTATGTAGATGATTATAACCGCTGTGTAATACAACTAGGCCAACCTGTTAGTATGTGTTGTACATGCACGTGTTAGGGAAATTGTGCCCATTTTTATTTAAAGAATTAATTTTTTTCCAAATGTGATTTTCATAATTCAAATGCTAATTCAATGAGTTGTTTATTCTTTTCAGTTTCTGAACTTGTTTTCAGAACTGGATAGTTTTAGCATGTCTAATGAGAAACATGCATCTTTTATTATAATCATGAAGAGAACTGTTTAAAAACCTAAGCAGTCACAGTCTGAGTAACATTAAATACAATTTGTTCACAGACAGTCTGTTGCAGATTTTGTAATTCTCCCTTTTGGATTACAGATTTGACAGATTTGCCACTTATTTTGAGATTTTTAAAAATTCCTTATTGTTTTAGGAGTTACTTAAATTTATCATTATGGAAAATTAAAACATACATACAATTACACAGAATAATATAATGACCCCTATAGACCTATATCACTCAGCTTCAGCAATGATCAACTCACTGCCCGTCTTATTTCAGCCCCACCTCACCAAAAAGCAATTAGTAAACACTTTGTAAAAGTATTCATTTTTAAGGCCATGAAAAGCAGTGAGAGGAGTAAGGGGTAAAAAAGATTCTTAAGGTAATGCAGGCTTCAAAGTCCTGATTTATAGGACATGCTATGACATCAGTGGTATTTTGGGCAAGATTTTTTTTTTTTTCTGATAATAACTCTAGAAAATAGTAAAATGAATTAATTCAAAGTAAATCTGAGTCATCATACCATTTCTTTATAATTGATTTTAAGTATTTATTTAAGTTATTATTTTTTTAACAGATAGGGTCTTGTTCTTGCCCAGGTTAGCGTACAGTAGGTATGATCAGCTCACTGTAACCTTGATCTCCTGGGCTCAAACTATCCTCCCACCTCAGTCTCCCAAGTAGCTGGGAGTATGTATAGGTGTGTCCAGCTAATTTTTAAATTTTTTGTAGAGACAGGGTCTTGCTATGATGCCCAGGCTGGTTTTGGGCTCCTGGTCTTAAGTGATCATCCTGCCTTGGCCTCCCAAAGTGCTGGAATTAGAGGTGTGAGCCACCTCTCCTGGCCTGATTTAATATTTAATATTGGACCAGGTACAAGCCTGGGGCTCAGATACTGATCTATGTGGTGTTAGATAATTCACTTTCCTCCTATGGGTCTCAGTGCCCTAATCAGTAAAATTAAATTATTACTAAACTTGTTTATTTTCATTGTCCCTTATTCCTCTAATAGTCAACACATTTATAAAAATTGTGTAATTCATGACTTGCAGAACTGAAATTTCTAGAGGTTAAAATTTGTGAAAATGGATAGACTTTCATTTAGTTCCTTATTTGAACCTCTATGAAATGTTTATCCTTGGAAATTAAAATTATAAATGTTAAGGGAGGCTATGCATGTGTGGCAGGGAGTATATGGGATATGGGAACCCTCCTTTCCTTCCTCTCAGTTTTGCTGTGAACCTAAAACGTCTCTAAATTTTTTTTTTTTTTTTTTTTGGAGACGGAGTCTCACTCTGTCGCCCAGGCTTGGAGTGCAGTGGTGCGATCTTGGCTCACAGCAACCTCCACCTCCCGGGTTCAAGTGATTCTCCTGTCTCAGCCTCCCGAGTAGCTGCGACTACAGGCGTGTGCTGCCACACCTGGCTACTTTTTTTGTATTTTTAGTAGAGATGGGGTTTCACCATGTTGGCCAGGCTGGTCTCAAACTCCTGATCTCACATGATCTGCCCACTTCAGCCTCCCAAAGTGTTGGAATTACAGGTTGAGTCACTGTTCCCGGCCTCTAAAAATGTCTTTAAAAAAATGATAACTGTTGGTTAGTCCGAGTGCAGTGGTGTTTACAACTAATTGATCACAACCAGTTTTTTCTTTTTTTTTGAGACGGAGTCTTGCTCTTTCGCCCAGGCTGGAGTGCAGTGGTGTGATCTTGGCTCATTGCAACCTCTGCCTTCTGAGTTCAAGTGATTCTCCTGCCTCAGCTTCCTGTGTAGCTGGGATTACAGGCGTGTGCCACCATGCCTGGCTAATTTTTGTATTTTTAGTAGAGATGGGGTTTCACCATGTTGGCCAGGCTGGTCTTGAACTCTTGACCTCAAGTGATTCCCCCATCTTGGCCTCCCCGAGTGCTGGGATTAAAAGTCATGAGCCACTGCGCCCGGCCACAACCAATTTTTTCTTTGTTTTTCTCCACTCCCACTGTTTCACTTGACTAGCCTTAAAAATAAAAATAAAAAAAAAATAATCTTTTAAGAAATGCCTGTTCATGTCCTTTGCCTAATTTTTCATGGTTTTTTTTTTCTTGTAAATTTGTGTAAGTTCCTTGTAGATTCTGGATATTAGACCTTTGTCAGACGGGTAGATTGCAAAAGTTTTCTCCCATTCTGTAGGTTGTCTGTTCACTCTGATGATAGTTTCTTTTGCTGTGCAGAGACTCTTTAGTTTAATTAGATTCCGTTTGTCAATTTTTGCTTTTGTTGCAATTGCTTTTGATATTTTTGTCATGAAATCCTTTTTTTCTCCTTTTTTTTTTTCTTTTTTCTTTTTTTTTTTTGAGACGGAGTCTTGCCCTGTTGCCCAGGCTGGAATGCAGTGGTGCGATCTTGGCTCACTGCAACCTCCGCCTCCCAGGTTCAAGCGATTCTCCTGCCCCAGCCTCCCAAGTAGCTGGGATTACAGGTGCATGCCACTACACTCAGCCAATTTTTTTTTGTATTTTTAGTAGAGACAGGGTTTCACTATGTTGGTCAGGCTGGTCTCAAACTCTTGACCTCGTAATCCGCCCGCCTTGGCCTCCCAAAGTGCTGGGATTACAGGCATGAGCCACCGCGCCCAGCCTCCTTTCTTTCCTTCTGTTGGATTGATTGAGTCCTCACCGCCATCACTTCCTTTCCCTTACCTTAATCCCCTCTCTCCACTCTCTTCTACCAACTGGCAAAGTGTATGCATAAGTATATGCTTACTTAAATTTCTACTTTCCTAATAAATTTCAAAGTTAATCAGTATCTCTCTCCTCTTCCTGAATAAGAAAAAGGATTTAAGACACTTCGCCTTTTTTTCAAACTGCCTCTCTCATATTTTGTTATTGTTGTCTATTGCTTTGGTTCACCAGGTTTTTAAAAAACATTAGCAGCTGGGCGCTGTGGCTCACGCCTGTAATCCCAGCACTTTGGGAGGCCGAGGCAGGCGGATCACGAGGTCAGGAGATCGAGACCATCCTGGCTAACATGGTGAAACCCCGTCTCTACTAAACAAAATACAAAATATTAGCCGGGCATGGTGGCAGGCGCCTATAGTCCTAGCTACTCGGGAGGCTAAGGCAGGAGAGTGGCGTGAACCTGGGAGGCGGAGGTTGCAGTGAACCGAGATCGCGCCACTGCACTCCAGCCTGGGCAACAGAGCGAGACTCTGTCTCAAAAAAAAAAAAAAAAAAAACAAAACGTTAGCTACTATAATCATTATTTAGAGTCAATACAATTTATGAACATAGTGAGCTACTAATATGTTTGCTTACCTTTGCTTCTTTAAGCTTATACTTTATCTTATGGGCTCATTTTTCTTCTCCTTTCAGTAGGATGTAATGGGTAGCAAACTTTTATAATTTGTATGGTTAATAAAAGTCTTAATTTTTTTCTCTTTTTTGAATATAGTTTACTGAGGCATGGATTTCTAAGTGGACTCTTATTTTCTCTTTGTACTTTGAAGAGATCATTTTGATATTTTCTGGTATCTGTTGATGGTGATGGAAATTCTGTTGTCAATATTGTTCTTTTCTAGATGATTTACTTTTTTCTCTTTTTTTCATTTTCCTGAATATTTTCTGTTTTAACTTATTGTCTCTATGTTGGATTTTTTTTTTCCTTCTAATTCTGCTTCTTCTGGCTCTGTACTTTTCAATCTAAGGACCCAGGACTTTATTCAGTTTTAGAAAATTCTCTTTGGTTTCTCTATTATTATTATTTTTTCTAGGATTTCTTTTTCTCCTTTTTTATTTTATTTTTGTTTCATTTTGTTTCGGATGTATTTATTTATTTATTTATTTATTTATTCCCAGAAATGTGGTCTTGCTATGTTGTCCAGGCAGGTCTTGAACTCCTGGGCTCGTCATCCTCCTACCTCAGTCTCCCAAGCAGCTGGGACTACAGGTGCATACGACTGCTCCGGGCTTGTCTTACAGATTTTTTTCTGTTTATCTCTTTGAACATTTCAATTTCCCTTTAAAAAAAAACTTTCAGATCCTGCTATTATTTTGTGTTTTTTGGGTCTAATTTTTCTGTTTATTGTGTTTGTTATCTCTCATATTGTTACATTTCTTCTTACACTTTGTAAATTTTGTTTTTGAGCTTATGTTTGGTGAGAATTATCTTGCTCGGAGGTCCTTTGTATTCCTTGGGTTGTACAGGCATCCCTAGGGCCCTATGGGGTATTTCTTTCTAGAGCAGTCTTTAGATTATTTCTCAGTTCCACATTGGACTTGTGGTACAGCCAAGGGAATTGTATTTCTAGAAGTTGATTTTTTCCACCTCTTACCTACCGAAGCAGAAGCCATTTTTAAGCCATCTTCTTAAGCTTCTGGGCAGTATTGTCCTGGCTCCTATCTTTATGCTGGGAATTGAGTTCTGGCTTCCCCTTTAACAGGTATGTCTTGCCTTCTGCCTTATCCTGATTGCTATTTGCACATCTGCCTTAAAGCTAAAGTCCTTGTGATTTGGTTTTCCCAGTAGGCCACTCGGCTCAGTGCTGTGGGTTTCTTTCCCGCTTTTGGCATCTGGAAGTTTTCGTTTTCTGGTTCTGAGCGCTATGGGTTGTTTTTTGTTTGTTTGTTTGTTTGTTTTTTAAGTCTTGAGTTTCTGTTTGTTTATAACAGGAGGGGAGGCCTTAGCACTTCAGCTCATTCCGTTATCTTAACTGTCTACAGAGATGATGTTTCTCCACTTTCTCTATAAAGGAACAGGTTCAGAGAGATTGAGATTGTTGCTTGTTCATGGTCACATGGCTAGTAAGTGGTGGAGCTGGAAATTGAAAGCACTTCAGAGTTGGCTGGACGCAGTAGCTCACGCCTGTAATCCCAGCACTTTGGGAGGCCATGGCGGGCAGATCACAAGGTCAGAAGATCGAGACCAGCCTGGCCAATATGGTGAAACCCCATCTTAAGAATACAAAAATTAGCTGGGCATGGTGGCGGGCGCCTGTAGTCCCAGCTACTCGGAAGGCTGAGGCAGGAGAATAGCTTGAACCCAGGAGGTGGAGGTTGCAGTGAGCCGAAATCGCGCCACTGCACTCCAGCCCGGGTGACAGAGCGAGACTCCATCTCAAAAAACAAACAAACAAAAAAAAGAAAGCACTTCAGAGTCTATGCTCTCTTCATTCCACAGAGCTTCTGATTTGTTTTGGTTGCCTATTATATTCATAGGCGTTAGATCCATAATAGAAAACTCATCATAGTTATGGTGATTCTGGTGCTGTCTTTCACTGAGAATCCAGGGATGGCTTTTGTTTGTTCGAAACAATTGTTTATTCATTTATTTATTTAAAAAATTTCAACTTTTATTTTACATACAGGGGGTACATGTGCAGGTTTGATGCATAAATATATTATACCCAGGTAATGAGCATAGGACCCAGTAGCTAGTTTTTCGACCCATGGTCCCCTTTCTCCCTCTCACCTCTAGTAGTCTGCAATGTCTGTTATTCTCATGTTTATATCCATGTGTGCTCAGTGTTTAGCTCCCACTAAGTGAACACATGCGGTATTTGGTTTTCTGTTTTTGTGTTAGTTTGCTTAGAATTATGGCCTCCAGCTCCATCCATGTTGCTGCAAAGGACATAATTGCATTTTTTTAACGGAGTCTTGCTCTGTCGCCCAGGCTGGAGTGCGTTGGCACGACCTCGACTCACTGCAACCTCTGCCTCCCAGGTTCAAGCAATTCTCCTGCCTCAGCCTCCTGAGTAGCTGGGATTACAGGCATGTACCACCACACCAGGCTAATTTTTGTATTTTTAGTAGAGACAGGGTTTCACCATGTCGTCCAGGCTGGTCTCGAACTCCTGACCTCAAATGATCCACCCGCCATGGCCTCCCAAAGTGCTGGGATTACAGGCGTTAGCCACTGCGCCTGGCCTAATTGCATTCTTTTTTTATGGCTGCTTACACGGATGGTTGCGTAGTATTCCATGGCGTATATGTATCATATTTTCTTTATCCAGTCCACTATTGATGGGCACCTAGGTTGATTCCATATCTTCGCTATTGTGAATAGTGTGGTGGTCAACTCATCGTATGAATGCATGTGCATTTTTGGTAAAATGATTTATTTTCCTTTGGGTATATAGCCAGTAATGGGATTGGTGTTTTAAGTTCTTTGAGAAATTAGCAAACTGCTTTTTACAGTGGCTGAACTAACTTACATTCCTACCAACAGTATATAACCATTCCCTTTTCTCCATAGCCTCACCAGCATCTGTTGTTTTCTGACCTTTTTTTTAGTAATAGCCATTCTTACTGGTATGAGATATCTCATTGTGGTTTGGATTTGGATTTCTCTGATGATTAGTGATGCTGAACATTTTTTCATGTATTTGTTAGCCACTTGTATGTCTTCTTTTGAGAAGTGTCTGTTCATGTCCTTTGCCCATTTTTTAATGGAATTGTTTTTTGCTTGTTGATTTGTGTAAATTTTTTTTTTATAGATTCTGGATATTAGACCTTTGTTGAATGTATAGTTTGTGAATATTTTCTCCCTTTCTGTAGGTTGTTTACACTGTTGATAGTTTCTTTTGCTGTTGTGCAGAAGCTCTTTAGTTTAATTAGGTCCCACTTGTCAATTTTTGCTTTTGTTGCCATTCCTTTTGAGGACTTGGCCAAAAACTTTCTGCCAAGGCCAATGTTGTGAAGGGTATCGCCTAGGTTTTCTTTTTGGATTTTTATAGTTTGAGGTCTTACATTTAAATCTTTAATCCATCTTCACTTAATTTTTATATATGGTGAAAGATAAGGATCCACTTTCAATCTTCTTAATATGGCTAGTCAGTTATGCCAGTACCATTTATTAAATAGGGTGTCCTTTACCCATTGCTTGTTTTTGTTGGCCTTGTCGAAGATTAGCTGGTTGTAGGTGTGCAGGTTTATTTCTGAGTTTCCTATTCTGTTCCATTGGTCTATGTGTCTGTTGTTGTACCAGTACAAGAACAGCATTCTGGTTACTATAGTCTTATAGTTTGAAGTCAGGTAGTGCACTGCCTCTGGCTTTGTTCTTTTTGCTTAGGATTGCTTTGGCTATTTGGGCTCTTTTTGGTTCCATATAAATTTTAGAATAGTTTTTTCTAGTTCCGTGAAGAATGTCATTGGCAATTTTATAGGAATAGTATGGAATCTGTAAATTGCTTCGGAGAGTATATACATTTTAATTATATTGATTCTTCCTATCCGTGAGCATACAATGTTTTTCCATTTATTTGTGTTGTCTCTGATTTCTTTCAGCAGTGTTTTGTAGTTCTCCTAGAGATCCTTCACTTCCTTGGTTACCTGTATTCTTAGATATTTCATTTTCTTTGTGGCTGTTGTAAGTAGGATTGTGTTCTTGATTTCACTCTCAGCCTGGCCATTGTTTGTGTATAGAAATGCTACTGATTTTTGTACATTTTTTTATCCTGAAACTTTACTAAATGTGCTTATCAATTCTAGTAGCCTTTTGACAGAGTCTTTAGGATTTTCTAGGTATAGAATCATATTGTCAGTAAAGAGAGATAGTTTGACTTCTTCTTTTCCTATTTGAGTGCATTTTATTTCTTTCTTTTGCCTGGTTGTTCTGGCTAGGACTTCCCAATTATTTATTTGTTTATTTATTTTTTTCTGAAACGGAGTCTTGCTCTGTTGCCCAGGCTGGAGTGCAGTGGTGCGATCTCGGCTTATTGCGACCCCTGCCTCCTGGGTTCAAGCAATTCTCCTGTCTCAGCCTCCTGAGATTGGGATTACAGGTGCATGCCACCACACCTGGCTAATTTTTATGTTTTTAGTAGAGATGGGGTTTCACCATATTGGGCAGGCTGGTCTCCAACTCCTGACCTTGTGATCCGCCTGCCTCTGCCTCCCAAAGTGCTGGGATTACAGTCGTGAGCCACCGCGCCCGGCCTCCCAATTATTTATTATATGTAACTTATGTGTTATACTCAATAGGATAGATGTTATAACTGCTAATAATAATTATTAGTGATTAGGCACTTAATATATACCACACACTGTGATTTATCCTTTAAGCATTTCACATATTTTGATCATTACAACCATGCTGTGTGGTAAATTGAACCATTCCCTGTTTAATAGCAGTTGAAACCCAGTTGCAGAGATTAAGTAACATACTTGTGATTATATAATGAGTAATAGAGAAGCCAAGATTTGAACCCAGATATGTTTGATTTCAGTGGTTATGTTCTGAATCATTAGATTATACTACTTCTAGCAGAGCCCCTTTATCAAGTGTTGGGAGCTGGGACTAAGGCTTATGTTACAGATCATGTGTTGGTGAGTCTCAGCTTGTAGTAATGTACTTCTCCTTGCTGGTTATTTTGATAACCAGTTACTCTACATATGTCCTCAGTATTTCCAGAAAGAAAGGACAGATGGTTTTCAAAGGGAGCATGCCTCTGATAAGCTAATGATATTGTTACCTCTGAGGGAATTTGTTTTGGATGTATGTATCTGAATCTATAGGAAGGAGTCAGATTGCAGTTGGAGAGAAGGGATTAAGGTGGGATTTGATTGATTTTAAGTGGCCTCAAGCATACATGTGAGAACGAAAGAGGCAAACCATGGTCCACGTTACTTGGAAAACCTCTGTCTGGATAAAATATTAGATTGGGGATTTTGGAAGGCTTCTTCTATTTGTCTAGATATGTTCTTGTTTTTGTTGTTGTTTTTGTTTTTGAATAAGGGCTCTAGAATAGCCTTGTTTACCTCCCCAAACAGCAGGACACATTATTGAAGTGACATGAGAGGGTCTGTGTCAGTGTTAGGATCATTGTGCATTCTCTGGGCCAGCAGAGGGAGCTCTGTATTAAGTTAATGGGTTATAATCGTGTTCCCATTTGAGTTCACAAATCCCCTTTATATAAAAGTAGCCTTTATGCTAGAACAAGACCATTACTTATTCATTCTTAAGTGTATTTTAAGTAACCGCAGTGACACTAGGGCAATGTCTTTATTTTATTTAGTTGGGAGATTGGATACCTCATACTTGGCAAAGTTCAAATAAGAAGTCAGCCAAAACATCTCAAAATAGTCACTTTTTCTCTCCCTTCCCAGATTTCTCAGTGGACTTGACACAATTGGTGTTCTTTTTCTGTAGCATGGTACCATGCATATAGTTTTTAAACTGTAATCAGCTAAAATGGCCTTACTTGAATAACTGAATAAATTTTTTAAAAAACCTAATAATTCTTGTGTAGAACTGATTTGAAAGTTCTTGTGTAGAACATACATATATATATATATATATATATTTTTTTTTTTTTTTTTAAGTCAAGTTGTTGGGAGCCAGGACTAAGGCTTATGTTACAGTAAATAACAGTAAAAATATATATATTCCTGATATAGATCAGGAATTTGTTTTTGTTTACAATATGAGCTCTAGTAGTCTGTTTTATTTTTCCATCTGAAAGACTTGCTTCCTCCCTCTATCCAGGTCTTTGATCCTGTCACCTTCTCAGTCCTTCTTTGACTATTTGTCTGCAATAGATTTCCCATCCCCTTATTTTTCTTTTCATCACAGATTACTTCTTGAAATTTATATCACTCTTCTCCGATACAAATTTTTTTTTTTTTTTGAGATGGAGTCTTGCTCTGTCACCAGGCTAGAGTGCAGTGGCGCGATCTCAGCTCACTGCAACCTCTGCCTCCTGGGTTCAAGCAATTCCCCTGTCTCAACTTCCCAAGTAACTGGGACTACAGGCACGCACCACCACACCTGGCTAATGGTTTGTATTTTAGTAGAGATAGGGTTTCACTGTTTTGGCCAGGATGGTCTCGATCTCCTGACCTCGTGATCCGTCCACCTCAGCCTCCCAAAGTGCTGGGATTACAGGCGTGAGCCACTGCACCCGGCCTCTCCCATATAAATTTTAGGATCAGTATATCAAATTTTATAAAATACTACTGGAATTTTGACTTAATTGCATTGGATACACAGATTAATTAGGCAGAATTGCCATCTCTGTGTTAATTCTTTCTATGCATGAACATGGTTTATCTTTCAATCTGTTTGGTCTATCTTTTATATTCTTAGATAATTTTATAATTGTACCAACAAAGATGTTTTAGAGCTTTTTGTTAAATCTATTTTTAGATACTTATTTGTTGCTATTACAAATGGCATAGTTTAAAAAACTTTTGTTTCTAACATTTTTCTTCTATAGACAACTACTGTAGATATTTATGGACTGTTTTATTCATTGTAACAGGTTTTATGGAGATTGCCTTTTTAAAAAAATGGAGACAGTCTTATTGTCTATGAATTATGATTATAGTTTTTCCTTTTGATCTTTATATATAATCTTCTTCTTCTTCTTCTTCTTTTTTTTTTTTTTGAGGCACTGTCTCACTCTGGAATGCAGTGGCGCGATCCTAGCTCACTGCAGCCTTGAATTCCTGGGGCCAAGCAATCCTCCTGCCTCAGCCACCTGAGTAGCTGGGACCACAGGCATGTGCCACCACACCTGTGATTTTTTTTTTTTTTTTTTTTTTTTTTTTTTTATAGAGATGGGATCTCCCTGTGTTGCCCAGGCTGGTCTGGAACTCCTGGGTGCAGGTAATCCTCCTTCCTCAACCTCCCAAAGTACTGGGATTACAAGTGTGAACCACCAAGCCTGGCCAAGGTTTTTTTCTTATTAAGACCTCCAATACAGTGTTGCATAGTAGAGCTGGTAGTGGACATTCTTGTCTTGTTGCTCACTTTAAAGAAAATTCTTGGGATTTTTTACCATGGAGTCTGATTTTGCAGCAGAATTTGGTCGATACCCCTTAACAGGCTAAATAAGTTTTGGTTTATTTTTAGTTTAAGAGGTTTTATTTAAAAAAAATTCTTTAATTAATGTTGTTTTGTCTTTTTTTAATTTGAATAGTTAGCTTTTTAATTTTCTTGCTTACTAATACATTTAATCAACATTGTAACTTTTTCTCTTAGTTCTGTTTTAGCTGTATTCCATACATTTTCATATGTGGTATATTGTAAATATTTTTTTCCAGTGTGTAGTGCTTGTGCTATACACATTTATTTTTTAACCCATGAGTTATTCGGAAGTGTTTTTTAATAGCAAATGTATGATTTTTAAAAACTGCTTATTTAAAATTTTTAATTTATAGAATTGTGGTTGAAGAGTGTGGTCTGTTATATCAATTCTTTGTTATTTTTTGAGACATTGTGGCCTAACATGTTATTAATTTTCATTAAATGTGCTTTGTGTGTCTTAAAAATAATGTATTTTCTAATTGTTTGGTGCAGGAATCTGTAATTAGCAATCAGTTGCTAATTGTCTTTCATTTGTCTATCTTTACCAATTTTTGATACTTGATCTTTTAGCTTCTGGAGATTTGTTAAAATTGTTAAATTGTTAAAATTGTCACTGTGTGGTTGTGGGTTTTGTTAATTTTGGTATTACTCACATATGTCATCCAAAATAATATACTGGTGGCACTGAATACAATTGGTAGTACTGTGAAAATGATGGAATTTTTTGCATATTTTCTCTTTTATATTAAATTATATATTTTCTCTTTCTTTTATCTTAATATGCAGAAGAATAGTTTCACCATTATCCGTTTTCAAGCAACCATTTTTTTAAAGCAGAAGAATTTCTTCTGTTTTATTTGATCATTATGAAATAGGGTGTTAATATTTAGAGCTAAAATGAAAACGGTCCAGGATGTGGTGGCTCATGCCTGTAATCTCAGCACTTTGGGAGGCCGAGGTGGGTGGATCACTTGAGGTCAGGAGTTCGAGACCAGCCTGACCAGCATGGCGAAACCCCATCTCTACTAAAAATACAAAAAATCAGCTGGGTGTAGTGGGGCGTGCCTGTAATCCCAGCTACTAAGGAAGCTGGGGAAGGAGAATCTCTTGAAACCGGGAGGCGGAGATTGCAGTGGGCCAAGATCGTACCACTACACTCCAGCCTGGGTGACAGAGCAAGACTGTCTCAAAATAAAATAAAATAAAATAAAATGGAAAGGATTAATTTTATACTTGATGTAGAAAGAATCCAAGCTTTCACAACATTATTAAATATTTAAAAAGTATATATTTGAAAGCAAAAAAATATTTTTTTTTTAGTGGCAAAGATAACAAAAACATTTTGGAGCAACTGAAGTAGCTTGATTTGCACAGACTTGTAGTTTAGCAGTTAAATGCTTTTGCCCCTCATGAGGAAATGACAAGCCAAAGGATGGCCACTTGCAGTAACATGTACTCATCCACTAAAGATTTGACATGCGGCGGTTCTTCCTCTCAGGATTCATTGGCGATAATGTCATGGTTTTCTTGTCCTTACCACATTCCCAAGAGATGCATAGCCCTGGTCACCCCTCCTCATCTCCAGGCTTAATAGGTCAATGGGAGGCAGAACTTGGACTACTAATTGAAAGAATGTTTCCCCTGACCAAGCCTTCAAATTAGATTCAGTGAATTGAAGGGAGTGAGATGATGATTCCTCTTTAAAACTTGTACTTAGTGCATAAGATTCTAATTTTTCTCCCAGAGCAACAGCCACATTAATCTCTTTGAAACAGAATTTTAAAGCATAATGACATAATTAAGTTAGGGCAACTAAGAGACATGTTTTAGTTAAATTACTGAGATAGTATTTTGTGGTAAAAACATTATGTGTTTATAGTTCCTCAGAAAGTCCTAAGTTTCATGAAGGCACCTATTGTTGCTGTGAGTTTCCTCATGTTGAAATCAGGTGAAAGGCTAGGCTGTTGTCAAAATGATTTTACTTCAACACCGTCCATCAGATACTGATTTCAGAGCTGCATAAGATAGGAATTCTTGACTCAGAGCCTATTTTCTTTCCATCTGCAGTTTGAAAGGGGTTGTTAGAACATTGTCTCCCTTGTGTGTTATCTGTCTTATTCTCACTGACTCAGATTATGGCATTTGCAAGTACAGTAATTAGGACATAAAGTACTGCAAGTATTTTAACACTTCTTTTACCACGGTAGCCTTACTGTCCAATTTCTGATCCCTTCAGGATTTAAACATCTATCATCAGAGTATTGTGTTGGTGTATGCTTGCCACTCACAGTCAGCATCACATGAGAGTTTCAGACAGCATTAGTCCAGTTATGCACCCCAAAACTAAAGCTGAAAACATTTGATTTTGTTGGAACCCTATCTCTGAGTAAGGGCAAGAGAAGGACAAAGGAGTAGTGGAGTGAACATTGATTTTTAGCATCAGTCTTTGGCTTGAAACTTTGCTCAGGGTCTTACAGACTACGTCACCTTGGTCAGGTTCTTTCTTTTTTGATCCTCAGTTTCCTTGTCTGAAAAAATGGGGCACCAAAGTTCCTATTTTGTAGTTTTGTCAAGATGATATGAGATTGTATGTGTAAAATATTTAATGTGTAAATGCTCAAAAATGGTAGGTATTATAGTAAGTCTTTTAATGTATGAGAGTGTTTTTTTCATTGGACGTAAACATTTCTTCAACAGTGCTACTTTTCTTCTTCCTAATTCCTTTTCTCTTGATACTAACTTTTTACTAACTTTTAGTTTTTGCTCTTGGTATTGATGATGTTTTGTAGGTGCCACCCCAGGAATGCCTGAGTGCTGGCATGAACATGGTTGAGCTAAGGGAAGGTCACTTGTCAGTTTCAGTAACATTTTACCATTGTGCCGAGAAGAGAGAGGGAGGCTCTGTGTGGTTTGTGTCTGTGTGTGTCTGTGTTTTAAATTCCTTGGCAATAAGATGATACATGTTTTGAGAATCTATTAAATAGCCCAGAATACAAGGTGACGGATTTTTAAGAGGGCCAGACTTTAGATACACATGAGCCTTCTTTTGTAAAGTTTCAGCCTCTTATCTTAATACAGTGGAATTTATTACCGACTGGATTTTTTTTCCACCCCCGAAAGATAACCACTGTGGTTCACTGTGCATTTTATCAGTAGCTCCCTCGTGGGTGAGATTTACAATAGAAGAGCAGACATCTTGGTACTTAGGTTTTTCTCACAGTTTCAAAAATAATTCAAGGTTGTCCTGCCAGAGTGGAGACTAAATCCTAATTGTTTGTGCAGTTTTTCTTATTGTATCCAGATGTTGGGCCCCCTTTTATCTTTGGAAACCATTAGCATTCTTGATTCTTTTGGAATGAGCCAAAAAGCACAGAACTCCTGATGCCTGAAAATTCATTCAGAACACCCTGCCAGACCACATTTTAGGATATGAAAGTACCAGATCTCAGTATAACTTGAGTGAAGGGCTCAAGGCCTATATATTTTGAAAGATAGCTACTCCAGTATAGTTATATTGGTAAAAGGAGAGCCAAGAACAGCCATGAGGGAAATACATTTTTCAAGAGAGGGCAGTAGCATAATGGTAATGAAGAACATAGGAAAGTGAATCACAAACAATATACTTTGGTCCTTAAGCCTAAGAGGCAGATAAATCTTTCTTCATCAGTTAGTGGAATATATTATTTCTCTGTTGCTCTAAGCTTGCTGTTCTGACCTTCTTTTGTTCAGCAAGAAAATGGAGATACATTTTTAAATATCAATTTAAGTGGATCTATAAAGAAAAAGCAGATGATTCTTTTCAAATGTTTATGCTCTATAAATATCAATTTGGAATCAGTATTTGTTTATAATGAATATTTAATACCAACCAAGAAGCATTTATTAAATAGTCACTATGTGTCATTAACATGTAGAGTATGAAAACCAAATGAGGCATTCACTGCTTTCAGTAACTTATATATTAAAAGGGGAAGATGACATTTGTCATTATCATTATCTAATACTTATGGCATGTGTACTGTTCTAATTGTTCTAATTCCTTATGTGTATAGAGCATTACTCTAGGCGCTTCAAATAATAGTATTTGATAATGATGCGACGTAGGAGAAAGGACTTCTACATATGAAGGTAATAATATACTAAGACAAATGCTAGGTAAGTGGTACAGGAAAGCGTTAAAGGATTTGTGAAAAGGAAGGCAATGACTCAGATATGCAGGAAGGCTGGGGAAGGATGTTACAGGCAGGTGCAAAGTCAGAAAGGTAGAAATGTGTTTTCATTATTCAGGTTGGCCGAAGCAGATGTGGGTGTTGACTGGATTTTGGAAGACTTTGAATTTGAAAGTAAGGAGTTTGAACCTGATTCTCTTGTTAATAGGGTATCTGAAGACACTTTGACTAGGAAAGTGATAAAATGGAGTTTCAAAAGACTGTAAAAGGTGAGACCAATTAGGAAATTCTTGCAAGAACCAAGATGTGGACCATTCTCACCTGTGAACATTTTTTATCTTTTTAGATGTGCTGCCACTATTGCTCTAGTTAGTAATCCTTTGAATTTTGGATTTAGCTCTCTTTGAATTTATATATTTCAGTTCACCAGAATTAAAACAGCTAGAGCACCATTGCCCAGAAATTAAGTCCATTCATATAGAGGCAGTTACTGAAACTGCTTAACTGGAAGAGTTATTCTGGGCTCCAGGGAACCTTATAACTTATGATTCCAGCAATTCTTAGTGGTTTCAAAGGACATTCAAAGGAATATTTATGGCTGTACACAGCTACTTGGATAGTAACCAGTGTAATTAAATGAGCTGATACATGTAAAGCACTTAGGTGCCTGGTAACAAAAACAAAACCCAAAACCACACACTCATAACAAATGTTAGAAAAAAACAAACCCTGTGATAAGAATTGCACATTAAGGCATACTATTCCAAGCCAGAGGAAAACATTTGCAGGATTACCAGAGTTGTTGTTGTTGTTGTTGTTGTTGTTTTTCCTGCAAACATTCATGCATGAAACAGAGAAAAAAAATCAGGCTCTGCCCAGTTCTCTGGTTTGCACAGAATTAATTACAATTTAAGTAGAAAAGAGTCATTGTAGGAATTAAGGAAACAGTAGGTTGACCATATTGGTTTACTTAGTGACAGTCTGGAAAATGAAGGTTTGAAATTGAAGGTCATGAAGTTTAAGGTCTAGTAGATGGTCATTCCAATGGAACAGTGGGCTTCAGTCTTTGGTCAAGGTCCTTCCCAGTTATGACTACCTAGACATTATGTTGTAGTTCATATGAATCCAGAAATAAGAGCAAATAGTTAAGGAAAGGTGTCTTGCTGCTTAAAAAAAATTGAGTTACTGACATATAATTTACACACCATACAATTTGTTCATTTAAAGTGTACAGTTTAATGGTTTTTAGTTTATTCACAGAGTTGTGCAACCATCACCACAATCTAATTTTTAAAATTCTATCTAATTTTTAAAGTTCTACTTTTTTTTTTTTTTTTTAATTTGGAGACAGGATCTTGGTCTGTTGCCCAGGCTGAAGTGCAGTGGCATGAGCATAGCTTACTGCAGTCTTGAACTGGGCTCAAGTGATCCTTCTGCCTTAGCCTCCTGAATAGTTGGGACTACAGGTGTGCACCACTATGCCCAGCTAATTTAAAAAAAAAATTTTTGTAGAGACAGGGTCTCACTATGTTGCTCAGGCTAGTCTCGAACTCGTGGCCTCAAGCCATCCTCCTGCCTTGGCCACCTGAAGTGCTGGAATTACAGGCATGAGCCACCATGCCTGGCCACTATTTTTAAATTGAGATATAATTTATATGTCATAAAATTTGCCATTTTAAAGCATAGAATTCAGTGTTTTTTTAGGATATTAACAAGGTGTTGCAACTTTAAGCACTATTGAATTCAAGACATTTTTATCATCCCCTCAAAAAACTCTAATCCTGTTAGCAGTCACTTCTCATTTGCCTCTCACCCCCAGGCAACCATTAATCTACTTTCTGTCTCTATAGATTTGCCTGTTTTGGACAGTTTATGTAAATGGAATCATATAACATGTGGCCTTTTGAGAATGGCGTCTTTCATTTTGCATAATGTTTTTGAGGTTTATCCATGTTATAGCATGTATCACTATTTCTTTTTGTTGCTGAATAATATTCCACTGTATGGATACACTGCATTTTGTTTATCTGTTCATCAGCTGATAGACATTTGGGTTGTTGATTCCTTCTGCTTTTACGTAGCATTTTTCAAAGAAAAATAAATGGAAGATACAGTTGCTTATGAATTCACTGCTTTGTCTGTAGGCTTAGACAGATTGTTCATTTAGCTTGACAAATGCTGCTTACAAAGAAAAATAGGCCAGTCTTAGCATAGGAATTCATGCATTTCCGGCATCAGATAAAAGAATCAGAGCAAGATGTGGTATTTTCAAGGCTTGATTTCTCTCTTCAGTCCATTCTTTCTACGGCTTTAGGTTTCTTGTATTATCATTCAGCTGAACATCTTTATTTCTTGGGATACATCTGAAAAAATATGCTAGCTCAAGTTAAAACAAAAAACCCACAAGCTAGCTGAAGCCCTGGGGGACAGCATGGCCTTTAATCAGCTTGGAATGATTCTCTTACACTTTTCAACCTGACAAGCTGCTGTCCAGCACACTTGATCATCTATCTAGCTAACGGGTGCTGAAAGAAAAGTTCAAAGATAAGGTTACTGGGAAAATTACATTTCCCCACTCTTTCTGCACTTAGTTTAATGGCAGTTCTAACATGTCAAGAATCTTTATTTTGATTTTAGAGACTGTACAATATGAGATGTAGATCACTAAACTTAAAACCTGACATTTGGCATTCAAGTCCCATCCTTGTTGGTTACTAGCTTAGAAATCTGCAAATTTCTCACTTGTAAAAGGGGCATAATAAATAACATATATCTCAAAAGACTCTTTGAGGATTAAGTGATATAGTACATTTTCTGGCACTTGATAGATGCCTATTAAGTGTAAGGCTTTTCCCCCTCTACTTTATATGGTGGTCATGCAGTTTGGATGTGCAGTTTGGATGAGACCATTATGTGAAAGCACCTAGTAGAAAGCCTGAAATGTAGAAGGTATTTAGTGAATGTTAGTTAAATTTGAACCTAAGTTTCCAAAGAATAGAACTCTTTTTTCCAGATTTAGGGGTGTATGTTTATGCGTGTGTGTGTGTGTGTGTGTGTGTGTGTATGTTTATGTTTATGTTTATGTTTATGTTTATGTGAGATAGAGATACTGAAACTGTGTCAGTTAGCTTTTGCTGCATTGTAAACCACCCTAAAATTTAGTGGTTTAAAATAGCCATTTTATTTAACTTGATTCATGATTCTGTAAGTTGGCAGTTAGGTTGGACTCAGGTAGGCAGGCAATTCTGGTCTGAGCTGGTTAGCTCTGCTCTGTGGTCAGCTGGTGCAATAACAGCTGGGGATGGCTGATTTATTTGTTGAGACATTTGTTGACTTGGGCCTCTCCACGTAGTATTTCACCATCTAGCAGGCTCAATCAGGTTTATTTATATTATAGTAAAATATACAAGACTTTTTTTTTTTTTGAGACAGGGTCTTGCTCTGTTACCCAGGCTGGAGTACAGTTGTGCGATCATAGCTCACTGCAGCCTTGACCTCCTGGGCTCAGGTGATCCTCCTGCCTCAGCCTCCCAAATATTTGAGACCACAGGTGCGTGCCACCACACCCAGCTAATTTTTTTAAAAAATTATTATTTGTAGAGACCAGGTCTTGCTATGTTGCCCAGGCTGGTCTCGAACTCCTGGGCTCAAGCAGTCTACCCACCTTGGCCTCCAAAGTGGTGGGATTACAAGCATGAGCCACCATGCCCAGCCTACACAAGAATTTTTAAGTCTCTTCTTGCTGTACATTTGCTATTGTCTCAATGCCCAAAGCAGGTTAGATAGCCAGGCCCAGAGTCATTGTGAGAGGGAGTAAGGTAAGGATGAAGATACCAAGAGGAAATTGTTGTGGCCATTTTTAAAAACAATTTATCTTAGATACTAATTGTGATAGGAATGCAAATCTGTTTACTGAGAATTATTATCAGTCTATAAAATCAGACTTAGTACAGGTGCTGCAATGTAATGACAGTGTTATTCACAATAGGAATACTGCTGTCTTCTTCATATAAACTTAACATGTCAGTAAAGCACTCTCACACATGAAGAAAGAATCATTATGGTGGAGGCATTTATTTTCTGGAATCACTAAATACAAGGATCAGCTAATTGTTTTTGAATGTCTGCTGTTTCTTGCCAGTTAAGGTGGCTTCCCCTATCAGTCAGTTCATTCAGTTTTTCACTTTAGTTCCATAAAATATTTCATCTGCATCTCTAGACGATATCTTTATTACAGTTTGAGTTACCTCTTCCATCTGTTAAACCACCAACAACAAAAAATCCAAAGAATCAGAGATACTCTTGTCACTAAAATATTTCTTGAGTCTTAACTATTTTTCACTTTGGTCTTTGCTTTATGCCTGTACACATCTAGTTGTAGCATGTTTTAGATGAGAGGCATCCAGTATCATAATCCTACTAGAGATAAGAACTTCTTCTTTTGAATAGTTATTAATAACTGAGCATAAATATGTTTTCATATGCTACTGCCAAGTCATAAAATCACGGAATTTTTCAAAGCTGCAGGGAACATTAGATATAATCTGGCCCTGTGTCTTCTTTTTGCAGATTGGGAACCTGTGGTTTTACCAAGATCGTGTAGTCAGAACCAGAATCTAAATCTTTGAACTGCAGGATAGGGATTACTTTCCATTTTTTTTTATTGTGGTAAAATATACATAACATAAAATTTGAGGAGAGGAATTTTTCCGTTCTTCTGTCTCCAAAATCAACTTTAGCTTTTTGGCAATCTGATAAATGTAACATTTTAACTAATCATTTTGCTATAATTAAATTTCTAATACATATGTGCATTTTACTTACAGCTTATATCTGAATATGTGGTTAGATAAAAAAAATTCTCTTTTTATTTCACTTTAGTTTTTGGAACTTCGAATTCTAATAAATGTCAGGTATAATCAGGTCCCTGGTATTGATATCAGAAGGTAAAAGCAAATACATTTTAGATAGACTTTCTTATTTGTGGATTTTCATTGTTGAAAGAGACAAAGAACAGTTGGTGTTTTAACTCCAAAAATTAGAAATTTTTAAGTGGGTTGGTAAGAAAGAAGAACTCAAATATGAGGCAAGCAGATGTTCTCACTTTTTCATCTGAACAGTGACAGAAATAGACAAATAATTATATTCTCACTTAACAGACATTTCTTTGATTTTTATGACATGGTTTAGAATTAGACCACAGAAATGTTATCTTTAGTGTTTCATCATCCTTGGTTTAAAGATTCAATTTCTTAAGTCCACCTGTATTGCAACTGAAAGTAATTAATGAAGAACCATAGAAATATATTGTTTTATTGTTGGATATAATACATTTTAAAAAAGAATGACGCCCTTATGGTTTTTGTAAATTCCATTGGAGAAAAAGTTTTAAATTACCTGTTATTTCTGTCCAGAAGTCGCCATTTTTATTGATGAACTCAATTTAGTCATTTATCTGTGCATATATAAAAATGAATGGATGGATGGATAAACAGACGTGAATGACAGAAATAATGAGACAAGAGAGGTTGGTGCGTGATATATGCAGCTTACTCTCAAATTTTAAGTGTGTATTTCCTAAGAAAGAAGATACCCTCTTTTGTTTGTATTTCCTACAAAGGAGTTGCTCTTTTTTGTTACCACAATAAAGTGGTCAAAGACTGATTTTTCCTTTTTATTTCTTGGGACCGTGTCTCACTCTGTCTCCCAGGCTGGAGTGCAGTTGCATGATCATGGCTCTAACATCATACCTAGAGCACACAAAACAAAACACCATATACTTGCTGATTGGTCCTAGCAAATAATGTATTTAATTCTTAATTAGTGAGGAGAAAACAGTGTAGTAGGAAACCATTGGCAGTCTGTGGATATGGGCAGATACGGGATTGGCTGCTGTTGAACTTAGCAATGGTGATAGTGAGAAAAATGACAAATGTTCTGAGAGGTAGGGTGGCTGGCCTGAAACTGGACTAGGAAGTGTCATGAAATAAGTAAGATTGCATAGACCAAGGGTGCCTGGAGAGAAACACTTGCTGTTCTTTATCTTCTAGATACCTTCTCATCTACTTCTTAAGGTGCTGAGCCTTCTGGTTGTTTTTCCTGATTACTGTAGGAAAGGGCCGTATAAACCCCTATGTTCATGGAAAGCAATGAAAAATACTTCCTGTATTTCCCTGTATTAGAATACTAATCAGAGGCACAAAGATACTTCAACCTTTGAAACAGGTACATTCAGCTAGTTTGATTTTTAAATCATGCCAGGTAAAATTATTCTTTCTGCTCTTGTTACTAATAACTAATAGCTGCTGTATTCTGCTCTCTTAACGGTTACTGCTACTATGTAACTGCTGATGCTTTTCTCCAGGATGGTTTGAGGCCCCATCTAAGTCCCCTTTTACCAGTCTTCCCTGACCACACAGCATGCAAGAACTGGGCACATATAATTCTTTTAATCAATTCTATTTATTTTATACCTGTTCAATACTAACTTCTTTTTTTTTTTTTTTTTTTTTTTGAGACAGAGTCTCGCTCTGTCACCCAGGCTGGAGTGCAGTGGCGCGATCTCAGCTAACTGCAAGCTCTGCCTCCCGGGTTCACGCCATTCTCCTGCCTCAGCCTCCCGAGTAGTTGGGACTACAGGCGCCCGCCACCACGCCCGGCTAATTTTTTGTATTTTTAATAGAGATGGGGTTTCATCGTATTAGCCAGGATGGTCTCGATCTCCTGGCCTTGTGATCTGCCCACCTCAGCCTCCCAAAGTGCTGGGATTACAGGCGTGAGCCACCGCGCCTGACCCAGTACTAACTTATTTAAAAAAATGTTCATGAGAAGTAAATAAAATCACCAATAGTCCTACTACCAGAGATAAACCCTGTTAACATTTTGGGTATTTTCCCCTAGTTTTTTTTTTTTCCTATATGTATGATTTTATAGAGTCAAAATCATACTGTATATATAATACTGTATCCTATTTTTTCCTGTAAGTTTATTGTAAGCCATATGTAGATAGTATTTTTAAAGTTACCTAATATTTCATAGAGTGGATGAATTGTGATTTATTTATGTTTTCTTTTTCATGTATGTTTTTCTCATTATTCCAGTTAGATTATGAGATTATCAAAGAAAGTCACCCTACTGTATCATCCCCTCTTCCTACTTAAATGCCTATAGAGAATATTGTATGTGATAGATGCTAAATATTTTTGCTTGCTTCTGTCTCATTCTAAATATTATAGGAGCTGTTTGCTATGGGAGACTCCAAATGTATTATTTGCAGATTATCAGAATCATTGCATCACCCAAATCTTTCCATTTAGAAAGAGGGACCCCAGGGAAATTTCTGAATGTATTTTAGGGGAAATCTTAACTCCTCTGGAATTCCATGAGAATTTTTTGGGCAAGGATTTGTGCATTTTTTGTAGTTTCACTAGATTCTTGAAGGAGTCCTTTATCTAACAGAAATATCCACTGATCCAGAGATTGTAGCCCATCTGGAGATATGTCTATTTATTAAACTTACCTAAAATTTAGAATGTTTCTTTTCATTTTTCATTTTTCTTTGTTTTCAGGAAGGGATGAGACCATGCAGCCTGCGAAACCATCCTTTCTTGAATATTTTGAACAAAAAGAAAAGGAAAACCAGATCAACAGCTTTGGCAAGAGTGTACCTGGTCCACTGAAAAATTCTTCAGATTGGAAAATACCACAGGATGGAGACTACGAGTTTGTAAGTAGTGTTGGAAGTAAATGGTTATGTCTTCAGGGGAAGTTATTTGAAATATCACACATTAGTGCCCAAGCATTTTCTTGTGCATTTTGAGTCTCCTAAACCATCCCTGACAGTGTCTACTGAGCTGAAGGACAGTATTTTGACTGATGTTTGGGCAGTTCTCTGGTCCCTGATTAGTGGCATCTTTTTCGCTTTCGAAGTCCATATTCAGTTTTTATTTTTGTCCAGTTAGAAATTGTTCATGGTGAGAGAAGTATTCAATCATCAAATGAAATTGCAACTGTCTTTAATAGTTTATTTGGGGTTTTGATTTTATATTTAAGAATTAGATTGGAGGGCAATTGACACTGTTTTGTGGTGTCCTTGTTGTTTTGCTAACTATTCTCCTAATTTTAACCCTGCTGAAAGGATTATTCTCAGTTTTTTTCAGAGGATGAATGTATAATTATTCCAGTTTCATATGAAAAACTGGATGTGTTTTCCTTTCTCTACTGTGGAACATTTTCCCTCAACCATAGACACTTATTAATGTTCATAGGCATTTAAGGAGTAGAGCAATAAAAATTTTGGGAAAAAGTAAGCTAAGGAGTCTGCATTTTCTTCTTGACTATTACTAGAAAAGATTTTTCTCTTCAGGAGCTTTTTATTTTTACATTCTAAAATTCTGAAGTTTGATCCTCCATCTGTCATAATTCTGTTGTTTATAAAAGAACTTAGATTGGGCATTGGGCTTGAATTCTGGTAGGCCTGTCTAGTTCTGGCTTTCCACTATACTACTGACTGGCCTAGAGGAAATGACGCCATTCTTCCATAACTTAATTTCTACTTTTATAAAATGGCAGGAATATCACAGTTTATACAACTAATGGTAGAGATCCTTTGAGGACCAGAATAACTCATCTGAGGTAAATTAACTGATTAGTCACTGAACCCATGATAGAACCCAGGCTATTTGTTTTATTACCTGTTTGTTCATTTACTTACTTATCCAGTGGTTTTTTTTTTTTTTTTTGGATGTCATGTGTTTGACACTATTCTAGGGATGTGGTCATTAACAGAACAGCCAAAAACCCATCCCTCATGGAGGTTTCATTCTAGGCGAAGGAAAATAAGTATTTAGTGTGTTAAATGGTAGCAACTATTGTAAAAAATATAAAGCAAAAGGGAGGTTAGGAGACAGAAAGAGTGTGTGTGTGTGTGTGTGTGTGTGTGTGTGCATAGTTTTTTAAAAATAAGAGTAGTCAAGGAAGTTCTCACTGGTAAGAAGATGAGGATGTGAACTATGTGAATATCTAGAGGAGAGATTTTTAGGCAGCAGGAATAGCAGATGCAAAGATCCTGAGGCAGGGACTTGGCTGGTATGTTTACAGAACAACGAAGAAACAGTCTGTTTTGGAATGGCATCAATAGGATGTGCAGCAGGAAATGATATCAGAGATATAATGGAGAGCGAGATAATGCAGGGCTTTTTGTGTAATAAAAAGGACTTTAGCTTTTACTCTTGAGTGGAATGAAAGACCATTGGAAGGGATGACTTGACCTTATTTATATTTAAAAGGTATTATTCTAGTTGCTGTATTAATACATTATAGGAGAACTGTAGCGTTTCTGAACACAGGTGCAGTGTTTTTATTTACTATTCAAAGGTGGCAAATTATGGGGCACATCTGCTACTATTCTCCTCTTCTAGGCCTTTGGCACCCATCTGTTCCACTGAATCAGGGTTCAGCTTCAGAATCCTTCTTAACACAGCACACCAGGCTGCCACTGCTAATCATAGTAGACTTACGAAATTTGAATTATTGTGCGTCTGTTCCATGTTGCCTGTATAGTTGTCTTCAACATGTGTATAAGGACTGATTTCTCAGTTTAGCCAGTCTTCAGGCAAAGATGTTTAACTACTGGGTACCAAATCACATCATTATTGTGATAGAATGCTTGAGAATCCTCAAATCTGTAGTACTTCTAAGCTTAGTTTCCTTGTTTTTAAATGTTTTAGAAGTTAGCGATTTTGGCTAGGCGCAGTGGCTCACGCCTGTAATCCCAGCACTTTGGGAGGCCAAGGCCGGTCAATCACCTTAGGTCAGGAGTTCGAGGCTAGCCTGACCAACACAGAGAAACCCCGTCTCTACTAACAATACAAAAAAATCAGCCAGTGTGGTGGTGCATGCCTGTAATCCCAGCTACTCGGGAGGCTGAGGCAGGAGAATCGCTTGAACCCAGGAGGTGGAGGTTGTGGTGAGCCGAGATCATGCCATTGCACTCCAGCCTGGGCAACAAGAGTGAAACTCCGTCTCAAAAAAAAAAAAAAAAAAAAGAAGTTAGCAATTTTGAAAACCCAGTCACTTTAATCCTTTTTAATTTTAAAAAATATTGTTTATGATATTTTTAGGATACATGTAATATTTTAGTACCTGTTCATAATGTGTAGTGATCAAATCAGAGTAATTGGGATATCTATTACCTCAGACGTTTTTCTTTGTGTTGGGAACATTATAAATCTTCAGCCGTTTTGAAGTATACAATAAATTATTAACTATAATTTTCCTACTGTACTATCGAATACTAGAACTTATTCCTTCTCTCTGACATATTTTTGTACCCCTTAACCAACTTCTCTTCATCCCTCTTTCACCTCTTTCCCAGCCACTGCTAACCGTCATTCTACACTCTGTCTCCATAGGATCCACTTTTTTAGCTCCCACATGAGTGAGAACATGTAATATTTGTCTTTCTGTCTCTGTCTTATTGTAGCTAACATAATGACCTCCAGTAATATCCATGTTGCAATAAAAGAAGCGACAACATTTCTTTCTCTTTTCTGGCGGATAATATTCCATTGTGTGTATACCACATCTTCTTTATCCATTTATCCATTGATGGACACTTGGGTTGATTCCATATCTTGGCTATTGTGAATAGTGTTGCAATAAATAGGAGAGTTTAGATATCTTGTTGATACATTGATTTCCTTTCTTTTGGATATATGCCCAGCAGTGGGATTGCTGGATCATATAGTAGACCTATTTTAATTTTTTAAGGAACCTCTATACTGTTTTTTATAATCGTTTTATTACTTTAAATTCCTACCAATGGCGTATGAACATTCCCCTTTCTCTACATCTTCACCAGCATTTGTTATTTCCTGTCTTATTGATAATAGCCATTCTAACTAGGGTGAGATGATATCTCTCTTTTTTTTTTTTTTTAAGAGATAGGGTCTTGCTTATTCTCCCAGGCTGGAGTGCAGTGGTCCGATCATAGCTCACTACAGCTTCAAACTCCTGGCCTGTAGTAATCCTCCCACCTCAGCCTTCTGAGTACCTAGGACTACAGGTATGGATCACCACGCCTGGCTAATTTTTAAATTTTTTCCAAAGATGAGGTCTGGAAATGTTGCCCCAGCTCATCTGGAACACCTGGCCTGAAATAATCCTCCTGCCCGGGCCTCCCAGAATGCTAGGATTACAGATATGAGCCACTGTACCGGCTCTTTGTGGTTTCAGTTTGCATTTTCCTAATGATTAGTGATATTGAGATTTTTTCTTATGACTGTTGCCCATTTGTATGTCTTTTGAGAAATGTCTATTCAGGCCTTTTGCCCAACTTTAATTCTAATCATTATTCTTGGATCAGTAGTTTCAACGTGTAAAGAATTTATTTCTCTTTGCCACAGTTTTCTCATACTAAGATCATTGGCAGGAAACTTGTTTTGGTGGGCAAGCTACTTATACGGAGGAGCTTTAGGAGCTTTTAGAGAGAGTACTTTTTATTTTGGAAGTAGATGACTTCTAGGGGGAGTGGGCCCATGGTGCACAGTGACCAGGTTAGCACATTGCATGACTTGTATTCCTCCTGAGACTTTCTTCTAAATCTGAGGTCATAAACTGGCAGCAACCAGCTCACAGACCTTTCTGTGTGTCCTATACGGTGTTTAAATTTTTAATTTTTAAAAATTAGTTGCTTATGTTAAAAACTTATGAGATTTTACACAAAATGTTGGATCTCCAGCTTATTTTGAAAATGTGAAAGATCTGGCTACAGTAGACCTACATTATTGGTTAATGGTTGTCTGGAGCTGAGTGGCAGCTGCCCTCTTTAGGTATGACCTCTCTAATTCTTCACACTATTTGACCTACTTCACTCATTTGTATTAACTGTCTGACCTGTCTGACACTTAGGGGCATTTGATATTGGGACTCTTGCACTAAATTGTTTGGATTTATATATGCTTGAGCCAGCCTATTCTGATATATGACATTCTACTCTATTTGTACCTTCAGAATGTTAAGATAATTTACTTAATAAAAGTCTCTTACAGAAAAATTTCAAACTAAGCAATAAAATTGAGATGAGAGATACATGAGCTGCTCTCCCAACAAAGATCAAATGAAAACTGTCTTCATAGTTGATATTCTTGTTACATAGCTTTTACCTTGATCCTAAAGCAAGCATTTGAAATAATAGTCTAGAACAGTGGTTCTCAAAGTGGTCCCAGACCAGCAGTGTTAGCATCACCTAGAGACTGTTAGAAAGGCAGTTATTCAGGCCTTACCCCAGGCAGACTGAATAGGAATATCTGGGGACAGCACCCATTGATTGGTGTTTTAACCTGTCCTCCTGGTGACTCTTACCCACTAAAGTTGTTCTAAAAGGTTTTTACAGTAGTATATCTTCATATACATTTCTTGTTTTCTTTTCTATTAGGTACTATAGAAATTCAGAGATAAGGATGTATTTCTATTTTATTAACATTGTATGATTTTTAAATTTCCTTGTTATTCCCCTTTTGAGTCTCCTATACTCTTACTGGAGGTACCAAAGAAGCACATAAAATATGGAAAATGTATGTTTGTAAGTGACATCTGGCAAATAAAGAGCTAGTCCTTTGAGTGAAGAAAGTTCTGAATAATCTCCTGAAAGCTTAACGAAGGATATGTGTCAGACTTGCTAACATGTTTCCCTCACAGTTGCTTTTTTTTTTTTTTGAGATGGAGTCTCACTCTGTTGCTCAGGCTGGAGTGCAGTGGTGACATGATCTCAGCTCACTGCAACCTCTGCCGCCCGGGTTCAAGCACTTCTCTGCCTCAGCCTCCTGAGTATCTGGGATTATAGGTGCCTGCCACCACACCCAGCTAATTTTTGTATTTTTAGTAGAGACAGGGTTTCACCATCTTGGCCAGGCTGATCTTGAACACCTGACCTTGTGATCCACTCTCTTTGGCCTCCCAAAGTGCTGGGAGTACAGGCGTGAGCCACCGGGCCCAGCCTCCTTCACAATCTCTTACAGACTTTCTGATTTCTAGGCAGATAGTATTTAATTATGAAAAAAGATAATTCTGTTTCCTCCTATGAAGAGAATTGCTGCTTTCCAATGACCTTTTTGCCCAAAATGGCAAATAGGAAGTAATTTAATCAGGAGTAGCCGAATTTTGTACTGACAAAACTTCATATTTTCATCTGAAACTGAATATTTGTCTCATTTCTAAAAGTGAATTGCCTGTTTGCCAAGTTGAGAAACCCCTCCAAAAATTTCTAATAGTGTTTAAGATACATAGTGATTAAAATATAAAAGGTGCTTAAAAATGCAATAGTCTCTAAAATTGATATTTCATATTCTATTAGCAGATCACTTTTTTGGAAAAAAATGTAATATTTTGTGAGAATTCAGACCTTCCCATTTTGCCATTCATAAAGCCACAAACAGCTGTAAACTTAAATCCAATTTGGCTCATGAATCTTCCAAAAACACACTGTAATATTTTAGTTTAAGATGACCCAGGCTGGGTGCAGTGGCTCATACCTGTAATCCCAGCACTTTGGGAGGCTGAGGTGGAAGGTTTGCTTGAGCTCAGGAGTTCGAGACCAGCCTGGCACATAGTGAGACCCCATCTCTATTACAAAAATAAAAAAAAGATGGCCCAAGTGCCAACAGTGGTGAACAAAACAGACCAGGCCCATGTTCTCATGGAGTTTACAGTGAAGGAAATAGACATTAAGCCAGTACCCTAGTAGGTATCAGTTCAGGTAATAATAGCGAATTTTTTTTTTTTTTAAAGCACAGTTAAGAGATATTGTGAGAAAAGGCCTGTGGAGAGACAGGACATTCAGCTGAGACATCAGTGAAGAGGGGAAGCAAGTCACAGGAAGGTAGGGGAAATAAGTACAGAGACTGTGAGGCAAGACATAGACTATGTGTAAGGAAGGAAAGGAGTCCATTGTGGCTGGAGCCGAGTGACACATGGGATAGCAGTTTAAATGTAAATGCATCAGTAATCACAGTAAATGTGAGTGCACTAAAATCTCCTATTAGAAGAGAAAGAGTCTGGATAAAAATAACAGTCAAATTCCGGCTAAATGCTGTTTATAAGAGATGTAACGGAAAGAAAATACAACCGAAAAGTTTAAAACAGAGGAATGGAAAAAGATACACTAGGCAAATACTCACTAAAAGAAAGTGGGTGAAACAATATTGATATCAAATGAGGCCAAGCATGGTGGCTCATGCCTGTAATCCCAGCACTTTGGGAGGCCGAGGCAGGCGGACCACGTGAGGTCAGGAGTTTGAGACCAGCCTGGCCAACATGGTGAAACCCCATCCCTACTAAAAGTACAAAAAATTAGTTGGGCGTGGTGGCAGATGCACCTGTAGTCCCAGCTACTCAGGGGGCCGAGGCAGAAGAATTGCTTGAACCCAGGAGGCGGAGGTTGCAGTGAGCCGAGATCATGCCACTGCACTCCAGCCTGGCTGACACAGCGAGACTTCATCTCAAAAAAAAAAAAAAAAAAAAATCAGATGAAATAGAATTTAAGACAAAAGAATGTTACCTGGGAAGGATATGTTTTATACTGTTAAAAGGTATACTTTATCTAGAAGATGTAAGTCATGCACCTATATGAAACATACATATTTATCCCAAACTGATAGAAATAGAAGGAGCAATGAGAATACTGCAATTATAGTTTCAAGAAGTTAATCAAGAAGACTTAAATATTCTTCTCTCCAAAATTGACATTTCAGTTAGACAAAAAACTAACGCAATTAACAACACTGATAAAACAGAAAATAGACAAAATTTCTAATATATATGAAACTTTAAAAACATGGAATATTTGTAAAACAACTATTTTATTCTTTTTTTTACCTTTATTTCAGGTTCAGGGGTACATGTGCAGGTTTGTTACACAGGTGAATTGTGTGTCATGGGGGTTTGGTGTACAGATTATTTCATCACACAGGTAATAAGCATAGTAACCCATAGGTAGTTTTTCGATCCTCACCCTCCTCCCACCCTCTGCCCTCAAGGAAGCCCTGATTTCTATTGTTCTGTTCTTTGTGTCCATGTGTACTCAGTGTTGAGCTCCTACTTACAAGTGAGAACATGCTGTATTTGGTTTTCTGTCCTTGTGTTAGTTTGCTTGGGATAATGGCCTCCAGCTCATCCATGTTGCTGCAAAGGATGTGATCTTGCTCGTTTCTGTGGCTGTGTAGTATACCATGTCAACATGTACCACATTTTCTTTATCCAGTCTGTCATTGATGGGCATTTAGGTTAATTTCATGTTTTTGCTATTGTGAATAGTACTGCAGCGAACACAACACATGCATGTGTCTTTATGGTAGAACAATTTCTGTGCCTTTGGGTATATACTCAATAATGGGACTGCTAGGTTGAACAGTAATTCTCTTTTAAGTTCTTTGAGAAATCGACACATGGCTTTCCACCATGATTGAACTAATTTACATTCCCACCAGCAGTGTATAAGTAATCCCATTTCTCTGCAACCTCGCCAGCATCTGTTATTTTTGATTTTCTAATAATAGCCATTCTGACTGGTATGAGATAGTATCTCATTGTGGTTTTGATTTGCATTTTTCTAATGGTTAGTGATGTTGAGTATTTTTTTCACATGCTTATTGACCATGTGTATGTCTTCTTTTGAGAAGTGTCTGTTCATGTCCTTTCCCCATTTTTAATGAGGTCGTTTGCTTTTTACTTGTTAATTTGTTTAAGTTCCTTACAGATTCTGAATATTAGATCTTTCTTGGATGCATAGTTTGCAGAAATTTTCTCCCATTTTGTAGGTTGTCTGTTCACTCTGTTGAAAGTTTATTTTGCTGTTCAGAAGCTCTTTAGTTTAATTAGAACCTATTTGCCAATTTTAATTTCTGTTACAATTGCTTTTGTTGCCTTCATCATGAAATCTTCGCCAGGTCCTATATCCAGAATGGTGTTTTCTAGGTTATCTTCTAGGGTTTTTATAGTTTTAGGTTTTACATTTAAGTCTTTAATTCATTTTGAGTTGATTTTTGTATACGGTTTAAGGAGGGGGGTCCAGTTTCAGTCTTTTGCATATGGCTAGCCAGTTATCTCAGGATCATTTATTGAATAAGGAGTCCTTTCTCCATTGCTTGTGTTCGTCAACTTTGAGTTACTATGTTTTTTTTGTTTTTTGTTTTGAGACAGAGTCTTGCTCTGTTGCCCAGGCTGGAGTAATGCAGTGGCGTGATCTCAACTCACTGCAATCTCTGCCTCCTGGGTTCAAGTGATTCTCCTGCCTCAGCCTCCTGAATAGCTGAGATTACAGGCACCTGCTACTCTACCTGGCTAATTTTTGTATTTTTAGTAGAGATGGGGTTTCACCATGTTGGCCAGGCTGGTCTCAATCTCCTGACTTTGGGTGATCTACCCACCTCGGCCTTTCAAAGTGCTGGGATTACAGGTGTGAGCCACCATGCCCAGCCAATGTTTGAAAGGGTTAAAAAAGAAATCAGGCCACGTTACCTGACTATAATGCAATAAAATTAGAAATTAACATTAAGAAAGTAGTCAAAGCCACTTTATCCCACCTGGAGATATAAAAATATATTCTTAAATCTTACTTTAAAGATAAAATAAAATATAAATTATAAACAATTTAGAAATGAATAATAAGAATTATACAAAATTCAAATCCCTGTAATTCAGAACCTGTGGGAGGCAGTAAACAATGGCACTTAGAAGAAGATTTATAGCCTTAAATGAATTTTCTTTTTAGAATACAAGAAAGATTATAAATAAGTTAAAAATAGGATAAAGATAAAAGCAGAATTTAATGAAAATAGAAAACAAACCAAAAAGTTGATTGGTAAAAACCAACAGCAAGATATTTGAAAGGACCTGATATTTGGTAGATTTGATCAAGTTAAAAAGGAAGAGTGTACCAATAAACTGCAGTAGGGGAAAGGCGAGAGACAGTTACTAGAAACAGAATATGGCAGTGTGATTAGAGATTATTATTTATAATTTTATATTATTAAATTTGAAAACTTAGATAAATAGATGTTTAAACACTATGCCATATTTACTTCCCATGTGGAAGTGTAAATGCATAAAAATATGCAAGATACTTTTGAACAAGAAGAACAAGGTTGATCTTATTCTTTCAGAGACCAAAACATACCACAAAACCACAATAATGAAAGCACTGTGATATTGGCATAAGAATAGAACATAGGCCAGGTGTGGTGGTTCACCCTGTAATCCCAGCACTTTGGGAGGTTAAGGCGGGAGGATCACTTGAACCCAGGAATTTGAGATCAGCCTAAGTATCATAGTGAGATCCCCATCTCTACAAAAAAAAGGAAAAAAAATTAGCTGGGCTTGGTGGTATATGCCTATAATCTCAGCTACTTGAGAGGCTGAGGTGGGAGGATCTCTTGAGCCCAGGAGTTCGAGGCTGCAGTGAGCTAGGATTGCACCACTGTATACTGCCCTGAGTGACAGAGTGAGACCCCATGTCTTAAAACAACAACAACAACAAAAGATCAATGTTAAAGAGTAGGATTAAGAAACATACCTATGTATGTATATGTGTGTGTGTATATATAATATAGATAAATTTTTAAAAATATATACACCTTTGTTGGATGCATAGTTTACATTATATATGAGTGTATTATATAATGATAAAATACAAAATAATGCAAACTGTAAAATTTGTGTAAATTTAATAAAACACAAATCATGCTACCATTTCTATGTATATGCACACATACAGCTGCATAGATAAAAAAAGACAGGATCTAAAAATAACTTGAAAGTCATTACCTGTGGAGAGAACTTTAGTTTTAGCTGTCTTTACACAGAGAGAGAATATATTACTATATCAATATATTACTTGCTTAACTTAAAAGAAATAAATAGAGCAAGATACATTTTTAAACTTTCAATTGAGATTTTTTTTCTGGTTTTAGTCTAAATAAAGTTAACCAGGTTATATATATACAGATTAAGAGAACCACAATACTTTTCAGTCAGTTATCAGCTTTGCAAGTATTGTTGATTATTAGCTTTCAGTATCCTTAGCTTTTAGAGTAAATTTCCTATTTATTCAAATGAAGTTGCTTTCAGATTTCTTATGACTTCTTCTATAAAAAGAGTTGATAGTAACTGGCCCTCACATATTAATTCAATCTATATTTATTGAGGTTCTCTGTGTGTACTATGTGTGAATAGATAAGACTGCGAGATCTTTTACAGCCTTCACTTTATCTTACCCGTCTTTGTATTCATAACACCTAGCAATTGCCCAGCTTAGAGTTAGCACACCATTTCAAATTAAACTCAGACATAGTCTCTGAATTCATTCATTATTTTATTCAACTACTAGTTGAATTAAACTCAAATATAGTCATTACGCTTAGAGAGTTTATGATGTAGCAGAAAATAATCAAATGATTTTGATACATTATACTAATGATAGCTTACATTTATTGAAAATGTACTATGTGCCAGGCATTACATATGTTACCTCGCTCTCAGAACCATCCCATGAAGTAGGAATGTTGTTATTGCCATTTTAGGGGTAAAAAAACTGAGGCTTAATAGGAAGAATAAGTTCAAGAGATCTATTGTACAACATGGTAACTAGTTAATAAACAATGTATTGTATTTTGAAAATCACTGAGAGAGTAGATTTTAATTAAGTGTTCTCACCACAAAGAAATTGTAAGTATGTGAGGTAGCACACATGTAAATTAGCTCGATTGAGCCATTTCACAATGTATGTACATACAGTATGTCCTTATGAGGTTCATTTTATGAGGTTTCAGTTACCCACTGCAGTCTGAAAATATTAAATGGAAACTTGTAGAAATAAACAGTTTCTAAGTTTTAAGTAGCATGCCATTCTGAGTAACATGATGCAATCTTGTGCCATGGCGCATCATCCCGCCTGGGACATGAATCATCCCTTTGTCCAGCATATCTGTGCAGTACACGGTACCCACTCCTAGTCACTTAGGAGCCAATTTGGTTATCAGATCACCTTTTGAGGTATAACAGTGCTTGTGTTCAGGGAACCCTTATTTTGCTTAATAATGTCCCCAGCGTGCGAGAGTAGCGATGCTGGCAATTCCAGCTTGCCAAAGAGAAGATGTAAAGTGCTTCTTTTAAGAGAAGAGGTGAAAGTTCTTGACCAAAAATAAGGGGGGAAAAACCATATGCTGAGGTTGCTAAGATCTGTGGTAAGAACGAATCATCCATCCATGAAAATTGTGAACAAATGTGAATCTTCCATCCGCGAATTGTTGTTGTAATTGTTCTATTTTATTATTAGTTATTGATAAATTCTTAACTGTAACAACTTTATAAATTAAACTTCATTATAGGTATTTACGTATGGGAAAAAGCTGAATGTATAGGGTTCGTTACCATCCACAGTTTCAGGCATCCACTGGGGTTTTCAGAATGTATCTCCTGTGGATAAGGGAGGGACTACTGTATTTCAAAACATCATGTTGTATACAATAAATATGTACAAACTGTATTTGTCAATTAAAAGAAAACCCTGAGACTAAAAGGGAGGTGGTTGACTACAGTTATACAGACAGTTAGTGGCACAGTGAGGATTTTAACCAAAGCAGTTTGGCTCCAGAGCCCATCCTCTTAACTATCTGTACTGTGTGGCATTTTTCTAGGCTATTCTGGTAAGTTCTCTCCATAAAGTACATAAAGAAGGGGCTGTAGGAGCCCAAAAGAGAGAGCAAGAACCCCAGGGAAGGCACCAATAAGTGTCATTGGAAGTGTGTTTTGAAAGATGAAGTGTGTCTGTGGGGATACTAAGGAGTGTGGCATGGGTCCAGGAAGTACTGAGTAATTGAGCTGGAGCATTACCAGTGTGGATGTGTGCAAAAGGGGAGGAAGGGAGCGAAGGAGAGAACTTCAGGTGAAGTAAATTAATGCCCAATGTACCCTTTTTTGCTGGAAATATTTAGTACTCTTTTAGATTTTTTCCTTGGTATATCAGAGAAATTAAAAATGGAGTCCTAATGCAGCACAGAGAGCTAATATCCATCTGACGTTGTGTGATAATGGGTCCATCAGGATATAAAACCACCAAACTGTTAATTCAAAATTAATTTGATAAAAGTAACAGAACCTGAACAAAATTGATTGTTTGAATTCCCTGGATAGTTATAAGCCATTCAGTTGGCTTTTTGTGGTAAGGAAGGATAAATTTTAGCCCTGAGTTTTTCCCAGGAGGCCGATAACAACCTATGATTCCATGAAACTTTATCTTAACCATTCTCTCCTAGATCAGGGCTCCAAATCTGATTGTAAGTTGAGATTTCTTTGGGTTTTTACAAAGAAGCTTTACTGAATTGTCAGAACATAGTCAGTTACTCATTTATTATTAGGTTGTACTTTTTGCTTTTGGCTGCACATGTTAGAAATCAGACACTTGCTGGGAGGCAAGAATTATTACTACCTTATTTATAATTAGAAATCATGATTGAAATGGTAGAAGAAATGCTTTATTTGCCTACGCTTAAGTCAATACTGTCAAGAATGCATCTTGATGTTTCCTGGGAACTCAGTTATCTACAATTTGAAACTTTATCTGCCATTTCATAGAGACAAAAATAACTCTCCCAAAACATTTGGTGAAATTATTGTTCATTTATTTCAAAGTGACTCTAAAAGTTAGTGCATATTCTTAAATTTACCAGCCTTTAATGGTAAGGTAAAATTTAATGTCCCATTACTCAGTTACAACAATCATCAAGTCAGCTATTCTTGTTTTATTTAATCCTTCACCTCCACTATTCACCCACACTGCTTGATTGTTTTGAAGCAAATCCCAGGCATATCTCATTTCTAAATATTTCATGTGTATTTATAAAATATTATTGACCTTTTAAAAATTATAATACCTTTATCATACTTTTACAAATTAGGAGTAATAAATTTCCTTAATGCCAAAAAATGCCTTGTTACTGTTTAGTCTCCTGGATTTATATATATTTTTTAGCTTGTTTGAATTAGGATCCAAATGCGATTTATAGGAAGTTGGTTGATATGTCTCTTAAGCCACTTTTAATTTAAAGCCCTTCCTTTCTGCTACCCCTGCTCGTGTACTCTGAGATACTGTTGGAGAAACCCAGTTGTTATCCCATATAGTTTCAACCTTCATTCGGGATATTGCTGATTGCATCTAAGTGGTCTTATTTAATATGTTCCCTGAGTTTCTTATAAATTGGTAGTTTTATCTAGAACAGAGGTCCTCAGGACCGCTTCATACTTATAAACATTATTGAGGACCCCAGAGGGCTTTCGTTTATACTAATATTTACTGAATTAGAAATTAAAACTCAAAAAATGTTTAAAGAATTTATTTACTTAAAAAAAAAGCTAATTATACATTAATGTAGTTTTTTTCAATGAAAAATGACCATTTTCCCAAAACAAAAACAAATGAGTAAGAAAAATAGCATTGTTTACATTTTTCAAATTTTTTGGCTTAGACAGATAGATGATCCTATCTGTTTTGCATTCAGTCTGTTGTAATACATTGTTCTGTTTGAAGTATAGGAAGAAAGTCTAGCCTAGCAAAAAGAGGTGTAGTTGAAAAAGACAGAACTATTGTAATAGCTGTTTAAGATAACTGTGGATAGTCTTTGACCCTATACCAAAACTCAACAAGTAGTGGTTTCTTATAGGTTAGTTGCAATGTAGAATATAAAACTAAATTCATGAAATTTTCTTACTCTGTATATTAAAATTCATTGATGTTTTAAAATTTTGAGTGGAACTTTTACTCACACATGATTTTGTAACATCACGCATTGGGCATTTGGAAGATGTTGGTTCATTCAGTTACATGGATCTTCTAAATGTTGGCACATTTCATTAAACAATATAAAAAAACCCCACATTCCTTGAAGTTATGACCAGTCTCATCAGAAGAGTAGCTAAGTGTAGGGAAGTTGTCAAGCTCACAGTGGTAGATTCAAGTTTTCCAGAATACTTATTTTCATTTGAAGGTTTGAATTTTATCATCAGCTACAACACTCTTAGTTGTTTTCCTTTGAGTGACAGACTCACTTTTTTCATTTCTGAGAAAATGTCTGCCAGATACCCAAGTCTGAATACTCACAGTTTGTCATTTTTCATGTAAAATGGTGCTCTGTGGAAAAAGCAGCTGGTTGAGCTTGCAGCTCAATTGCACAAGTGCTTTGCTTCAAAATGACCATTGTATTTCAGTTAAAACAGAAGTGCTATATGCGGACTTCCCATTTCATCATAGATACTATTAAAAAGACATGAACTTTTTTACTACTTCATCAAGGACATTCTTAAGGATTTTTAAAAAACTGTAGCCAGTGACTGTAAAGAATGCAATAACTGCTGACACTATTTGGTGCCACTTTTTGGTTTCTACTGAGGCTAACAGTTTTAGCCCCCACTGCTTTTGTGTAATCAGTACAGATGTCAACACAGTAGAAAAGTCAAATAGTGTCTTAAGATTAATATGAAAATAGTTTGGTCTTATAGAGTCCCCTAAGAGTGTGTCAGGGATCTTCCAGGGATCTGCAAGCCAGACTTTGAGAATTGCTGATCTAGAAGCTTGATCAGAATCAGGTTCGATTTTTTTTTTTTTTTTTGGCAAGGGTATTTCATAGGTGGTATGTATACTTCCATCAGAAGGTTCATAATATCTGGATATATGGTCATCTCTCTTTTTCCGTTGTTAGAAACCAGTGAAGGTCATTGTCTGGATGCCATTTCATTAGAGGTTACAAAGTGGTGACATTTGATCATTTCTTCTCCATTTACCAATTGAAGTAAAGAAGCATTTCATTATTTAGATAATCTCAGGTACAATGTATACAGAAAAGACAGAATATGCACTTGATTTTTTGATTTTTATTATAATTTTCAAAATAATGTATTGGTTCCCTGGCATTCTCCAAAGATATAACCAGGGATTTTTTTTGTATCATAAATTCGTGGATTTAAAAATATTTGATCTGTTTCAATCCTTTCATCTATTTCTTATGTTCAAATGGTTCCATCTTGATATAACCCCAGTAGTTACTTTTAAATGTTTTATTGAGGTATGCTTTATATACTCCCTGGTAGTTTGTGAGAGCATCCTTGCTTTCTAGTATGATGAGATGTGAGATGTTCCAGGCTCATCTTGTCCATGTCTTGCTCCAAACCTGGAAACAGACCTTTTTTTTTTTTTTAAGGAACTCAGGTTTTTAAAATGGGAAATGGTAATTAGAGACCACAGTCTGGGTGCAAGTTGTGCTCATTGCAGTTAGGTCATTTTTTTCTAAGCCTTTTCAATGTATGAATCCAGGAAATGTGTTTATTACAAACTCATGCGTTCTTATGCTATTTCCAGTGTAGATTGAATACTACTAGTTTTTTCCTTAACCACTTTCATCCCACATCTGTAATCCTTTCCCCCATGCCAAATATCTTCCCAGCAATTCTAATATAATTACTCATTTGTTTTTCAATTCACAATAAATGTCAGCCTCGGAATAATAATGCCAGTACTTCTGACAACAATACTGAAAACAGTTAAAGATTTGTGTTGCAGCTTGTTGTCCTTAGGGACATCCCATATAGATGTACAATGAAATTATTATATGTTAAAGCTACTGGGAATAATTTCTACGTGGTTATGCCACAAACTTAATTGGCCAATAGGTTTTTTTGTTTCATTTTGTTTTTTGTTTGAGGTATTGCTTTTTATTGTTTTGCTTTATAATTATATAAACTATATGGTTCCAAGGGGCAAGTCTACAAAACAAAGTTGTTCAGATTTAGTTTCTATTCCTATCTCCTCTGTTTCCTCCTTTTTTTAATGTTTGGGAGATATACACAAGACACATGTATGCATGCATGCATGCACGCACAGACAAATACATGTATGTTTGTACTACCATTCTGAGATAACAGTAGTGTCCTGTCCATACTTTTCTCTGTTTGTTTTTTGTTAATTATATATCCTAGAAATTACTCCATAGCCATACATAGAGATAGTCCTCATTCTTTTTTCCTATGCTTAGTATTCTGTTGTGAGGATGTATTGTAGTTTATTCAGCCAGTCCTCTGATGATACACATTTAGGTTGTTTGCAACAGTTTTTAAGTTGATTGCTTCATAAACCTATTCATAAATAGGGAATGCAATTTTTTATGATTGTTTTGGTTTTTTAGGTTCATGCTTTGTCAGTTTTGAGAAGCAAGTTACATGTTTTAAGCGTGTTTAGCTTTTTTTTTTTTTTAAACAGCAAGGAGTGGATTTATTCAGAGGTCTCCCTCTGCCACATTTTAGTGCTGTTTGTATAAAGCAGCCCCTAAGACTCTAGTCATAACATCACGTGTCACAGGAAGAGTGAGTAATCAATCTCCTGGCAAACATTGTTTGTTAGCCTGCCGCAGGCATTAAAATGTTGCCAGGTGTTAACAACCTGGAGGCCTGGAATTCCTAATTGCTGTAATCAGAACCTGAAGTTTTTAAAGTTTGAATCTCATTACAACCAAAGCCAGATTTGGTTCAGTTACTTTAATTTTTCTATAATTTGAAGTCAGAAAAGAAAAAGAAAAACAACTGTAACTTCAGTGTTGTTTATTATTCATCAAGAAGGTTTCAATGGCTGAAATTTAAAATGTAAATTAGCTATTACTCTAGAAAGCACAGTTTTTAGTTTTCAGCTGAGATGAATGTATTTTTCTTATTCCTGGATCTATAGCCACGCTTTTGAATTATGATCTCATTCACTTAGACACATATTTTTCACTCTTCTTTTGAGCTGTTGAAGATATTTTCTTCAGTCTTTCTTTTCAGCTTTACCTCCTGTTTTTTTTTCTCACACGAACTCTTGACAATTCAGTAATCCTTATTCCTGGGACATGAAATGTTGAGAAGACAAAGGAGATTTATGCAAGTTTTCCCACTCCATCCAAAGAAAGGGTCTCTATTAGAGCTCTTGAAAGTGATATTTGCTTATGTAGCCCAGTGCCTCTGAAAGAAAAAACATGATGCAGAACTTTTCTCATTATCTAAGGTGTGTTCCTGGTGTCATTTCCCTCTCCCAACAGGACCACTTTTACCTAATACAAATCTGGATCCTCCACTACTCAAGTGAAATACAACGCAATTAGCATCTTTTGTCTTTGATAACACACCTACTCCAAGCACCAGTAATGCTGGAATGGAAAGCATGTTTCATTTCCTTTCTTCATTTCTCTGTTGGAGTTTGATGCTGATATTACTGAGATTTCTAATGGACAGTGTAGGGAGGAGAAGGCTGATTGATGGTAATTTATTGTACTGCTACTGAGAAAAAAACACAACTCAGGGTATTGGTTGTTCGATACATCCAGATTTTTTGACTGAAAATGTTAGATTTTACTTTTTCTTTTTTAAAAATTTCCAACTTTTAAGTTCAGGGGCACATGTGCAGGATGTGCTGGTTTTTTACATAGGTAAATGTGTGCCATGTTGGTTTATGGCACAGATCATGCCATCACTTAGGTATTAAGCCCAGCATCCATTAGCTATTCTTCCTGATGCTCTCCCTCCTCCCAAGCCCCCACCCTCTGACAGGCCCCAGTGTGTGTTGTTCCCCACCATGTGTCCATGTGTTCTTATCATTCAGCTCCCACTTATAAGTGAGAACATGCAGCATTTTTTTTTCTGTTCCGTGTTAGTTTGCTAAGGATAATCACCTCCAGCTCCATCCATATCCCTGTGAAGGACATGATCTCCTTCCTTTTTATGGCTGCATAATATTCCATGGTATATATATACCACATGTTCTTTATCCAGTCTATCATTGATGAACATTTAGGTTGTTCATTACAGCACTATTCACAATAGCAAAGATTTTACATTTGTTTAGAAGGCTTGATAAAGTTGCAGTTGTGTACCAAGTGTACCAAAGTGACTGTTCTTTTAGTGAAGAAGCAGTAGATTTGGTAGTTAAGATCATTGGAATCAGGCTTTCAGCGTTCAAATCCTGACTTCACCATTTGCTGAGTAGCTGTGGGCCACTTACCTCTCCTCTCTGAGCTTCATTGTCCTCATCTGTAAAATGAAGTAATACTAGAACCCATAGGATACATTTTGAACCTATATGAGAGTTAAATGGAGTAATGCACATCAGGGGCCTGCAATATAATACAGATTGAGTATCCCAAACCTGAAATCCTGAAATGCTCTAAAATTTGAAACTTTTGAACAGTCAAAGAAAGTGCTCATTGGAGCATTTCAAATTTCATATTTTTGGATTAGAGATGGTCAACAGGTAAGTATAATGCAAATATTTCAAAATCCTCCAAAATCCAAAGTTTAAAACACTTCTGGTCCCAAACATTTTGGTTAAGGGATACTTCACCTGTAGTCACTTCATAAATGTCAGCTTCTCCTCCCTCCTTCCACTTTCCCCTCCTTTCTTGAAACATTGTCCATGGAGTAAATTTCACTACCTAAACTTTTCCCCCAGTGATTTGCCATTGCCTTCTGTTATAAAATCAGAGATACATTCCCAAAGAATACTTGCTCCCAGAGGGACTGATCTAAAACTACTCTAAAACAAAGGAATTAAAACTATTACTGCTTGGAAATTGATTACCAAAGTGATCATAGGTATCAATTTTAGAACTTCCTAATGCTTTCTTCCTTTCTTTTCCTTACATCTCTATACAATAATACAGTGTTTCTTTCTACCCACCTCTCAAATCATGAACTGTTGAGGTTAACGGAAATTTTCAAATCTTGAAGCTCTGAAACTACTTCCCTTACAGTAACACACTTCTACCAATAGATGCCGCCCTTTCACTTCTTGAGTGCACAATCTCCTGTGTGGCATTTGCTTAAGGCAGAGCTTGCTGGCTATGTAAAATGAATGATAAAATTATTGAACCAGGCCGGGTGAATGATAAAATTACCGAACCAGTGGCTCATGCCTATAATCCCAGCTTTTTGGGAGGCTGAGGTTGCAGGATCGCTTGAGCCCAGGAGTTCAAGGCCAGTCTGGGCAACATAGTGAGACCCCATCTCTACAAAAAATAAAAGCACATTTTAAAAAGCCAGGTAGGGTGGCATGTGCCTGTGGTCCCAGCTACTCAGGTGGTTGAGGTGGGAGGCTTGCTTGAACCCGGGAGTATATGGTTTGCAGTGAGCCGTGATTGTGCCACTACACTCCAGTCTGGGCAACAGAGCAAGATCGTGTCTCAAAAAAAAGAAAAAAGTTACTGAATCACTTTAGAAATTTGACATTGTGTGAAGTGAGTTTGTTTGAAAATAGGGAAAACTTGTAACACAGACCAGTAGAATGAACATTACATTACATAAGAAGAAGGGTGAATGGCCCAGGCTTTAGCTGGGACCTTGGGTGAGTCACCCTCCTCTTTGAATTTTAGTTTGTGATCTGTAAAAATTAAACATAATAGTACCTATCCTGCTTTTCCCACAGAGTTGGAGAAAGGATCAAATGAAATATACATTGGGTTATTTGAACTAAGTTTACTTTCAAAACTTTGGTAGAATTTTATTAGCCAAGAATTATAAGGCCGTTGATGTTTATTTTCGGTTCATTGTGTATTAAGTATTATCACTTATTTTTATTTCACATTTTATTTTACTATTATAAAAAAATTAACTCTTTGAATGATGACAAATAATTCAGAAGTGAGGAAGACAAAGGAGCAGTTAAGCCTGGATTTCTGGTATGACTCCGTTTGCTGATGATAGTAACATTATCACTTTAGATCTAGGTAGCATTTAATATAGTTAAAGATGCATTCATAGTTTGTTCTTTTGTTTGGCAATGCTTACAGTGTTTCTGTGAGGTAGCAGGGTGGGGTTTCTTATCCTCTTATAGTTTGAGGAACTGGAGCCCAGAGACATTTTACAAAGGCATCTTTCCTACTTGGTGCCAGAATCAGGTCTGGAACCCAGACCCCTAAGTGGCTTCCTGTCTGCGTTAATTCATAAGTGTGTGTGTTTTCTCACATGAAAACAAAAACAAAAACTATGCTTACATATTAAATACCCAATGTTATAAACCAGGAAAAAGAATCTTCTTTCAAATAACATGTGATAGGGACTACAGTAACCAGGAAGAATGATTTCAGGTTTATTGCATCTTCCTGGGAATTTCGTGACATTAGAGGAGTATTTATTATTAACTCACAGTGTTTTTTTTCATGCTTATTGAGAACACAATGCAGATTGACAAGCTTTGTATTTCATTAATTGTTTATGCAAACAATTCTTATTGGAGCAATTTAATTTGTACTTTCTTTTGCTGTTCTTTCTTATTTACTTTCTAATTATGGGTTGTACAGTAATTTTGCTATTGTCAGAAAGTGTCTTTTTTTTTTGTTTGTTCGTTTGTTTTTTTGAGAAGGAGTCTCGCTCTGTCGCCCAGGCTGGAGTGCAGTGGCCCAATCTCGGCTCACTGCAACCTCTGCCTCCCGGGTTCAAATGATTCTCCTGCCTCAGCCTGCTGAGTAGCTGACATTACAGGTGCATGCCACCATGCCTGGCTAATTTTTGTATTTTTAGTAGAGATGGGGTTTCACCATGTTGGCCGGGCCAGTCACAAACTCCTGACCTCAGGTGATCCGCCTGCCTCCGCCTCCCAAAGTGCTGGGATTATAGGCCTGAGCCACCGCACCTAGCCAGAAAATGTCATTCTAACTAAAAAGGCATTATTATTTTAAGAACATTTTTGGTTTTCGCCAGGTGCAATCCCAGCCCTTTGGGAGGCCAAGGCAGGAGGATTGCTTGAGGTCAGGAGTTCATGACTAGCTTGGGCTACATAGCAATACCCTGTATCTACAAAAAAAAAAAAAAGAAAAATTGGCTAAGTGTGGTGGTGCGTACCTGTAGTCCCAGCTACTCAGGAGGCTGAGGCAGAAGGATCGTTTGAGCCCAGGAAGTTGAGGCTGCAGCAAGCCATGACTGTGGCACTGCACTGTAGCCTGGGTAACAGAATGAGACCCTATCTCAAAACTAAAAGGAAAAAAAAAAAAAAGCAAATATAACCTCTGAAAACAAAGGTATCTATTGTGGAGGAATCTTAATGGATACAGGAAATATTTGATATATTTTCTGGTTATATCTCTGTCACAGTGTGCTTGTCAGTCTCATTCAGGCACTTGTTCCTGAATTTTTCTTCTCTTCTACTCTGTTATCTATTGTCTAATCAGTATGGGCTTTTCTGCTAATTTGCTTTTCTTTTTTTTTTTAAATTTATTTATTTATTTTTTTTCCGAGATGAAGCCTTGCTCTGTCACCTAGGCTGGAGTGCAGTGGCGTGATCTCGGCTCACTGCAACCTCCGCCTCCTGGATTCAAGCAATTCTCCTGCCTCAGCCTCCTGAGTAGCTGGGATTACAGGCACCTGCCACCACATCTGGCTAATTTTTGTATTTTTAGTAGAGACAGGGTTTCACCATGTTGGCCAGGCTGGTCTTGAACTCCTGACCTCGTGATCTGCCCGCCTCGGCCTCCCAAAGTGCTGGGATTACAGGTGTGAGCTACCACGCCCAGCCTAATTTGCTTTTCTTACTCCAGTGTTAGATAATGAATATTTTTAGTAATCTTCATATTGGTTGCTCATTATCTTGTCTAATTTTAAATTTTATTGGCAGACACACTTGGTCTCTTAAGACTAACTACATTTTGGATTTTGACAAGGAAATGATGAAAATAGCAGTTATTGAATGCTTGTTGTGTGTTAGGTCCCTGTAAATGTTTTATACCATCTTCTTTTCATAATATCCTCACATGGTAGATCTTATAGATCTTATTCCCACTTATTTGACAGAGAGGCTTTGAGGCGCTAGGTGACAAGAGATGCTAGGTGACCTGTCCCACCCTTGGTGCATGATTAATAAAAGATAGACCATTATTTTTCTCAGAATAACGCACGTTTGTTTGTGTGAGAATGGTTATATATGTGCCGATGGTAAACATTCATCTAATTCAGATGCTGCATCTTTTCTTTCTCTAACATGTGCAGCCCTTAGCGAATTGCCATAGCATGCAGGTGCTCAGAATGTGTTATTTGATTATGTTATTTGGGCCCATTGTGCACTCTTTGGAAATCTTTTTAAATTTCTTCAGATTTTCTTTTTGTAATATCCATTCATCTATGTGTATAGGAATATGTTAATTGGACTATAATTTCATAGATGTGGAATTTAGATTTCTTCCCTGCTTCTTTGGTAAAACTGTAGTAAAAAACATTGATTGGAAATACAGTGTTGGGAATTCCCTTGATCGAATTGGATAAAGCATAAAGCATTTAGCAAAGTGCCTGGCATTCCTAATCTATTATTAATATGTGGGTTCCTTTTAGAGTGATGGCTTATTTATAGTGAAGAAGAGCAGTGGGTTGGGAATCAGGTCTCAGCTCTGACTGTAACTAGCTTTGTGTCCTTAAGTAAGCCACCTAACCTTTCTGGGACTCTGTTTCTTTGTCTGCTAAAGGTAAGATTAAGCCTTCAAGAGCCCTCAAACTCTCTTGGTCTTTGTTTGCCAATTTAAAAAATGCAGCTAATGCGTCTCTCTCATAGGGATCATGTGAGCCTAAAATAAAGAGCTTGTGTAAAGTGTGTAAAAGATGCTCAGTATATATAAGGTTCTTTTCCTGTTCTTTTAAAAGCAGAGAAATGCTTAGGACACCCAGGACGCCAACATGAGCATAGAAGGCAGTCTGATATACTGACCAAGAGCAGATAGACTTGGATCCATTGCTGGTTTCATTATTTATGGGACCAGTAACTCTAGGCTTCTCACCCAACCTAAAATGAAGATACTAATCATATTTACTTCTGAGTTATTGAGAAGATTAATTTAAAAATGCTTTTAAAGTGCTTAGCAGAGTATCTGACACAGAGTAGGCATTCAGTAAATTTTATTTACATGTGTAACACTTAGGGTGGGAGACATGGATGAACTACTGGAAAAGGGAAAGATACTGAGGTGGGCTGCCCTAAAAAAGGAAGGTAAGAGGAAGACCTACACTTATTTCACACTTTTGTTGCAGGCCCTGCTAGTTCACACATTGTTTGCTTTGTGATTTTTTTTTTTTGAGACGGAGTGTTGCTCTGTTGCCCAGGCTGGAGTGCAGTGGCGTGGTCTTGGCTCACTGCAACCTCTGCCTCCTGCGTTCAGGTGGTTCTCCTGCCTCAGCCTCCCGCCACCATGCCCGGCTAATTTTTGTATTTTTAGTAGAGACGGGGTTTCACCATGTTGGCCAGGCTGGCCTCGAACTCCTGACCTCAGGTGATCCATCCGCCTCGGCCTCCCAAAGTGCTGGAATTACAGGCGTGAGCCACCATGCCCAGCCATGATATTTATTTTATACCTAAGATGAGCTTAATTCTGTTATGACTTTCTTGTTCCTAGGGTGAGCTTAATTCTGTTATGACTTTCTTGTTCCTAGGGTTTAAATATCAAGGATACTCACTAAAACACTGATAGACCTTTTGTGTTTTCTCTGATTGCTTCCCTTCTGTGCCTGCCTGGAGGCTATAGGTCCTGGACAGTTCCCACATTGATGTTTTTTTTTTCAAAACAGTTTTTTCCTGATGGTACATTTGTTAATGTAAAATAGCTCAAGTAAATGTATGTGCGTATGTATGAAAGAGACAGAGAGAGACAGAGAGAGCTGTATGGGATCCATCAGCTGCCGAGGGTACCCTTTCATCAAGCAGAGTTCACATTGCAGAGCATTGGATCAGAGGGTGGCCAGCAGCTGGAGGGAGAGCAAACTTGAATCTACTTTATAGACCCACTAGTCACTTCCATTTGCCCTTTACTTAGGAGAAAATACACAGCAAAAACTGTTCTTTAGACATGGATGCATCTAGTTTAATAAATCTTAATGTAGTGCTATTAAAAATGAGGTAAAGTCAGGAAATTTTCTACCCCCTCCCAAGTGCTCTTATTCCTAGATATGCAGGACCAAGCATAAAGTTATTTTCACACATTGGGAAGAAATGTTCCATTCCAATTTCAAGTGGAGGTTTTCCACTTTTGGAAGTGCTGCTGAGACTGCAATTATAAACTACAACTATTCTTTTAAAACAGTTCCTGGGATGAATTAAGATCTTGCAGTAAAAATACCATATACAATCTGTCACATTATCTGTGGAACTCTTCCCTTTGCCAGCTTGGTCAGTGAGGGTAACAGCTGCCCAGAGTTCATTGCTAAACGGATGTTTAACAATGGTACTGTGAATTCAGCACTTCATATTAGAATAATGCTTGAGTTCCTGGTATTCGGTTAATGGAGTTTTACGTACAGTGATACAGAAAATATGTGATGCACAGGATTTCAGCTTTTTAAGAATTCTCACCACTTCTCCTCCCATCTCAATTTTGTTGTTGTGGAAAATGAAAATCCCACAGGAAAGCCAAGTGTAGTCCTCATTCCCTGACTTCTGGCTTTGTACTCCATCACTTTCCACTTCCTTCCCCTCCCCTCTCTACACTGTTCACCTGGGCCTAAACGTCTGAATGACTGCAGCCTCAAGGAAAGCTTCAAGTTAGACTAGATGACCTTTAAGGTTTTGTTAATCCTGAGAATCCGTTTGGCCACATCAATGAGCTCCTTTGTATCTACTCAAATGTGATAGAACAGACGAGCATTCAGAGTAAGGGGATCTTCCTAGGCTGGCTGCAGAGAGAACAGTCAGCAGTGCTCGTGCCATGGCTACAGATTACACATCTCACTCTGGGGGTGTGTGGGGACTGGGAAAGGGGGAGCCAGTTTGGCCTGTGGCACATGTAATTTTTATACTTTGAACTACTGAAATGGGTCTGAGTTCTCCAGCTCTTCACAGACCCCATCACTTCCTGTTTTTGTTTTATGAGCAGACTGTTGAGTTTATTTCTGTTGTCTTTGCCAGTCTCTCAAAACATTTGTGTTTGTGATCTCTGATTTAACCAGTCTCCAGCTGATGGTCATTTAGGTAGCCTTCAGCTTTTTAATATTAATAAATATTGCTTTAATAACATCTTTGCATGGTACGCCCTTAGAATTAATTCCTGCAGTAGAATTATTGGGTCAAACTGTTCACAAATTTGAAATTTTGATACATATTGTTAAATTTCCCTATCGTTTTTGGTATGTGAATTGTTGCTTTATATTATTTACTGAATTTTCCATGGAATTCTTATTTTCTTTATTGATTTTAAAGACTTCTTCAGCTATCAAGTCAGGTTATGAACCTTTTAACATATGTGGTAAAGATATTCTGCTAGAATATCTTTTAAAGCTTTGTATATGGTATCTAACTTCAGACATTTAAATTTTTATATATTTTGATTTATTAGCTTTTTCTTGTGGTTTCTGGAATTTTATGTCATCTTTGGGAAAGTTTTTCACATTCTAAGATTACAAAAATATTAACCCTTACTTTGTTTTAGAATGTTTTATTATTTTTTCTTTCTCAATATTTAATCTATCATGTATTTGTCTTGGTGTTAAGAGTAAGGTAGCAATCGAGCTTTATATTTTTCTAACAACCAAGGGTTTAAAAAATACATAATTAATTTAGAATTACCAAATCTTAATAGCTTATAGTACCTAAAAGTGGCTTGTTTTTACAGATAGAAACTTTCCACTTCAAACTCTGAGTTTTAATGTTTTTCGGCTTTTAAAACCTCTAGAAAGAAACTGTGAACAGAACACCGTATTGGTTTTGGCATTAACCTTAATGCATCTCAAATAGGCTGATTCTACAGAATTTGATCCAAAGTACTTCTATGTCTTGATCCTTTTTTTGCCAAGCAAAATTGATTGTTTCTAACCAAAAGGCCTTTAGTGCTAGACTGAAAGAAAAGTAAGGTGGTCCTTCTGTGCTGGTTGTATTTTATATAATTTGGCATCAAGTACAATGCTTTTTATTTTTCTCTTTAGTTTCTTTCTTTTCTCTAGCCTTTGATGGTCCAGGCCTCTTGTTGCTAGGGGGCTTTTTGGGAGACAAATTCAAATCCTTACTGTCTAGCTCATTGTTATTGTATCTTTTAGTGAGTTCCTTTTTTCATGGTAGTTCAATAAGTGGTTACCAGGGGTCTTTCTTTGACAGTTATTACTAGCTTCTCTTGTATAGTGGGATTTAGCTGTGGGTTGATTTGTTGTGCTGGTATGTTTTCAACTGCAGCGATGCATTGCTCTATCACATGGATTCTTTTTATAGCTTCATTAGAGGTGTTTTAGTTCCTCTTTTGAATATTTATCTGAGTATCTTAGTACCTTGGCAGTCACACTATCCTAAATTATTATAGTGCCTTCTAAAGTAGATTTTGTCATTGAGGCTTATGTTTAGGTCAGGCTTGCAGGCAGGGAGACAGATTATGCCATTGTGGTTGAGAGGCATATAGTGGTTAAAACCACTGGAGTTATTCTGTTAGGGCTCATAGCCTATCTTCTCCACCTATTATGCCACCTGTCTAACCCTTGATTGTCTTATCTGTCAAACATGGTAAAGTCATACCTCTTTCATAGGGCTGTCGTGAGTATCAAATGAGATGCAGGTTGCGTAATCCCAAATCCAAAAATCCAAAATCCAAAACACTTCTGGTCCCAGGCATCTTGGATAAGGGATACTAAACCTGTAATGCACGTAAAGCACCTTTAGGACAATGGTCCTTACTGCTGGCCTGCAATAAGCACTTAATAAATGTTATTATTTTCTTCTTTTTTGGTGTTGGTTTGCTCTTCTATAATGTTACAATGCTATTTTGTTAACCTTCTAGTTGTAAAAACACACTCATTATAGAAAGTTTAGAGACTGAAGAAAAGCTTAAAGAAGAAAATGTCTCTTACAACTCTTCCACCCCCCCCAGCAATAATAATTACATTTTAACATTTCCTTCCAGTTTTTTAATACTTAGATATTATTTTACACAGCTGAGATCATTCTGCATGCATAATAAATCTTGATTTTTTTTCACTTAACATATCTTAAACATTTTCTCATATCATTAAAAACACTTGTGAAATCATTTTTAAGGGTCACATAGTAGCCCATCACATTACATTCTTTTGATTGATTTAATCATCCTCTTTTTACTTGGCATTTAACATTTGGGGCTTTTTTGGTTGGAGTTGGGTTGTTTTCAGGTCGTTCTAATATATTAAGCCAGGCTTTTTTCTTGTCAACAGGAGGTTTGGGGATTGAGTCTTTGTGATTGTTTTTATTGTTGCATTTTTTTGCCTGTTGAGTGTGTGAATTAAGCTGGGGTTTTAACCATCAGCACCTGCGCTCTCAGACTCTTGCCACCACCTTTCTGGACAATCTCCATGCTCTGCTTTTTAAACTTTTTCTGATGAGTTTCTTTTCTTCTGTGCTAGAAGAAAGATGAATGGAGACTATGTTTGGTGTTTAGGTTTCTGACCCGGCAGTGCCATGTGAATGCCCAGTAGCTAGCCAAGGTCAACAGCACTGCCTGTTAATGGCTTTTTACTGAAGTAGTCCTGTCGAGCAGTTTCTGGTGAGAAGACTATCCTAAATTGTTCTTGACAGGGTACACTATTTTTGTTTCAACTTCTTATTTTTCCTGTAAAGCTTGGTTTAAAGTATGTTGAGACTGAATTTATTTGTGCTTTGGAATATAATGAGATTTTGTGCTCTTTTCTTTCAGAAAACTAGCCAAGAACAGCAGTCTGGAAAAGACATATGTATCCAAAATTGCCAGGGAAACCTGCTGTGTAGATACGCTTTCTGAGAAACCACATGGTAAATGAATGTCATCTTTGTCTCAGAACCACAGTAGCCTGGTTCTGCTGGTGGATCGTGCTAGCTGATTTGAGCTGGGTTTTTAACTCAGTTATTGAAATGGCTTTGAGAGCAGGACTTAAATGCCTGCGGTTTTTGACCTCAAGAGGTTGCTTAAAACAGTATCAGCCTGTGTGAGCCTGAGACTGTTTTTCATTTCCTTTGTTTGGTTCGGAGACTGCTTGATCCATGGCTGCTTGGCAGGCTTCTTCTTTAGCGTTCATTCTTGTGGCCATTTATTCTCTGATATTAAACTACAGGATAATTTTAATCTCAACTACATGGTGAGAAAAAGAGCTGAGTCCAGACTGGCTCAGAAATGGAGCCTAAGAACTGCAATAAGTATCCTAGCACCTTAGGCCCTAGGAAGGACTGTTCCATAGTTAACTTCTGTGTGGCTTCACTGTAAGCACAGGTGACAGATGGGCATGTCTTGAATTCCTAGAAGCCATTGTCTCTCTCAATCATCTGTTCCAACACTGTATCAGAGAATGATAAACTTTCAGAATTGAAAAGGGTCTTAAAGGACATATTTTCCAGCTCTTGCTATATTTCCAACAAGAGGCATCATCTCACATTTGCTTGACTACCTGCAGTCATTTCTGAGAAGAGGGAATTCCACAAGTTGGAAGTAGTTCAAATCATTGCTCAAAGCTGTGTGTAAAGATAGTAGTTTTTTTTTGTTTTTTGTTTTTTTTTTCAGCCAAAATTTGTCCCCAGGGAACCTCTATCCATGAAATTTTGATTACTTCTCACAGGAACTTTAGCAAAAGTTAGTTGGGATTGTCTGGATTTTCCGTTTTGCAGATAGAGAAAGCCACCATCTCTTTCCCCTAACTACTTAGTACTATGGTAACTTGGGTTTAGGAAAATTTGCCAGTTCATTGTTACCAAGGCAAGTGACTAAATCGTGGGTTCTCTGTATGCTAATGCTGCCCCGCATATAGGCTTTACTGCTGTCCGTGCTTCATTCTCTCTCTGTTTAGCTGAGAAAATGAGTGTGAAAGCACTTAGCCAATAGTAGTAGATGTTGGGTGACATTTCATTAAAAGTGCAGACTCCTGGCCAGGTGCGGGGCTCACATCTGTAATCCTAGCACTTTGAGAGGCCAAAGCGGGAGGATCCCTCGAGCCCAGGAGTTTGAGACCAGCCTGACCAATGTAGCTAGACCTTGTCTCTACAAAAAATTAAAAAATTAGCCAGGCATGGTGGTGCCCACCTGTAGTCCTGCTACTCAAGAGGCTGAGGCAGGAGGATCACTTGAACCCGGAGTTTGAGGCTGCAGTAAGCTATGATTGCACCACTGCACTCTAGCCTGGGCAACAGTGGGACACCCTATCTTTTTTTTTTTTTTTTTTCAAAAAAAAAAAAAAAGGAAAAAGTACAGACCCCAGAGTCAGACAGAACCTGATTCAATTTTGATTTCAACCACTTGCGGGCTGTGTTAACCTCAATGGATTATATAATTCTTCAAACCTCAAATTCCCCATCTGTAGCACTGGGTTAATAATTATAGCTGTAAGATTTAATGAAGAGCAAATGAGATTAATACATATAAAATACTTAATGTATGGCTGCTAATAATGAACAGTTAATGCTTAAAAAATTCTGGCTTTTATTATTGCTATTGTTACTATTCCTGTAATCACTGTCCAACAAGGTCCCTGAATCTGCCCTCTCATTAAGGCAATACAGGCAGAGCTTAACCTTCTCTCCCACCTGTCCTTGTGATTTCTTCTCTCCATAGGACTACCCTTGGTATTCATTTTCACCTGATTTACCAAGAATAGCAATATAAGCATCAAAAGAAGGGGTGGGGATGGGCATGTACACAATTTCTCTGGCCCCTGGATATCCCTGCTTCTCTTACATGGGGAGGTTTCAGGAGTGACCTTGTTACTCTGCCGTGTTGTCAGAACTGGAGGTTGGGCGTTAACTTATTTTTTCTCATTTTCCTGCCTTTAGGGAAAACACGTATATTCAGAAATATCATGGTTGTCTCTATTTTCAGAGATGGTTTCATCCTCTGTGGCTCTGTCATTTGAGTATGTGTTTTTAACAATCTACTCATTCCACTTTGTCCTTGTGGTCTAGATTTCTTAGTAGTCAGTTTTGTTTGGTTTCACTCCAGATGTAGGTCTCTGCCGCTTCCCAAGACATCTTAATTTCATGCACATTTAAAAATTTATTGGCATCAAGTTTCAGATTTTAAAATTTGCAGTATCTGTATTTATAGCTTGCTTTTCATTCCTGTTATTTGTTTCTTCTTTTTTTTCCGGGGGGTGGGGATCAGTCTTATCAAAGTGTAATTTTTTTTTTAAGCCCAAACCAGCTTTTGGTTTTGTTGATCCTTGCTACTGCACATTAACTTTTGAATTCATTAATTTATGTTCTTACATCATTTTCTTCTTTCTGCTTTCTATGGGTTTATTTCTCTTTTCTTCACTTGGACAATTCAGCTTACTAATTTTTAATTATCTTTCTTTTCTTTTTCTTTCTTTCTTTCTTTTTTTTTTGTTTTCTTTTTCCCCGAGACGGAGTCTTGCACTGTTGCCCAGGCTGGAGTGCAGTGGCATGATCTTGGCTCACTGCAATCTTTGCCTCCCAGGTTCAAGCAATTCTCCTGTCTCAGCCTCCCGAGTAGCTGGGACTAGAGGTGCACACCACCATGCCTGGCTAATTTTTGTATTTTTAGGAGAGACGGGGTTTCACCATGTTGGCCAGGCTGGTCTGGAACTCCTGACCTCATGATCTGCCTGCCTCGGCCTCTTAAAGTGTTGGGATTACCAGCGTGAGCCCCCGCGCCGGGCCCAATTATCTTTCTTTTCTAACATACATTTAAGGCTGTAAAATTTCCTTTAAATACTATTTCAACTACCTGCCACAATTTTTTGCTATGTAATATTTTTGTAAAGTCAGATTTGTTGAGGTTTAATTTATATGCTATAGAACATGCTCCTTTTAAGTGTACAGTTGGATGAGTTTTAATAGAAATATACAGTTGTATAAATACCACCATAATCAAGCTATAGAACATTTCTAATATCCCATCAAGTTCCCTTATGCCCTGTTTTTTGTCCCTAAAGTTTTGTCTTTTCTGGGATGTCAGATGAATGGAATTGTGCAGTATATAGCCTTTTGTGTTTGGCCTCATTCACTTAGCATACTGTTCTGAGATTTGTTCATTTGTTGCATATGTCTGGAGTTTGTTCCTTTTTATTGCTGAGTAGTTTCCATTGTATGGATATTACCAGAATTTATCTGTTCACTACTACTTTATTTTCAGTGGGAGAAAATGAGAGTATTTTAATTCTGCATTTGGACTGTAAATATCATCCAGACTCTTCTGGATTGGAAAGTATCTTGGCATTTTTCAAATACAAATATTTATTTAGGTTTTATCATTTTGAAAGTTCTTCCATTAGTGGGCAAACATGAGCTCATGTGTATTCACTTGCACGCTTCCTCCTGTAGCAGTCTGGGTTCAGAGAGGAGATAGAAACCACACAGTAGATTAAAGAGGGGAAATTTAATATAATAAGTATTACCTATGATAAAAGAGTAACTATCAGATATGAAGAAACTCTGTAGCGTTCCCTAAGGCTGAGGGCGTATATCCAAGGAAGGACAAACTGCCAGGGCTTCAGACTTCATTGGAGAAGATGTGGTTCAGCCCATGGAATCACAGAGGAGTTTGCTGGTTTGACAAGACTGGAGCTGATCCAAAGTCTCTGGGCAAGCCGTCGTTTACCTTCTGGAGTGCTGGCAGAGAGCAGGCCATCCAGTGGGTTACTGGCCATCCGGTGGGTAGCAGGGTGTGGGCCCTGGCTGGGCCAGGAGGCCTTTAGAACACAAGAGCCATGTGGAGGCTTTAGTGGCCATGTCAGCTGAGCTCCCAAAACGTTAGGATAGGCTGAGTCTGCAAGGTCACAGAAAGACCACGTTCTAGGCTGTCGCTGGGCCACAGTGTCGATGGTCCTCACACCCACATTGCCATCTCCCATGCTGGACACTTAGGACAGCCTCTTCCTCCCAGTGCTCTACTGAGAAAACTTCACAGCACACGTTCTTCAGAGAAATGATTATCACAGAATGCATCTAGAAGGGTGCACTTGGATCTTAGAGGTAACACACTATCCCTATTCTTTTAAAAAGAAGTGCTATCAAGTCAAGAGCAGTAATAACTATATGCTTGTGTTATTAACAATCAGACCCTTCATGAGGGGAAAAGAGTTTATGAAAATTAGAACTTACGTAGTTTTAAGTAACAAAGATATGTTTATAGACAAATAGAACTATACCTTCCCATGGGACCTGTGTTATATACTAATCATGATATTGTCCCTATTCTCCCCTCTCCCAGTCATTGGAATCATAGATTCCAAGTTGTAAGTCAGACCCCAGATTGGAAGCACTTTCTTTGTTCAAGATGTTTGCTCATTATAGAAAACATTTAGGAAGCACATTTTAAAGAACGGTTTTATACCAGAGAAGCTAAGTGTTTTTAACTCTGAGCCTAGATGAGCTTACTGCTAGGAGTATAGTGTTTAAACCTTTCAAAATGAAAAACTAGGACACATGGTCTTTACAAAATTTTTTTCTGGTTTAGGAATTTATACACATTTGAGAAGTATTACCATGGCATAAATTAATTCACATTTGATTATACCAATTAAACAGTTGCCGAAAAGAATAAAAGACTATCCTAAAATATTTAGGCTATATACATACTAATGCTTTTACAGAATAAGGATTAAACAAACCTATCTTTTTTAGAGTCTTCAACCAGAAAAATGAACAAATGATAAAAACTTATATTTAGCAGTTTGAAGGTCACACACACACACACACACACACACACACACACACCCCTACCCCTATCTAGACCTATTTTATGTTTTTGACACTGTAGAGAGTTCAAGTCCTAAGACTTTATGGCCATTATAAAAAGATTCTGACATGCTTTGTGGAATTCTTGTCTGCTTTTGTTGCAGATTTTTTTTTTTCTTTCAAAGGATTGCTTGAGAGGGTATTTCTTTTTTGGGTATTTAGGTTGTGAATCTCACCCTTCATTACATGGGAGTACCCAGCAGTAAGGCTTACAGAGTGTTATATACTTTCCAGAAACTGAGTGCTATGTACTTGCAATCTTTTCCACGCTAAGAAATCCCCAATTTTAAAACTTCAACCTGCAAAGTAGCTTACTTAGGGAATTTCTATTTGTATTCTTGACAAGTTTTCTGTAAGCATTCTTTTTTCTTTTATGTGTTTAAAATTGGATCCTATTTAGTCTGAAGATGCCTTTTAAGACTGCATCTATTAAATAAAGTGAGATCAATTTGCATTTTAGCTTTCAAATTTTGCTGGGGATTCTTTGGGCTTTTTTTATTTGGCAGGAAGAGAGAGAAGCAGCTTGGCCTTTTTGCTATCTCGGAAATTTCCAGCCCAAGAAAGCATACAGAGACATAGCTCGCAGGGTTTCTTATGTGATTAGCTAGCTCTTTTCCTGAATTATTAAGCTGCATTAAAACAGTAGCTCGGTGCAGTTGGTGTTTTAGGTTTTCATACCTTCTGAAAGATTAATATTCCTACAAGAATGAGGTTATTTTTGATGCCTCCCTTTAGTGCTTTCAAACATCAAGAGCCTCGCATTCTTGTACTCTACCTTCTGTAGACATTTACAATTATTCTAGGAGGTGTAATGGGTGTTTACTAACTTCCTGAAAGTGTTTCTCTCACAGATTGGCTTCCTTAAGTGTGAAATTTATACACCAATTTAAAACTACAGTGTCCCCCTTGTCAATGGGGGAATATGTTCCAAGACCCCCCACTGGACACCTGAAACTGTAGATAGTACTGAACCCCATTGCCATCAGTCAGAACGTTTCTGTTCATGTCTTTCACCCACAAATTTAATCCCTTTTCTATCTTAACCAAGCGCTTATCACACAACTGTGGTTGAAACTTTTGCTCCTTGAGGTATGACAGCAAAACTAGCATGTATTTCTTTTTCCTTCTTCACAGTATCATGGGTAGAAGATTCATTCTTACTGTAATCTTAGCAGCCTTAGTGTATGATTTTTTGTTGTTAGCCAACAATGTTCATCTTTTCACTTAAAGGAAGCACATCATGGTTTCTCTTCGGCATATGTGAATTGCCAGCATCACTACTCTTGCATTTTGGGTCTATTATTAAGTGAAATAAGGGTTCCCTGAACACAAATACTGTGATACCAATTCTGCAACAGTCCATTTGATAACCAGGGTGACTACTGAGTGACTGAGGGGTGGATAGTGTGTATAGCATGGTTATGCTGGACAAAGGGATGATTCACATCCCAAGCGGGATAGAGCAGGACAGCGCAGGATTTCATCATGCGTCTCAGAATGGCACACAGTTAAAACTTAGGAATTGATTATTTCTGGAAGTTTCCATTTAATATTTTCAGACTTTGGTTGACTGTGGGTAACTGAAACTACAGATAAGGGGGAATATAATATACTCTTAAAATAGAATTTTTCTTAAAGAGCAATCATAAGCAACCAGGACTAGAGAATTTTTTTCATTTTTTTCCTTGTAATTTTATTGCAAGTAGGATACTGAATTAGTTGCTTATTTTGATTTTGGTATGCATGGATCAATTTTGAGTAATTGATACAACTTTATTTAATGAACTTAAATTATCCTCTTAGGCTTATGTATTGATTACATACTTTCAAAGCTGAAATGCTTGAGAGAACCCAGTAAAAAGTCAGTATCATTTTCAAACAAAGGCTTAAAGATTAAGGATCTATTTCTTTATTAAATATTTATTAAGAATTATTTTTTGCTGGCCTGCTCTCTGAAAATATATTAGATATAGTCTTTAATCTCAAATAGGTCCTACTTTAGTAAAAGAAAAAGATACAGGATTGAGAGAGGAGTTGGAGCTTGTGCTGAGCTGGAAGGTTGAATGGGCAGCCCCCTAAGCAGAAGACAGAATTAGATCCAGCAGAAGCTTGGAGGTGTAAAAAAGCATGGCACCTGAAGGAATTGGGAGTTGTTGTTAGTATTTCTGACTAATGAGCTCATAAGTCTTTTCGTTTATTTAACCTAATTTGATTAGTTCTCTGTATCTCAAATGTGTTACTTGATATAACCAAACTTGCATTTCATTTTTAAAAGTTAAAATTCAGACCTTTCCCTGATTTAGAATGACCCCCTCTTCTCTGCACTATAAATGTGTGACGAGATAAAGTTTTTTTTCCCATAGACTCTGACCACAGGGATTCTTCCATCTGTCAATTCCTATAGCACATGTTGCCTTGACACACAGTTGGCCAGGCTTTACAGTCAGACACGCTAAGGTTCCTATCCTAATTCAACCACTTACAACCTCTGGGACCAGAGGCAAATGCCTATATCTCTCTAAGCCTCCAGTGTCTGCGTCTGTAAGATGAGGGGTAAGAGCACTTATTTCTTGGACTGTTGTGAGGATTACTCGAGATAATGCATGTAAGGTGCTGAGCACAATGTCCAGCACATAGAACTCAATTAAAAGTATCTCTAATTAATGTTAGTGATCATTAGCCCTCACTAATACCCTAGACTGTAGCTTGTTTTCATGACTTCCCTACCTCTTTTCTCTCCACAACTAGCGTGAAGGGAGCATGCCATATACTTTTTTTGTCCCATACCCACTCTTACTCACCCATACTCCTCGATCCTTACATGGGTTCTGACACAGAGTGGGTACTGGCTACATTTTTAAAAAGATGTAATGCTAGATATCAGCAAGTAAACCTTGGGGGATAGGAAAGTTTCTGATGGGTTCTTGCTGTGGAGAATCAAGGTCAAAATGATAGGGAAAAAAATCTGTGTTTGGTCAAAACTGTATTACCTTTGGTCAAAGGCTGTTCTAAAACTCACAGAACAAAAACAAAACAAAACAAAACAGGTGCTTTGTGAATTCCATAGCAAGTCGTAAAGGCTCATGCCAGAATAGAGTTGGAATAAATTCTAAGCATGCAAAATACTACTTTAAGAATTTTGTCCTGTAAATTTGAGAATGTTTTTTAATTACGGTAGCTCCCAAACCTTAACTATGGTTTTGCTTTCCATGGCTTCAGTTACCCACAACCACCGAATATTAAATAGAAAATTCCAGAAATAAACAATTCATGAATTTTAAATTATGCGTCATCCTGAGTAGTATGAGGAAACCTTGTGCCATCCTGCTCCATCCTGCCTGGGACATGAATCATTGCTCTGTTCAGCATATCCACTCGGTTGCACCCATTAGTCACTTAGTAGGCATCTTGGTTATCATAAAGACTGTTGTGGTATTGGTATTACAGTGCTTCTGTTTAACCCTTTTGTTTTATTTTAGTATGGAAATTTTTTTTTTTTTTTTTACTTTTAGGTTCAGGGGTACATGTGCAGTTTTTTACATAGGTAAACTGCATGTCTCTGAGGTTTGATGTAGATTATTTCATCACCAAGTAATTAGCATAGTACCCAATAGGTGATTTATTGATCTTTTCCCTTCTCCCACTCTCCACCCTCCAGTAATCCTCAGTGTCTATTGTTCACCTGTATGTACTCATGTTTTTGTTGTTTAGATAAGTGAGAACATGCAGTATTTGTTTTTCTTTTCTTTTCTTCTTCTTCTTCTTTTTTTTTTTTTTTTTTTTTGAGATGGAGTCTTGCTCTGTCTGTCGCCCACGCTGGAGTGCAGTGGGGCGATCTCAGCTCACTGCAACCCCCGTCTCTTGAGTTCAAGCAATTCTCCTGCTTCAGCCTCCTAAGTAGCTGGGATTACAGGCATGTGCCACCACACCCAGCTAATTTTTGTATTTTTAGTAGAAACAGGGTTTCATCATGTTGGCCACCCTGGTCTGAAATTCCTGACCTCAAATGATCCTCCCACCTTGGCTTCCCAAAGTGCTGGGATTACAGGTGTGAGCCACCGTGCCTGGCCTCAGTATTTGTTTTTCTGTTCCTGTGTTAGTTTGCTTAAGATAATGGCCTCCAACTCCATCCATGTTGCTGCAGAGGACATGATCTTGTTCTTTTTTATGGCTACACAGCATTCCATGGTGTATATGGACCATATTTTCTTTATCCAGTCTACCGTTGATGAGCATTTAGGTTAATGCCATGTCTTTGCTATTGTGAATAGTGCTGTGATGAACATTATTGTGCATGTGTCTTCATGATTTATATTCCTTTAGGCATATACCCAGCAATGGGATTGCTGGGCCAAATGGTAATGCTGTTTTAAGTTCTTTGAGGAATCACCACGCTGCTTTCTGCAATAGCTGAACTAATTTACATTCCCACCAGCAGTGTGTAAGCATTCTCTTTTCTCCACAACCTCGCCAGCATCTGTTATTTTTTGACTTTTTAGTAATAGCAAAAAATTCTGACTGATGTGAGACGATAATCTTACTGTGGGGTTTTTTTTTGTTTTGTTTTGAGACGGAGTCTCGCTTTGTCGCCCAGGCTGGAGTGCCCAGCTTTGTCGCCCAGGCTGGAGCGCGATCTTGGCTCACTGCAAGCTCCGCCTCCCGGGTTCACGCCATTCCCCGGCCTCAGCCTCCCAAGTAGCTGGGACTACAGGCGCCCACCACCACGCCCGGCTATTTTTTTTTTTTTTTTTTTTGTATTTTTAGTAGAGACAGGGTTTCACCATGTTAGCCAGAACGGTCTCAATCTCCTGACCTCGTGATCCGCCCGCCTCGGCCTCCCAAAGTGCTGGGATTACAGGTGTGAGCCACCGCACCCGGCCTTTTTTTTTTTTTTTTTTTTTTTTTTTTTTGGACACAGGGTCTTGCCTGTGTCACTCAGGCTGGAGTGCGGTGGTGTGATCATGGCTCACTGCAGCCTCGACCTCCTGGGCTCAGTTGATCCACCCATCTCAGCCTCCTGAGTAGCTGGGACTACAGGGATGTGCCACTACACCTGGCTAATTGTTTTTGTATTTTTTTGTAGAGATGGGGTTTCACCATGTTTCCCAGGCTGGTCTCAAACTACTAGGCTCAAGTGATCCGCCCACCTCAGCCTCCCAAAGTGTGATTACAGGTGTGAGCCACTGCACCTGGCCTCATTGTGGTTTTCATTTGCATTTCTCTAATGATTAATGATGTTGAGCACTTTGAATATGCTTGTTGGCCACATGTACATTTTCTTTTGAAAAGTGTCTGTTCATGTCCTCTGCCCACTTTTTAACAGGAAGGTTTGTTTTTTGCTTATAAATTCGTTTAAGTTCCTTGTGGATTCTGGATATTAGATCTTTGTTGGATGCATAGTTTGCAAATATTTCCTCCCATTCTGTAAGTTGTCTGTTTACTCCCTTGATAGTTTACCTCTTGCTGTGCAGAAGCTCTTTAGTTTAATTTGGTTTCATTTGTTGATTTTTGTTTTTGTTGCAGTTGCTTTTGGTGTCTTCGTCATGAAATCTTTGCCAGGTCCTATGTCCAGAGTGGTATTTCCTAGGTTATCTTCCATGGTTTTTATAGTTTTAGATTTTACTTTTAAGTCTTTAATTTATCTCAACTTGATTTTTGTGTATGATATAAGGAAGGGGGGGGTCCAGTGTTTTTATTTATTTATTTATTTATTTTTGAGACGGAGTCTCGCTCTGTCACCCAGGCTGGAGTGCAGTGGTGTGATCTCGGCTCACTGCAAGCTCCACCTCCCGGGTTCACGCCATTCTTCTGCCTCAGCCTCCCGAGTAGCTGGGAATACAGGCGCCCGCCACTATGCCCGGCTAATTTTTTGTATGTTTTAGGAGAGACGGGGTTTCACTGTGTTAGCCAGGATGGTCTCGATCTCTTGACCTCGTGATCTGCCCACCTCAGCCTCCCAAAGTGCTGGGATTACAGGCGTGAGCCACTGCGCCCGGCCAAGGGGGGGGGTCCAGTTTTAATCTTCTGCATATGGCTAGCCAATTATCCCAGGACCATTTATTGAATAGGGATTCCTTTCCCCATTGCTTGTTTTTGTCAGCTTTGTCGACGATCACTTGGTTGTAGGTATACAGCCTTATTTCTAGGCTTTCTGTTCTGTCCCACTGATCTGTATGTCTGTTTTTGTACCAGTGCCATGCTGGTTTGGTTACTGTAGCCTTGTAGCCTAGTTTGAATTTGGTTAAACCAACTTCAAACCTGCAGCTTTGTTTTTTTTTTGCTTAGCATTGCCTTGGTGTTTTGGGCTTTTAAAAAATTCTGTATGAATTTTTAAACTGTTTTTTTCTAATTCTGTGAAGAATGTCATTAGTAATTTGATAGGAATAGCATTGAATCTGTAAATTGCTTTGGGCAGTATAGCCATGTTAACAATGATTCTTCCCATCTATGAACATGGAATGTTTTTTCATTTGTTGGTGTCATCTTTGATTTCTTTGAGCACTGTTTTATAATTCTTTAAGTAGAGATCTTTCACTTCCCTGGTTAGCTGTATTCTATTCACATATCTTTTATTTCCCTGGTATTTTATTTTTTTGTGGCTATTGTGAATGGGACTGAGTTATTGATTTGGTTCTCAGTTTGGACATTGGTATATAACAATGCTACTTATTATATTTTTGTACATTGATTTTATATACTGAAACTTTGCTGAAGTGGTTTATCAGATCAAGGAGCTTTTGGGCAAAGTCTATAGGGTTTTCTATGTATAGAATTATATTGTCTGCAAACAGATAGTTTGACTTCCCTTCTTCCTGTTTGGATGTCTTGTATTTCTTTCTCTTGTCTCATTGCTCTGGGAGGACTTCCAGTACTGTTGAATAGGAGTGGTGAGAAAGGGCATCCTTGACTTGTTCTGGTTTTCAGAGGGAATGCTTCCAACTTTTGCCCATTTAGTATGATGTTTGCTGTGGGTTTTTAGTAAATGGGTATTACTATTTTGAAGTAGTTTCTTCAGTTACTAGTTTGTTGAGGTTTTTTTTTTTTAACATGAAGGGATGTTGAATTGCATCAAAAGCCTTTTCTGCATCTGAAGTAATCATGTGGTTTTTGTTTTTAGTTCTGTTTATATGATGAATCACATTTATTGATTTGTGTATGTTGAACCAATCTTGCATCTCAGGGATAAAGACTACTTGATAGTGGTGGATTAACCTTTTTATGTGCCGCTGGATTCGATTTGCTAGTATTTTGTTGAGGATTTTCACATCCATGTTCCTCGAGAAAAATGGCCTGAAGTTTTTTTGTTTTTGTTTTTGTTTTTTGGTGGTTGTTGTTGTTGTATCTCTGTCAGGTTTTGGTGTCTGGATGATAGACATAGATGGACACCTCATAGAATAGGTTAGGGAGGAGTCCCTCCTCCTCAATTTTCTGGAATAGTTTCAGTAGGATTGGTACCAACTCTTCCTTATACATCTGATAGAATTCAGCTGTGAATCCATCTGGTCCTGGTCCTGGTTCTACATTTTGTAGCTTGTGAGTATAGAGGTGTTCATAATAGGTTCTGGGAATTTTTTGTATTTCTGTGAGGTCAGTGGTAATGTCCTCTTTGTCATTTCTGATTTTGTTTATTTGGCTCTTCTCTCTTTTTTTATTAGTCTAGCTAGTGGTCCATCTATCTTATTATTTATTTATTTATTTTTTTTCAGAAAACCAATTCCTGGATTCATTGGTCTTTTGCATGTTTTTTCACATCTCAGTTTCCTTCAGTTCAGCTTTGATTTTGGTTATTTATTTTTGTTAGCTTTGGGGTTGGTTTGCTTTTCTTTCTCTAGTTCCTCTAGTTTATATGAGTAACCCTTATTTTACTTAATAATGGCCCCAAAGCATAAGAGTTGTGATGCTGGCAATTTGGATTTGCCAAAGAGAAGCTGTAAAATGCTTCCTTGTTTATCTCTTACTGTGCCTAATTTAAAAATTAAACTTTATCATAGGTATATATGTATAGGAAAAAATTGTGTATGTGTATATATATACACACATTATATACATATGTATATACACATTATATATCTACACACACACACACACACACACACACACACACAGATATCTAGCTAGATAGTACCAAAATATATACATCTGTGGTTTTGGACATCCACTGGAATGTATCCCTTGTGGATAGGGGGGACTACTGTAATCACAAAAAACTAACAGTATGCAAGTACTTCATATTTTATAAAATGTTATTTAAAGAAGAAAACTTGTTTTTTGTGTTTGCCATTTATTAAATCATATTCTTTATACATACACGTGTGTACACGCACGATGTACTGAGTCTCCTCTCTAGGCTCTGTGGACAAAGTCTTTGGGTTATTTGAACGCAGTCTTCTAAGAGATCCGTGTCAGAGGTCTTGTCATTACATCACCATGCCTGCTTGAAGCCAGATTTCTTTGATTCACCCAGGCTTATGATCTGCATTTCATTCCAGTCTTCTTGGTAAATATTTTTTATATATGTGGTCAAGTTCTCTTTGTTTGGAATTTTGATAATGAGAACTGCAAGTGTTGATTAATTATAAACCTAAAATGGGATTGAGGCAATTGTTAACTCGTCGTGGTTTTGCTGCTTTCCCTCCTTATTGGAGAAGAATTAGGAAGACTTTATAGGGGACTGATGGAAAAATAATTTGGCATGACCATAATTTGAGTCAGAGAAAGTCTCTTATTAAAATTCCCACAAGGCTTATTTAAGGAGCAAGATCTTTTGAAACTAATGGTGTGGTACTTACTTAATCCACACAAGTTATGATTTGATTGTCATCTTCTTTGATTTTTCTGCTTGGCTTTCTGTCATCTGATGAGAGATTACTGCATTACCTGAGAATCTCATCTTATTAGAGTCACCTCTACCTAAACTAGAATCCATTCCTAAATAGTAACATACTCGCATCAAGAAAGAGTAAGTATCCTCGGTACTAAATTAGTGCTCTAGATGCCTTTGTACATTTTTTTTGTTGCACTTTTCCGGACTTTCTAGTGGCCAGTGTTGAGGTATGGGATGGTATGATGGTGGCTTCATTCAACTTTTTAGCTTCTATCGAGCTTCCCTGTCATCTTGCTAAATTCCAAAGGTGTGTTCTTTCCTCATTCTTGGTCACAACAAAACATCACCTGAGACGGGATCAGTCTGACTCGCCCAACCAGAAGGGATGATGTGTTTGAGAAATCCTGTTTGTGACACTGGAGGAAGAATTGTGACTGTTCATATATGATACATATGGAATTGAAACTTGTCCTTAAAAGCTCTGGCAGGTCTCTCTTTGATGGTTTTTAGGGACAATAGACTTTTGAGGTGAGAGTTTGTAGTGGCAGAGGAGCAGAACTTTGAAATAGGCCTAAACCCTGTACTTTGGATATGGGCCAGACCCATTTGTGTTCCCTATGGGGCTGGTTGACAAGGGAAGAGGAAGCTCTACTATACATTCTCATGTGTTTAGTGTAGCTTAACTCTGCTGATTCAAGATGGGCTAATTGTCAGTGTAATTCCTTTGAATTATCTCTGTGATGAAGTATCAGCTGGAGCTTGCCAGTGGCACTCTGGGCCAATTATGCAGCCGACTTTGAAAAATGGTATGATTCAGAATGTCAGAGTTGCTAAGGTGATTTATGAAGAAATCAGTTCCCATCAGCCTTCATTATTCATAGAGATGCTGGGAATCAGGACTTTGCAGTGACCTGGCCCAGAGGAAATAAACCAGGTGGGTATGATTTAGGGTTTCTCACATAGAGTTCAATAGAGGTGCCTCTGTGTATGTGGTATGTGTCCTGTACCGTGTTGTGAGCTCATCTTAGAGCAACAGCAGCTATTATTTACATTACATACTTCCTCCATTTCCCAAAAAAGGATATAAGGTGGTAGCCTTCACTTACCCACTTTCTTTCTGGTGGATGCATGACATTATGTTATATACCTTACCAATACCTCCAAACCTCACAACCGCTGTTGTAGAACGAATAATGTCCTCCATTGAAAAATGAGAAAATTGAGGCACATATTAGATGATTTATGCAAAGGCATCCAACTACCAAGGGCAGAACTCGTATAGAACCCGGTCCATCTGACTTAACACCAGTGCTCTTGCCCCTAACCTGAGCTGCTTCTCTGACAGGTGTATTGCCCTTTATATTCATGTTGCCCAGCAGTGTTCCTGGCCTAGCGTAGCTGCCAATAAAATTGATTGATTTGATTTGAATCATATTCAGCACCCTGGAGTCACTGCACGTCAGCAGCAGCACCATGTGTGTAGTAGGCACTTGGTGCCTACTACAAAAGGCACAAAAGCAGCAAAGTAGATAGCATACCCATTTTACAGATGAGAAAACGGAATCTCAGAGAGGACAAGTAACTTGCCTAAAGTCACCCGTTACCACTAGTGGCATTTCTGAATGTGAGGGCCATCTGATGTATCTAATATCAGCTAAATTCATAATTCTTCCAGTCTTCCACATTTTTCACAAACACACTCCCATTTCCAGAAACCCTTCATGTTTCTTCCAGTTGCTTGTTGTCTCTTCTAATTCCTTGTTGTATCACTTAAATTATTTTCCCACTCTTATCCTCAGTGACCTCATCTCTAAAAGGAGGATAATGATGATACCTACCTTACAGATGGATTAAATAAAATAGTGCAGACAAAATGTTGAGTTCAGCATTTAACAGATGCAAATGGTGAAGTAATTAACATACTTCTTCCATATCTATGTGTAGAATCCAACAGTAACACAGCATTTGTATCCTGCTAACAGAGTGAGGCTGAACTTTAAACTAAAAATATGTCTACTTTAAGATACAACACATTTCCAGAGATCACATCTTTTAAGAGAAATCTCATCTGCACAAATGTTGTTGCTTTTACTTATTCAGACATCCTTTGGCAGACATCAGACCTCATCAGACTGGGTAAAGGCGATGGTGAGGGAATTCTAGGTGTTAGACAATAGTGAGTGAGTTCCCATAAGACATTAGTACTGTCAGGCTCGGAGCCCGTCCTCTTCCTTTACCCAAGACTGATGTGTTGCTTAGCCTTATGATGGCAAGGAAATTCTAAATAACCATGATTAAGAGGCTTATTTTAGTTTCTCCTTCCACTGTGATCTCTCCCAGAAAGAGACTCAGAAATCCTTATACTTGGTCTGATCTCTTCAGCAAAACCCACCTTCAGTAGCAAGCCTGTGGCTCTAGGGTTGGCCCTTATTTTGTCTTGTCCAGCAGGATGGTGTCTCTTATTCTTTTGATGATCTCATTCTTTCCAAAGTGTATTTCTTATAACAGAAGTTCTTTTTTGTTTGAATAAACAGTTTAAATGGACATGCCTTTAGAGATAACTTAGCCAGGACTGGAGCCCTGCTTCTTATCAGACATTACAAAACACAGACATTCTCATTAAGTGAACAGAGATTTCCTTTGATTTCAAAAGAATGTTAAGGGGAATTACTTTTAAGTTTAAAAGCTCCTTGAGGGCAGAACGCACTTCTTATTCTACACTGACTCTTCTTAGCACCCATCCAGAACCTTGTTGCATATGATGATGCCCCATGTAAGCTTGCTTCATTGGTTTCAGTGGCTTTTGTTCTTAGTTGACTAGAAATGAAGGATAATTTATTCATTTCTTCAACCAGTATTACGTTTAGCATAGTAAACAAGACAAGGTCAATCCCTTACAGAACTTATATCCTAGTAAGAGAGACAAGTAAAAGAAAATAAATAAAAATAATTACAAGGTACATAATTGTTTTGAAGAAAACAAGAGTCTGAGATAGAGGATAATGGAGAGGAGGCAGTCTTTCTAGATAAGATGGTCAGAAAAGGCTTGCCTGCATCCTCTGAGGAGTTGACATCTAAACTAAAACCTGTAGGTTAAGGAAGAACAGGGCATGAACCATGCAGGCAGAAGATTCATTAACTCTGTAGGCCACTGAGGCTGGAAAAAGTATGGCCTGTTTGAGGATCTGAAATAAAGTGTAGCTGTAGGGTCCTGAGCAAAAGAGGGAGTAATAGATTATGAAGTTGGAGGGGAGGCAGGGGCCAGCCATATGAGGCCCATGTAGCCACTCATGAGTTGGATTTTATTCTCAGTGCAATAGGAAAGAAACCTAAGGGTGAGGTGATTGGATTCATTTCTGTGTTTTTAATTATGTTTGTTGCTGTGAGATGATGGCAGCCTGGACCAAGGTAGATGGAGATGGAAAAAAGTGGTTGGGTTTGAGTTATACCAATATTTCAGGGACAAAATTGATAGGACTGCTAAAGGATTGGATGTTGGCAGGAGGCGGGGGTGAGGGAAAAGGAAGGATCAGGGATGATTTTGAGCAAATGGAAGAATGATGATACCATTCCTGAGATGGGGAAGACTGGGGAGTAAGGAGACAAGATTTGGGGATGAGGAAGGGATGTGACTCAAGAGTTTTGCTTTGGATGTGTTAAGCTGCAGATTCTATTAGCGTGGTGGCTCACACCTGTAATCCCAGCACTTTGGGAGGCCAAGGTGGGCAGATCACCTGAGGTCAGGAGTTTGAGACCAGCCTGGCCAACATGGCGAAACCCTGTCTCTACTAAAAATACAAAAATCTAGCCGAGCGCAGGTGGCAGGCGCCTGTAATCCCAGCTACTTGGGAGGCTGAGGCAGGAGAATCGCTTGAACCCAGGAGGCAGAGGTTGCAGTGAGCTGAGATCTTGCTGCTGCACTTGCCTGGGGGACAGAGCCAGACTCCGTCTCAAAAAAAAAAAAAAAAAAATCAGATCTCATCAGGCTTACTATCATTAGAATAGCATGGGAAAGACCTGACCATGCTATTTAATTACCAAGATTTAATTACTTTCCACTGGATCCGTCCCATAACATGTTGGAATTGTGGGAGCTACCATTCAAGATGAGATTTGGGTGGGGACACAGCCAAACCATATCACAGATTTTTCACGAGATAATCAGGGACTGAAATATCCAGTGGGAGCTGATCTGGATGTGCGAGTATGGAGTATGGGTATCACAGAATAGAGAGGATATTCACATCCTATGGGATAGATGAGGTACTGAATGGGTGATATTTCCCATACCTCGTGAAAACAGCTCAAGCTACTTACATGGCTGGATTGAGAATTTGCTGCTTCAAGATTCTGGCTGTAGCAAAACTGTAGAATCACAGTTATTTTACTGCAAGATATTCATTTGAAATGTATTTATGCCACCAAGGACCAGGAAGGTGAAATGCTACACTTGGCGCCATGAAACTATTGTCTGAGCTTGTTTTTCGGAAAAATCCATATCTGGATGATATGACTGAGTCATCAGCAGTGCCTGGCTGGCTGTGTTGTAATAGGTCAGATGTAACTTAAGCCCCAAAGTTCTTAGGACAGCCATAAATTAGTCTGAAGGTGGCTGAGATAAGGCAAGGGTGCTTGTTGCCTCCAGATTAGAATCAAGGGCAACAAAACTGCCTAGAAATTGGAAACCCAGGAGAAGCTTTAGGCTAGAGACAGGCAGCAATACTTTGTGAGAATTTTACTAACAGAAAAATAAGGAAGATACAGAATCATGTTTATCAAACTTGAGGATTTATAAGAAATACCTGTATAGCTTCTTTATTTTAGTTTATTTTTATTATTATTTATTTATTTTTGAGACAAGGTCTTGCTCTGTTGCCCAGGCTGGAGTGCAGTGGCTCAGTCACAGCTCACTGCAGCCTTGGAGTGGGCTCAAGCGATCCTCCCATCTCAGCATCCTAAGTATCTGGGACTATAGGTGTGCACCACCACACCTGGCTAATTTTTTTTCCCCCGTAGAGATGGGATTTCACTATTTGCCCAGGCTGGTCTGGAGTTCCTGGGCTCAAGCAATCCTCCCACCTTGGTCTCCCAGAGTGCTGGGATTCAGGCATGAGCTACCATGCCCAGCGTGAATACCTTCTTCAAAATGCAAAATCCTGTACCTCACCTCCCAGGGAGTCTTATTAAGTAGCTTTGGACTGGGGCTCAGGAATCTGTGTTTTTAGCAAGTGATTCTGATACAGGTGATCCATAGGTCATACACTGAGAAACATTGAGTCTGGAAAGACTTCTGAGATCATCTAGTCAGCCCTGTCTTACAAATGGGGAAATTAAGGTCTGAGGAGGAGAACGGGCTTGCCCAAAGTTGCAGAATAAGTTGCAAAGTCAGTGCAGCTCCACTAACTTATATGTCTTCATTTTGCAATTTATTCTTCATCCTAGTGGCTAGATGAAAAGCAAGTCTACCCTCCTAATTCCCAGCTCCCCTTCTTTCACACTATTTTTTATTTTCTTTTTTCCAGAGCACCTTCTAATATAAAAATAATTTACTAATTTACTGTGTTTATTGCTATTTTCCTTGCTTCATTAAAATGTAAGCTTCACAAGGGCACTGCTTTTTGTTTGTTTGTTTGTTTTCATTAAAGTAGCCTATGTGCCTCGAATAGCACCTGACCCATAGTAGGTGTTCAATGAGTATTTATAAATGGATGGGTGAAAAATATTTTGTTAAACTGTACATAAGTTAACAGGTATTATGTACCAGCCCTTAGGCATTAGCATGAAATAGAGTAGAATATTTTCTTTTTCACATGTTTGATTCTAGCTTGAATTAGAGGTTACAGAAACAGCTTATTTATGGAAGATTAATTAGAGACTTACCAATCATATGTACAATAATAATAAGAATAACAATAGCAACAATAACAACAGTGATAACATCCATTTGTGGAATATTTACTATCTGCCCAACACATACTATATGAAGTTCTGAGCTAAGACCATCAGACCATTATCTCATGTAAGTCTTAGTACCGCCCCAGGGTGGAGGAACAAAATAGTATTGTCTGTTTTCCAAAGGAGGAAACCGAGGCTCAAGAGGTGAAATTACTGTTTAAGGTTACATAGCCAGTACAGATTTAGGACCTGTGATCCCAAAGATTACATTCTTAACTACCAGTTACATTCAGTAGTAGGCTTGGGGAATTCTCTCTTTGCAGAAGGAATTGAAAATGCCAAAGACTAGGCAAGCATTGCTATTAGGGGTGTCCTTGGGCCAAGAACACCAACCTCTAAGGTAGTATAAAACCACAGGCTGGAAAGATGCATTTTTTTTTTCAGCCCGACTTTCCAGCATTTACCCACACTCTCAAGTCTTCCATTCTCACATTACAAAGAACCTTTCGTCTTGAACTATTAGGGTTTTCTCACTTCTCAGACACCCTCCCTGAAGCAGGCCAAGGAAAATTCCTGTGGTGACAGGCCATTTCTAGGGAGGCCACTGTAGCACTTCACACTTGCTCTCACCCCACCCACTCAAGGAAGGGTAGACAGACAGAGGGCCCTTTACCCAGCTCCTATACTACTTTCCTGTGGAGACCTCAGGAAAGGGCCGAGGATCATGATTTTCTAAATGTGGGCACAACAGACCTCTTGTAAGACTTTGAGTTCTTGAAACACTGTACCTATTAAACTGGTTGTGAGCACACAGAATAAAGTATCACCACCCACTGTGGATAATGTCAGCATTCATTCCCACCCCTGACAGCCAATATTGGCCAGGCTTGGAATCACTGAACACACATGGCAGCAGAGTCCCTTGCCCCATAGCTGCAGACACAGGTTGAACACTGGTGTATCCCTGGGCTTTTATGAAGAGAGAGGCTTATAACACCCATTGCCATCTTTACACACACAGTGCAGCAGGTACTGTGCTGAGAACTTTACAGCCGTGATCTTATTTAATTCTTACAATACATGTGATGAGACACTGCTGTCTGACTTCTGTAGATGGGGAAGGCCTGGAGAGATTGGTAACTTGACAGAGTCTCATGGCATCTGCAACAGGCAGAACCACATTTTAAACAAAGGTTGAGTTACTTCTAAAACCTGTGCTTTGCTAGTCTTCTGTTCTGCAACACTGGTTAAGAGCATAGACTCTAGAGCCATGCTGCCTGGGTTTGAGTCTTGATTCTGCCACTTACTAGTTGGGAGACATTGGGCAGGTTACTTAGCTACCCTCCTCCTTGGGCTGTTCATCTGTAACATAGGGATAATAATGTCCTTGTAGCATGGGTTGCTCTGAGGATTAAAGGAATCCATATATGTAAAGCACTCAGTGTCTGGTGCATAGAAAACACTAAATGCCAGCCATTATTATTAATTTATATATCAACTCATTGTTTTTCTTTGGATGATAGAAACTTAATCTCAGAAGTTTGAGGTTTTTCTAACTACCCACCCTTACCCCAACCCCTGCCAAGGGTTGCGTCTGTATTCCCAAGGGGCTTAGACTGTTACCTGGTATATAGTAGCCTCAAGTAAATGCTGGTGATGATAATAGGGCAGTGCCAAGACATTGGGGGTGTGGGAAGGCAGGGTTAGGGGATGGCATCTGCGCCTCATCAGCATCGATCCTCCATGGTGTCGTATCCTGAAAGTGGGAAAGGCGCTGTCCAGATAGACGCTTATCTCGTAGACAGAACAAGAACGGGGAGGCAACCATTATTTCACATACAGCAAGTTACTGTTATTTTAATGCCCTAACAATGAATCTATATTTAATTAACTTAAAAGATAGGGGAGGTGAGAGTATTATTCACTAAGTTCTTGGTCAAGGCACATTAAATCAAAGCGGTTAGCACTTAGATCTCTTCCAGGGATAAATTATCTCAGACAAGCTTCAAGGTATGCCATGCTTTGGAATGAATTGTCACTTTCCAACCACCACCACTCAACCTGTGATCTGACCACAGTGTCTTCCTCCTGTCTCCCTTCCCTCTGGGTGCCTGGGAAGGCTGGGCTTCTGCACTGTTCTGCCACTGACTTAAGCTTTGTCGTGACTATACCTTCCACTTCTCTTCTAGCTTAAGAGTTGGACAGTGGAGGACCTTCAGAAGAGGCTCTTGGCCCTGGACCCCATGATGGAGCAGGAGATTGAAGAGATCCGGCAGAAGTACCAGTCCAAGCGGCAGCCCATCCTGGATGCCATAGAGGCTAAGAAGAGACGGCAACAAAACTTCTGAGCAAGGCCAGGCTGTGAGGGCCCCAGCTCCACCCAGGCTTTGGGTGAATTCTGGATGGCTTGCCTCATGTTTGTTAGCCAGCACTTCTGCTCTGTCGTCTCTCCACAGCACCTTTGTGAACTCAGGAATGTGCGCCAGTGGGAAGGGCTCTCTTGACAGTCAGCGTGCCATCTTGATGTGTGTATGTACATTGGTCAGGTATATTATCTCAAAGGATTTATATTGGCGCTTTTAACTCAGAGTTTTAAACCCCAGGAACAGAGACTCCTAGTTGAGTGATAGCTGGGAAAGTTTTACATTGTCTGTTTTTCTTCTCCCAATAGCTTTCAATTGTTCTTTCTGGAAGACTTTTAAAAAAATATAAATATGCATATATATATATAAATTATAAATAGATTCCCCACGCAGTGTGGTGGCATCTCTGTACAGGTACAGTTTTAAACGGTTTGCCTCTTTTCTGTAAGATTATGGTACTGTGGAACATGAGGGCAGAGGACACCGGGAGGCTGTTAGGGGGTCACTGAATCCCAGGAGCCAACCTCCCCCTTTGCAGGGCTGCATTTAAAAATTAGGTTTGGGACAGTTCTTGTACCGTGGTTTCAGCCTTGTGTGGTCATCACTGGCTTCTGGAGCTATTGGTGATGTCCAAGGGAAAGCTTTGAGAGTTTATGTTTACTCTTTGAGTCCCAGGAGAAGCCTGGCACCCTCTTTGCAAATTGGCCTTTGCTCTTTCAATGCCTTTCATCCATCTCCACTCTCTCAACTGCCTAAAGTCACAGCACAGATACTGCCCAGTGCCTTAAGAGGAGACATGATCTCTACCAGGGACTCTCAGCAAACACGGGACTGTGTTCAGTCCACAAAGGAAAAGCGTTTTTGAAGCTCTCATTGTTCATGTAAAAATCATACACGTGGCATGTTGCTCCACATTCCTTACACACAGGGGTAGAGGGGATTGCTTTTGTGACCCACGTTCAAATATGTGACTGTTTTCTTTTCTCTTTTACTGCTAAGCAGCCTGGAAAGGATAAATGAATATTAGACTAAGATTTGTTTTCCAGGAGGCTCAATCTGAACACACAGAATGTCAGAGCTGGAAGGGACTATAGAGATCATCTGATCTGATCCTCTTGTACGGATGATCGCAAAACTGAGGTGTAGAGAGGGGAATGGCCAAAATCACAAAGCAAGTTAGCGTTAAGAGCTGAGACTAGAATTCAGGGTCCTCACTCCCAGGCCACCGAACCATGCAGCCCCTTCTTTGGGGGAAGAGACCTGTGTCAGTCTTGGTTAATTGTTCCAGGGAACCTTGCTAACAGAAACTTGCTCTTGCCTTGGCTCTTCAGTAGATGACCTGGCTGTAAAGAGATTCCCTGGACGAGCCAGATCATTCAGTTTCAGCGAGTCCTTGAGCTCCACAACATCTACCAGATATAGCAGACAAGCACCCATGGAGGCAGGTTTCGGGCCTGAAGCAGATCAGAGGGCTTTGCAAAAGACAGCATAGAGCCATCTTCCTGCAACTTTACCTCTTTCCCTCAGATGGGGAGCCATGACTGGGTTGCACCTCAGGATACTGTAATTTGACTCCATAATTGCTTTTGCTCCTGAAACCTGGGAATCAATGGAAAGGCAGGGAATGTGCCTCTTCTGTGGCCAGATTCTGTTATTTGCAATTAAAGCAAGTTTTTAAAAAATGCAAGAGGCAGTTGTTAGTCTTCAGGGCTTGGCAACTGAAATAGCTATGTGGCGGATACGGAAAACAGAGGACAATTTGAGGATCTTGCTGGAATAATAAATGACAGCTACCATTTGTTGAGCACCTATTATATATCAGGCACTGAGCTGGGTAGGCTCTAAACTTCACAATAACCCTGTGACTTAACTACTTTATCTCCATTTTGTAGTTGAAGAAATAAGTTCAGAGAGAAAGATTCCTTCCCAAGGTCATGCAGCTAGTAAATGATAGAATCAGGATTCATAGCATCACTATAGGGGGTCAATATTTACACAAAAAAGGAAAGTCACAAGCCTGTTTAAAATGAAGTGACCACCTTTTCTTGCATAGACTAAATAACTCGAACTGGCATTTTTAGGTTGGAAAGACAGCTGAATTAGTAGTTAAGTCTGATAGCCAAGTAAGTTTTAAAAACCAAAGCATCCAGGATGCACACCCCTGCACCATTTGCTGTGCGAATTAATAGTTCTGTCTCTCTCTCTCTTTCTTTTTTCTTTTTATTCTTTGAGATGGATTTTCGCTCTTGTCGCCCAGGCTGGAGTACAATGGCACGATCTTGGCTCACTGCAACCTCCGCCTCCCGGGTTCAAGCGATTCTTCTGCTGGGATTACAGCATATGCCACCATGCCCAGATTATTTTTTTGTATTTGTAGTAGAGACGGGGTTTCACCATGTCAGTCAGGCTGGTCTTGAACTCCTGACCTCAGGTGATCCACCCGCCTCAGCCTCCCACACTGCTGGGATTACAGGCATGAGCCACCGCTCCTGGCCTCTCTTTCTTTTTTAAACAAAGAACTTTGCACTTGGCCAGAGAGGAGGAGAAAGCCCATTTTCTCCCTTCCTAAGCTAGATCCAAATAAAAGAAAGTTCAGTTTTCCCCCATAACTATTCTTGGGTCATGAACTTTGATCTGGAGTTTGTTTTGTTTCAGGAATGTGTGCACCCAGCTTGCTGATCCAACAAAGTCTATTGCTTACCAGTCTAGCTTGATGAAGCCTTTTGGCCAGAAGTCAATTTGTTTTGGATCAGAGAAATTTCCTGACAAGGTATATTTGTTTTCTAGTGACAGAAAGGCAAAGGAACAAGTCCTAGTTGTTGTTGTTGTTGTTGAATACTAAATTTAAGATATGTCAGCTTGCTTTCAATGAGCCTTGGGCTTCTGTTATTGCTTGAGCATTTGGAACTCGAGCTTCCAGAGAAATTTGAGGTCCTCGCTTGTTCTCTGCCTTCAAGAAACAATGACCTGATTCTGTCTTTAAAAAAAAAAATCTCAGAATTCTTTTTTTGTTTGTGTTTTTTTTTTTTTTTGAGACAGAGTCTCACTCTGTTGCCCAGGCTGGAGTGCAGTGGCGCCATCTCGGCTCACTGCAACCTCCGCCTCCCAGGTTCAAGCAATTCTCCTGCCTCAGCCTCCCAGGTAGCTGCCACTACAGGTGCTGCACCACCACGCCCGGCTAATTTTTGTATTTTTAGTAGAGACAGGGTTTCACCATATTAGCCAGGTGGGTCTTGAACTCCTGACCTTGTGATCCACCCGCCTCGGCCTCCCAAAGTGCTGGGATTACAGGCGTGAGCCACCTTGCCTGGCCAAAAATCTCAGAATTCTTTAAGACTGTTTTAATTGCTCCATCAGTAATTTTGAAGCACTTTCCTTTTTTTTTTTTTTTCCCCTTTTTGTCCCTTTCCCCAAGCCACCAATTGGATGGATGAATGTTTGACGGGGAAGAGGAAGGGTAGGAGGATGCATGGATGAGTGGATGAGTGGATCGATGGATGTATTGATAAATAGATAGAACCAGTCATCTGAAGCAACTTAAGAATTGTAGCCTTGACTCCTTGAGACTGTAGATTTCGATCCAGGAAACATTTATTTAGCACCTGCCAGATGCCAGAAATTTATACCATTTAAAACTCAGTAAGTCTTTTAAATATCAGGAAGGAGAGAAGCGACATCATGATACATCCTATGGGTATTAAAAAGCCAATAGAATATTATGAATAATTTTATGCTAATAAATTTAACAACTTCAACATCATAAACAAATTCCTTGAAAAATAAAAAGTACCAAAATTCATTCAAGAAGAAATAGATACCAGCCTGAGCAACATGGCAAAATCCCATCTCTACAAAACATCAAAAAAAAAAAAAATTAGTCGGGCATGGTGGTGCACACCTGTAATCCCAGCTTGTCAGGAGGCTGAAGTGGGAGGATCACCTGAGCCCAGGGAGGTCAAGGATGCAGTGAGCCATGGTCTCACCACTGCACTCTAGCCTGGGTGACAGAATGAGACCCCGTCTCAAAAAAAAAGAAGAAGTAGATAATCTGAATAGCCCTATATCTATAGAAACTTAATAGTGCTGGGAGATATAGGTATTATTATCCTCATTTTACAGATGTGAAAATTGAGGCTCAGAGAAGTAAAGTCTATTGCTCAAGGTCATGTGGCTAGAATATGGCAGAGCCATGATTCAGATCCAGGTCTTCTGATTCTTATTCCAGTGTCCTTTCTAGCATACCATGTTGCCTCTAAAGATTGCAGCTCCTTATTTACTAGAAAATTGTTCCTGCCCAATCTACATCTCCACCTCACCCCATCTTTTCTTAAGCACTATGTTTGTGTTTTTATCAGTATTATATTCATTGTCTTTGGAATACATGTTCTTGTTTGTGTTTGGAAAAAAAATCTCTTTTACCAGCTTGCACTCGGACCAACTTGGAAAAAAAAAAGCTTAAATGTTTTTGCTATGTACAGTTTAAAAATGTGAAGTTTGTAGCTTTAACTTTTTGTAAGAAAATCTAATAACACTGGCTTAAGTGCTGACTTGAAATGCTATTTTGTAAGGTTTGGATGTAAGTAATCAATTGAGGTCAGCAGTTTGTATGAGACATAGCTTCCTCCATTGCCCCCACTCCTTTTTTCTTTTTTAAGTTTGAGATGCTTCCTGTGTTTTTATGTTAGAATTGTTGTTCTCCTTCTTTTCTTCTTCCTATACCTCATCACGTTTGTTTTAAATAAACTGTCCTTTGGACCACAAACCCTTATTAACGAGAACCTCAATATATAGCCTGGATAATGGTGTTGTGAACAATCTTTGTGACATTGACTCAGTGGTGTGTTTATTCTAAGATCCAAAGCTGGGGAGAGGTTGGTAAACTTTTGTTGGGCTTCTATTATGTGCCAGGGTACTGAGCTAGTTATCAGGAATATAATAAAGATGAACCAGATACAGTTTTTGCAGGGCATTTGGGGAGTTAGCCAAGCACAAAAACACACAACATTGAACATACCATGGTAGAAGAAGGTACAGGGCCTGTGGATACACAGAAGAGGGAGTGACGGTTCTGCTGGGATGTCCAAGGAAACTCTTCTAGAGGAGACAATATACCTTGAAACTTTAAAAATGAAGAAGAGATGGCTAGATTAATAAAGAGTAGGAAGTGAGGGAGAGAAGACATCCTGGACAGAAGAGCCCGCCTGTATAAAGCCTCTAGTGTGAGATGATCACCTTGGAATCCTTCATCCTCATCTGCTGCTGCACGAAGCCAGGCCAGACGTGGCCCAGCATTCAGAGGTGGAACAGCAGGTTCCTGCCCTGGTGTGGCCCATTCTTATCCAGGAATAGTTCTCCAGCCTGACCCTAGGTTTTTTTTTCAGCCTTAAAAGTTGACCCCACGGCAGAGAGGGAATAGAGTTACATTGAAAAGTAAGTGTAGTTCTCTTGAGTGAAATTGCTCTACAGTATTTAATAGAATAGTTCCACAGTCTGTGTATATAACTGTCATGTTATTCTGTGGGCCTTTCTTGGAGTGGGGTGATAAGTGCGTTTATTGTTCCCTAACTTACTCACCTCACTCCTTGAAATATTTAGTGTACCTTCCTTCCTGTAGCCAGGGTTGATGACAGATGTTCCTTATTGATCACACTGAGAACCTATGGCCAGATGAAGGAAAGAAGGAAGGATGAAGTAAGTTTATATTTATTAAGCACTTATTATCTGCCAGGCACAATGCAGAGCCGTTTAGATGACTTCATTTGTCTTCTCACACACACTCTTAGGTAAATGATAGTGTACCCTTTCTATAGACATATGGACTTTTACAGTGTGCAGTACTGCCCACCAGGGGGTGTTTTGGAAATGTATGAGAGTGTTTTTGTGGTGATAGTGATTGAGGAGCCTTACCAGCATTTAATGGGCAGGGGCAGGTTTGCTAGATGCTCTGCAGTGCATTCTGGGACAGTCCTGCATAACAAACATCTGTCCGGTGTCCAACACAACATTCAGATGTTCCACTGGTTATTAATTTTGGTGAAAATTTTGTTTATAAACGTGATACTAAACCAAAGTTCATTTACATGTAAACACAAAGTACTTTTTATATGGTTTTACTGTTTTGTTTTTTTTAAGAATGAACTATGAAGAATGGAGAGACACTTGTAGTTTGTTTTGTTTGGACCTTTACTAAGAGTTGTTCTCCATTTCAGAAAACCACATCATCAGTGACAGCGATGCTTGTGATTTTTGAGTCACTCACTCAAGATTGGTTTAGATCTGTAGCTGTTGTTTTCACAGAAAGTCTATGTAACATGTAAACACATGGTAATTTCAGAGAATGATGAAGTACAGCAAAAAGAAAAGAACAGGGTAATGGGATTGAGAGTAACGTGTGCATGTGTGTGCATGCACATCTGTGTATGTGTAGGGAGAGATGGCTTTATATAGAATGATAAACGATGCTTCTGGAGAAACGATGTTTATAATGAGAACTGCATGACAAGAAGGAACCAGCCAGGCTGAGGGGACAGCAAGAACAAAGACCCTGAGATAAAAACAAAAGTTTGGCTTGTTGGAAGAATGGAAGGATTCTTCCATGGCTGGAACAGTGTGTACAAGGTGGGTGAAGGCAAGAATGTTCAGGGCCTTGTGGTCCATGGGAAGGGGTTTGGGTGTTATTCCTGATGAGATGGAGAGCCGTCAAAGGGTTTTAAGCAAGGAACTGGCATGATAGATTTATGCATTTTGAAACTATGCCTTCATGAAATAGTGCTCAACTTTAGTCATCAGGAAAATACAGTCAGCCCTCCGTATCCATGGGTTCTACATCAACCAACCATGGATCAAAAATATTAGAAAAAAAAAATGGCCCAGCACAGTGGCTCACGCCTGTAATCTCACTTTGGGAGGCCAAGAACTCATTTGAGGTCAGGAGTTCAAGGCCAGCTTGGCCAACATGGTGAGACCCTGTCTCTACTAAAAATACAAAAATTAGCTGGGCATGGTGGCAGGCCTGTAATCCCAGCTACTCGGGAGGCCGAGGCAGGAGAATCGCTTGGACCCAAGAAGCAGCAGTTGCAGTGAGCCGAGATTGTGCCACTGCACTCCAGCCTGGGTGACAGAGCGAGACTCCATCTCAGAAAAGAAAAAAAAATTGTGTCTGTCTTTCTTCCTTAAACAATACAGTATAACAGTAATTTGCATAGCATTTACATTAGGCATTTTGTGTAGCATTGTATTAGGTATAAGTAATCTAGAAATGATTTAAATTATACAGGAGGATGTGCATAGGTTATATGCAAATACTAGGACATTTCATATCAAGGACTTGAGCATCTGCATGCAGATTTTGGTATCCATCAGAGTTCCTGGAACCAATTCACCACAGATACCAAGGGACAACTGCACAGATTAAAACCTTAATGCATTACTACCGTGTACCCACCATAATAACTAAAATGGAAGAAATAGAAATGCTAGGTATTGGTGACGATATGGAGCAACTGGAACTCGAGTACTGGTGAATATACCCATGACCTAGCATTCCTTCCCTAGGTATTTTCTCAACAGAAGTGTGTATGCCTTTTTACCACAAGACATATACTAGAACATTCATAATGGCATTATTTATAATTTTGCCAAACTGGAAACCATCTGGATGCCCAGTGGCAGCATAAATAAATTACGTAGATTCGCATAGTGGAATACTATACAACGAGAATGAGCTACCTATAGCTACTGTGGAAATAAGCAAAAGGGTATTGTGAGCTTGCTACAGCAAAGAAGTCAGCCACTGTTACTTGCATTTTGGCAGAGACTCAAAGGCAGGCAAAGGAATGGGAAAGTAGAAAAAAAAGGAAGGCTTCAGGGATGCCCTGTTGGAAGCTGTTGGCATGGGAAAGCTGTAGGTGGGCTAACTTGAAGCAGGACATCCTATGTGATTGATTTAGGGGTGCATATTTGGTTTCTCTGTTTGATCCTAAGTTGGAAGTGGGGACAAAAATTGGGGAAGCTGTCAGTTATTAATCAAGTCCTGACCATTTTGGCTTGATTGTTACAGAAGTTATTGTTTAGCTTCCTGGATTGCCACTGGAGATAGCAATCTGTCTTCCTGCAAGTCTGACTTATAGCAGGCTGGCAACCTGGGCTATTTATTGTAGATATGGGGTTGGTTTCCTGGGCAGGTTACTGCAGGTTGTGGGTCAAAGTTCTATTTATATATATATTCTGGGATTGTCCATTTGTACATTCAGTCTCTCACTACATGCAACAATATGGCTGTATCTCTCAAACATTTAAATGAAGCTAGACACATCCATCGATGGATGAATGAATAAACAAAATAGGGCCTACACATACAATGAAATATTATTCAGCCTTCAGGAGGAGGAAATTCTGACACATGCTGCAACATGGATGAACCTTGAGGACATTATGCTAAGTGAAATAAACCAGTCACAAAAGGACAAATACATGATTGGACTTACATAAGGTACCTAGAGTAGCAAGGTCTCTTCATAGAGACAAAGTAGAATGGTGGTTGGCAGAGGGAGGGAGAGAGGGATGGGGAGTTAGTGTTTAATGGGCCCAGAGTTTCAGTTGAGGAAGATGAAAAAGCTCTGGAGACAGATGTTCTTACAACAATGTGAGTGTACTTAATGCCACAGAACTTTACACTTAAAAATGGTTGAAATGGTAAATTCTATATGTATTTTGCCACAATAAAAAATCCAGATACAAACTAGTACATACTGTGCAATTCTTTTTATATACAGTTCAGAACCAAGGAAACCTACTCTATGATGTTAAAAGTCAGGGCAACGATTGCCTTTGTTGGTTGTGGGGTAGTGACTGGATGTGAGTATGAGGAGGGACTACAGTGCTACTCAGGTTCTAATTCTTTGAGTGCTTGTTACACAAGTGTGTTCATGATGAGAAAATTTATCAATGTGAACTCTTAGGATCTGTGCTTTTTTTTCCCATATGTATTTTATACTTGAATAAACAAGACTTTTTGCCTTCTACTCCACTGGGCTCTTTTAGAAGCTTCCAAGACCATGGATGGGAAGGCCCCTTGGAAACTACCTAGGCCTCTGCAGATGTAAGGGGTGGTTACTCTTAGCCCATGAGCATTTATCCCAGCCACATCTTGTTCTGATGAATGATCCAACAGAGGCCCAAGACTTGGCAGTGTCAAGTCTGGATTCAAACTTAGGCTTCTTGACTCCAGTGTTCACTCCAGGACCCCAACTATGGCCTCAAGTGTGAGTCCAGGTTGTGATCTCTAGATAAGCAAACCCCTTCCTTTCCCAGTGCCCTCTGCTTGGAGTTGCTTTGCCCTCCAGAGGAAAACAAGAGCCCTGGTAGAGGCTGCTGAGCTCTATTTCCTTGCTTTGCATTTTTTGGGCTTCTTTAATATTTAACCTTGTGCCAGGCATTTTCATACATATTATCTTACTTGAACTTGCCCATAACGCTCTGAGGTGTAGGTGTTATTAAACCAAGATAAGTGAAGAAACAGGCTCAGAGAGACAAAGAAACCCAACCAAGATCACACACCTCATAAGAAGCAGATTCAAGCCCAACTTGCTGGACTTAACCACATTCTTTCCTCTGCATCGCATGGCATCCCTCATATTCTCCCATTTTATTCAAATATTGTAAATAACTCACTGTCTGAAGCCAACACAGAAACACAGAGCAGAGAGAGAAGCAGGGAAAAATGACAAGATGACTTCAGTGGAACCTCTGGATCCACCTGTACTTAAGTCACTTTGTTGGGTCTCTTTCACTTGTACCTGAAAGATTCCTTATTGATCTAGGTATGTAGGAAAAGATGGCAGGGAGGTGGGGTGGGGGTTGGATACCAGTTGGGGGTTGGTCCTGATAATAATACCCCTTAGAGGTCAACAGGTCCAATCTAGGGTCACACACTGATGAGTGGCAGGGCCAATATTTGAACCCAGATGTGACTTCAAAAACCAAGGTGTGTGCAATTCTTCCTCTTGAATGAATGAATTTCTTGAGGGTTCTGAACTCTACCCTTCTGAGCAAGGTTAAATACCAGTCTACAACTGCCCTTGTCCTTTTCTTCCTTTCTAGCAGACAGGATTCTGAAAGACATTCCCTGTGCCACCCCCTCCCCTTCCTTCTCAAAGACTCCTGTCTTAGAAGATTATCTTCTCAACTTACTAACTTCCTGGAGAATTCTTTCCACACAGGCAGGGCCGGACTGGCCTGAAGTATGAGGTCTGGTATTGAGGACCATCCCAGCCAGCACCTCAGGGCTGTTTCCAGAGCCTTCAGATAGAAGAAACTCATTATAGGACGCACACTTCAAAGCCACTTCCTTCAGTGGTGCCTGGGGAGTTAAGTTTACCAGACAAAGTGATAATAGTGGGAAGTGGTGCTGAGTGAGTACAATCTGGTATTAAAAAGCCTGAGTTTGAATCCCTGATCTGCTACTTTTTAACTGTCTGACCATGGATCTTGGTTTTTTCATCTGTTCAGTGGTGATACTACTATTTTATTGTTGTTGCTGTTGTCTTGTGGAGTTGTTGTGAGAAGTATATGAGATAATGTATGTGAAACCACTTTGCAAATTACAGTGACAAGGATATGTGGAGGATGACTATTATTTGCTAGGCTATCTTCACTCTTGGGGGCTTCAAAGAGTACCATATAAGTCAACTGGAGTCTTCCACTCTGATGTCCCAGTGTAAACACCCTGCTTGGCCCTTATTTGAGCTGAACAGCTCTTCTTACTCAAAGGGATTGAGGAATGGGATTTGCTTCTTGTCTGACCTTGGACTTCTGGGTCTCTCTTTTCTGATCTGTAAAATGGGGCTGGAGAGGGGGCAGATCTTCAATCTGATAATCCCTAAGGAATATTATGTCTCACTCACAAGGGAAGTCGCCACCTTGAGGTCACTGCAAAGAGGGGGAAACTCAGTTTGTTTATCATTAACAACAAGCACATCACATCTCAGAGCCCAGATGTGCTGAGCTGTCCCACATGCCCCCAGTTGCTCCCTAACATCTCTGGACATTATCCTTCCATTTTACAGAAGTTGAAACTGAAGACCAAGAGAGCAAGACTGCAAGGGATTACTATGAGATCCGTCCTGTACTCCCTCTTCTGGGAACTGCTTGACTCCTACCCCAGCCATAGGTTCACATGATCCAACCCCTTCGCCACAGTTGAGTGATCCAGTCATCTCACCCAAGGTGACCAATCTCTGGGCCAATCAGATTTTTCAAACTGGAAATGGGAAGTTCTCTAGTGGAGGCGCTACAAGATACCAAACTGGGAGATGTTGGTAACCCTGTTATCTACCATGTGATGCAGAAACCAATTTCTCCGTCTGTCTATCTGTTTCTCTGTCTCTCTCTCTCATTCTTGATTTCGTCGTTGCTGAAACCAAGCTGCCTGGCTGCCATTCTCACTCAGTGGTATTGTAAAAGATATGTGTTGGTTTTGTCTCCCCTGGATCCTTTCCCCTCATTTTAATGAAAGGACCCTCATCTTCCTTCAGGGAGCTACCCCTCTGCCATCTATGTCCTGGTGGGACTGTCTGTGATAGTTCCTCCCATCTCACCCCGAAATCATGTGATGAGCATATGACCCAAACCAGTCTAGTTAGACTCAATCTTCAGAGAATTTTTTAGCTTGAGCAGAGTGATTTATACAATGGAGGCAGTTGTCACTAAGCTATTTTAATTGTAGTGCCCCAAAGAGGTGATTTATGAGTTTTACCTACCTCAATCCCTATGTTGCTCGAATTGCTGTCTTTCTCAAAGCCTTGTTGTTTAATTTGACTTTGATCCTATCCAGTACCTTTCCAATGCAGTCCTTTTTTGGCTTAAGTTTTCCAGAGTTGGATTCTGTTGTTTGCAACCAAAAATTCCTAACTGATACAGAAATTGGAACTAGAGTTGAGTTGTAGACACCATATCCTCTAGGAAATGTGGGATATTTCCTAAGACTGTGATGGGGCAAAATACAATGAGGTTGTTGCTCATGCTCTAGTCTGGGAAGCCAGCAATGGTCTGCAATGGTAAAGACCTATGTCTTACATTACTTCATAGCATCTGACCACTGAGGAGGCTCTCAGAGAAGGGATAACACGTGTCACAGTTAATTTTAAGGAAGTGAGGAGTGTTCAGGCTGTGTGATAGAGTATTTTGTTTCTAACCACATAGATTAATATAAAGGGAGAGTCAACAAAGGAAGCCCCAATGCCTTTTTTTTTAACATAAAAAAAATTCATAAACAGAATGAACGGACAGCATTTCTATGACTACGGTAAAAGACTCTCTTATGACTTGCAGTAGGGCCTAGTTCTCCAAATACCAAAGTTGGCAATTGATGATGCAGGCTGCTGAATTCACAGCCCTGCTGCACTTTGTGAAGTTAGGCATTAATAGGCAGTGGGATTATGACAAGTGGAATGATCATATGAGAGGATGTGGGAGAAAACTGAAAGCTCTCTAAAACACTGGGTGCAAACAATTCACACCTTTTCTTAGAGGAGAAAGCTCACAATTTTCTGCTTGCCCCATCCCTCAAGGCTACTTAGCTGGAAGGTGGGGATCAGTTTGGCCTAGAGCATGACAAGTAGACACAGTAGGTAAAAATCCTGGACCCATACAGAATTGAAGAAACTTGTTAACTGACACCATCAAAAATTTGGGGAAGTATCTGTGGAAATGGATTTTTGTGGTGCTTTATCAAGGAAGGGGGAATGTAATCTTGGCTCAGGCTGATCTTCTTGATATGGTTTCACTTGCCAGGGATTATTTGGCATTCTCTGTGCTAGCTCCAGGAGCTGGCAAGGCTCTAACAATGTGATGAGTTGGCTAATGCAAACTTAAAACAAATGCTGGCCCACGTGAAATGGAACTTAAGGGCCCCAAATCCCTTGGCATCATGTAGAAGAAGAGATTCAAAGATTTCTGAAAGACAGGAGGCTGGATTGGATCTATTTTGTGCCTCCTTCCCACAAATACCTCTAACTGTAGCCCTCACACTTTACCCTTGCTTTGAGGAAAGTCAAGAATGCTGGGTGGAGGGGCTGCAATTTGAAATAGGTTGCCTGATTCAGAGGGGAAGAAGAATGCAGAGATGTGGGAGGCCAGGCGTTGGCACTTCATCCTCAGAAATGAAGTGGGAGTGATCACTGGAATATTCAGTAGGCTCTGTATGAGGCAAGAACTCATGGTGTAGTGTTACAGGCCGAAATGATGAGGGTCGTGATCAACTCCATATACTACTGGAGGCTATATGAGTAAGCAGCAAACTGTTTCTCATAAATGCAGAATGTTGGCAAACCGACGAACTGCATCTGCCACCCGGCAGGAATGCTGAGGGCAGTCACGTCCCAAGCATAGTGTTTCTTGTGATTAGGTACATCTGAAGCCTGTTAGTAACAATATGAACCTGTGATCAGTTAAGCAGCTGACCAATCATTACCTCCTCCTCCCTGCTCTTGTTACCCAATAAATAGGAAGGACTGTGGAAGCTTGGGGGCTGCCTTTGCTCACTAGAAGCGGGGAGCTCTCTTCTTCTTCCCCGGCCCCTTCCTTTAAAATAGTTTCTTTTGTCTTAAGTTTTCATTTCTATGTTCGTCCCTTCATTCAGTCTTGTAATGACGGTCTCAGGCAGTAACAGTAGTAAGCTGTCGTAATGATGGTCTCAAGTAGTAACCGTGGCACACTGCCACAGTGTAGGGCCCTAAAAAGTTAAAGGCAACCCACTAAAGTCTTACTTGATTTGTTTAACCAGCAAAACATAAGAAACAAAGCAAAATGGAAACCAAAAACACCCTCTAGTTCTGGCAAAAAAAAAAAAAGTCACGACTTGAGCCACTGTGTAACACTGGGCTTGCGTTTATTGATCTAAAGCCCTTTGATTGAAGGATATGCTACTCACCTTTGAGGAAGGACTCTGCTATATTGCATGAGTGTAATGTGAATATTTCTCTTGCCTTCTCCAAAAGGATCTGTGGCCATTTCCCAAGGTAAATGGATACTGGGGAAAGGGAAATACACCATTCAGGGAACCTTGATGAAGACTTCGAGCTAATACCAGTTTCTTGGGTTCAAGAGTACCACTGTAGGTCCATCTATCATGTGAAAAAGTGTTTTGGCTTTTGTCCATGCCACTGGAGGCCTAATGGAATTCCAAAACTATTCTATATCAGCAGTTTCGGAGAGATAGTTGGAAAAGATCCCCATATTGGCTCTCTGACCCATGAAGTGAGGGCCATTGTGATATAAAAGGCCAATAGAATACAACTGAACAACTGTTTCAAAATAGAAAAGTCAACGATAGTAACATATCTTTAGGGGAGGCTGCAGAGATTAGTGTTTCTACCAAAGACCTTGCAGGCTGATGACTCCAATCAAAACACCATTAATTTCCTCTGGTAGGTGCAAAATTAGATGGGTCTTGGAAAATGACAGTGGATTACTTTAGTCAGGTGATAATTCCATTTTTAACTGTTGTGTTAGATATATGCTCATCATTACAGTCCCTGGAGTCATGCATCTACTAGTTTCACTCTCTACTCTGAGGAACAGAAACCACTGGAAGCATTTTGCTATTACCTAGAAGGGATAAGAGTTTTCATTTACTGTTCTAACTCAGGCATACCTCTGTTCTCCAGCTCTGTAACAGGAAGGCCTTGATTCCCCGAATATCCCTATTCTAAAAGACAGCAAACTAATTTTGACTAAATCAGTTGACTAAATCACATTAACAGGGCCTGGAGAGCACAAAGGAGCAGACACTTCAGCTCTGTAGGTAAGACACACCTTTTACAAGGTGGGAGATAAATCCAGTGCATCTCAGTGAAGTTTCTTAGAGTGTCCAGTACCCTGGACATATGTGTAGTACTTCTATCACCACAAAAGAAGTACAGTGTTAATTTGGATTTTGTTGCTTCTACCGCTATCAGATCCTGGCTTGCTACTGGGCTTTGATGGTGAATGAAGGCCTAACTATGGGATATCAGGTAATCTGATGACCCAACGTGACAAACTACGATATCATCCATCCAGATAGAAAGTCAAGCATGCCTAGTAAGGACTCCATCATCAAGTGTATCCATGGGTACATGGGATTTGGCTCACGTAGACCCTAATGATGTAAGTTGATTGCATGAGAAGTTTGCTTTCAATCAAGTTGCATGTTTTCTGATTAAACCCAATGACCCACTTGCAAATCTATTGCTTCCTATCCTATGACTCTGAGCTCTGCTGACTTAAGAGATTTTGGTACCCAAGGGAAGAATACTTCTTTGGTACTCAAGGAAGAATACCCTGAATCGGAGACTGAGCCTGTCACCTGGACTTTCGGAGCTTTTCTTTTCCCTATGTGTGTATAAAGGGAGTTACAGTCTTGATTAGGGTAATCAACCACCCTGTCAAGGGGAAATATGGTTACTGCTACACAAAGTAGGCAGAAAGGAATGCAAGTAACTCCATGGAATTCCTTGGGGAATCTTCACATGCCAGCAGGACTAACAAGTGCTCAGATTCGCTAGGAATAAAGGTTTAGGTTACCCCATCAAAAAAAGAATCCCAACCAACTAAAGTGCTGGCCAAAGGCAGGGGGCATGACATGGCTCACAGAGAAGGGATGTTATAAATGCCAGCAGCAGCCTTATGACCATTACAGAAATGAAGACATAGCAATGGCCTCTTTTCCTCCTTGCTGTGTTTTTCTTTTCCTTTCCTCTAGTATCATATAGGGTATGCTGGTGGCAGTTACATTTACCATTTATTCCTTATATTACAGGATATTGAGACAGAATTAGTGGTACCAGTGGAAGAATGAACTTATAGCTGGATTCATGAACAGGATATGCCCCATAGGGTGTCTTTCCTTTGGGGAGATCGGTATATGTTGGTTATATATAAGAGAGTTTCCTTATGTTAGAAACATGCATAAATCGTGTGTATGGGAAAAGGATGGGAGTGTATGGTATGCTATTTTTGCTTATCAATAACTTTTGCCTTTCTTTTGGTGACAATAGGTGGTCTTTTATTTGGGTAAGTACCTTTCCTCCAACTGCCGCAAATACTAATACGGTACCTTGCCCTCCATCCCTCCCAAGAGAGAGGCATATGACTCAAGTGAAATCAGACTCTCTCCTGGGATTGGAACTGTGAGCAGGATGATACAGGGAAGGAAGTTGACTGGAGGCAGATCATGTGGGTAGCAGTGTCTTAAACAGAAGGTTCATGAGTCTTGCTACTGAGGTCCCTAGAGCTCCCCTCATTCCTGTATTTCCTGAGGCCTCGTCAGTCAGCTCTTCCTTTGGTCGGGTGAATTTCACAGATACCCTTCTGTAGTGGGCCAGATGGTGGCCCCAAACACCTGTCCATATTTTAATCTCTGGAACCCGTAACTATTACCTTATTTGGGAAAGGGTCTTTTTGCAAATGTGGTTAAGTTAAGGATCCTGAGATGAGGTCATCTTGGATTATCCTGGTGGGCCTAAATGTCATCAAAAGTGTCCTTGTAAGACAGAGGCACTGGAAGACTTGACATACACAGACACTGAAGTGAGATCAGAGGCAGAGACTTGAGTGATGCAGCCACAGCCAAGGAAAGCCAAGAATGGTGGCAGCCACCACAAACTAGAAGAGAAAAGGAGAGGGTTTCCCCCTGGAGTCTCCAGAGGGAGGGTGGCCCTGCTGACATCTTGATTTTGGATTTCTGGCCTCCAGAACTGTCAGAGAATACACTTCTACTGTTTTAAGCCATCAAGTTTGTTTGAATTTGTTACAGCAGCTGCTGGAAACTAATATATCTTCCAATAAATTCATTTTTTGCTTGATGTCAGTTTGTTGCTTATACCCTCAAACTCTAATTGTTAACAGTCATTCATCACTTTAATTATTTTATAAATTACCCTTTTTGACCAAGTTTGTTCCAACTGAATTCCTGTCACTTGCAACCTGTTCTGGCTGGCACAACCACAAAGTTTGTGCCAAATCCAGGACTGGAGCCTGAGAATGTGGATTCCAAGTCATTCCACATATTGCCCACCCTCTCCAATCACTCAGACAGCATGTCAGGGAGCCATCTCCATACAAGCAGAAACACGTCCTGGGGCCCAGCTCTTTATTTGCATAATGGTTTTCACTGATACATGGGAAGGGGAGCGAGTTGTTGCTTTTCTGCCAGGACCACAAACAGCCTCATGGTAGGCTCAGGCCAGATGATTCCCTCTTGAGCTTTCTCCACATCAGTATTAGGGACCTGTTTGTAGGGTCAGAAAATATGGAAGCCGTCGGGTTTCTTGGTGTGTTCTGCAAGACCATAAGGGTGCTACACGCAGCCCTTCTGATCTGCCCCTAACCTGGGTTCAGCTGGGCCTAGATGTAAGGAGCAGAGTGTGCAGAAGGGCTGGTATGTGTGTGGTGAATTCAAGGGAGGCCCTTTGCTGCTTAGCTCCATCCTCTGTTCCAATCTGGAGACCCAGAATCCATGCGTATGTAGGGGGCCCACTATGTACTAGGCCCTGTGTATGACACACACCTTCACACATGCCATTCTCTCTGCTTGGAGTACTCCCCCCTGGAACCTCATTTGCTTAATTAGCAATTTATCATTTGGATGGCAGGTTAGATTGTCACTTGCTCAGGAAAGCCTTCTCACTTTCTCGGGCCATGGTCCCTGATACATTATACACACCTGTACTTAGTAGAGCTCGCTATATTTATGTGATTATTGCATTAGAGTCTATCTTCCCTACTAGTCGGTAAGCTTCATGAGTATAGGGATATATTTTTCCACCACTGTATCTCTTGAGACTAGTAAGCAGCCCATAAGTCAGAAGCCAGTATATCAGAGTGGCTGGGCATAACACAACGGCATGTGTGTCTGTTTGTGGGTGGCAGCGGGGGAGACACTATGGGGAACCTGAGAGTGCATGCCTCACGCAAAGGCATTCAGATTCTTAAAATATAATAAAAACACTGTTGGACTAAGCCGAAACATGACTGCAGGCCACACATGAAGCCCCAGTTTAAGACTCTTCCAACGGGTATTTGTTGAGTGAGTGAGTGAAGAACCTACAAGGAATATATTGTAAAAACTTCAAGAACCAAGCAGGGACAGGGCAGGCGGAGCTGAACGGACCTCCTTTTCAGTCTTGTTCACACCTTTTTGAGGGCCAGGTCTCTCTCTGGCTATCTTTTTTTCCCCCTCTGAGCTTGGCACCCAGTGGGCTGTAGGAATTGGTTGATCTATTCAACATTTACCAAATACCTACTCTGCACCAAGCCCAGAGTTCAAGCAGACAATGTCTTCCATCTTGAGGCTCAGGGTGATGGGACAGAGATAGCCACAGTCAGACAACAACAGCACAGTGCTGGGTGCTGTAGCCACAGTATGTGGAAAGGGCTACTGGATCCCCTCCTCTGACTTTCTCAGCAAGTGAAGAGAAGATTCAGCAGGTGGGTATGAGAGATATGCCCCCAGCAAGGGTGAGGGGGCTGGAGCTGGCCAGAAGGGAGAGGACTCTCACACATGGGCCTGGATGGGTACTCTAGGTAGGGCTGGACAATGTAGGGCTGGACGTCTGTGTGATGGGCAGAAAGGAACTGCCAAGGTCAGACTGTTGGGGGAGGGTCTTAGAAGCCAGTATTCATATATGTCAGCCCTCTGAACATTTCAGAGCTGAGCTGGCTTTAAGTTAGAGACCCCTCTGCTCTCCTTGGCTTTCATTGCCCTCTGGGTCACAGATTCTGACCATTTGACAGAGGGGCTGGAATCTGGACTTGGGGGCAGGGATTGGACCACTTTACACAGCAGGTCTTGGCGCAGCTAGGTTGTCTAGATCTCAGGCCAGGGGCCCTTCAGATTTTCTTTCTCTCACATCAGCCCTGGGAGGAAGGTCGGAAGATTATTGCTTAGCAAATCTTGCATACCAGCTAAAGAGGCAAGTACAATGCTATGGTACTTCCTCCCAGGACTCATCCTCCTTCCCTCCAGGACTCATCTTTGATTGCTGACTCCTGTTGGATGCTCCTAGAAAGGAACCACAGCTGAGATCCAGAGCTCCTATATCCAAATCTCCTGTCTGGACCCTTCCCTGGCTCTGAAAGGGATTTCTTATCTTGTGGATCAACTCTGGGGATCCATGAATCACCAAAAAACACACGCAAACTTCATGAGGGCAGAAGAAAGATGGAGTTGATGGAGCATTGCTCCAGGCACACCAACAAGCCCAGATTCCAAACCTGACTCTGCCACTTCTAATTGTGACATCTGGGAGAGGCATCGCTCATCTCTTAGCCTTGGTTTCCTCATCTGTGAAGTGGGGATAATTCTCTTTCTCCAACACAAGGCCAAACATGACCTGGTTCATGTACAGGAGGTGCTCAGGAATCATTAGTATCCTTTCAACTTCCTCCCTCTGGCTCATGCCTGCTTCATGAATGGCTTGGAGGCAGGTTTATAAAGCTTTCTGAGTTGCTTGCAGAATCTCACAGAATCTAGGGTAGCACTGTCCTGTCCTGGGCCTTTGGAGGAAGGAATGCAGCTTTTGAATCTCATTTCTCAGGACAGCATGAGTGATCCTGGGAGGCTCACTACCATGAAGAACTTTAGCAGGGGAGGAATCTCTACTGTAGGGGCATGGCAGGGGGTCACGGATCCCTGGTTTTAATACATCTGAGGGTGTGGAGGCTCACTGGGGGCCTGGCTCTCTAGATCTGCAGACTGTCCCTCCTGAGAGGTTTCTCGGGATGTCTCCAGAGATGCCTCCGACACCCCATCAATGCTGCTCAGCAAGTCCTCAAACTCTTGGTGGTTGCTGTTGCGCACGGCTGCCTCCAGAGCCTTCTGGCGCCGGTAGAAGTGGGAGAACTTGTTGAAGATGATGGTGATGGGGAGTGCTACCACCAGGATGCCCCCTAGGATGCAGCCTGAGGCTGCCAGCTTGCCAGCCACCGTCACTGGCACCACATCCCCATAGCCCACGGTGGTCATGCTCACTGTGCCCCACCACCAGCAGGCTGGGATGGTGTTAAAGCCCACGTCCTCCTCCTTTTCAGCTGTGTAGGCCACACCAGAGAACACTGACACACCCACAGCCAGGTACAGCAGCAAGATGCCCACCTCACGGTAGCTGTGCTGAAAGAGAATGTAGAAAGCCAAGTCAGAGTGGATGGGCTTACAGTCCTGGTATTAGGCATATGGGGAAACTGAGGCCCAGAGAGTATAAAGGACAGGTCCAAAGTCAGCAAGATAGAGCTGGTGCTAAGGCCCAGGTCCCCTGACTTTAAACTAAGACCTTTCAACTACAGTTGGCAGCAAAACCCCCTGGTATTGCGCACAGGCCTAAGTTCTATTGTCCAAGGTATCTGCTAGGCTACAGCTGTTTTTTCCAACTCCGGGGTTACTGGTGGCACCACAGCCAGGGAATGAAGAGCTTGTGATTTTTACACTGTTGCAGAACCAAGAGAACCATAGTTTATATTCCACAATGCAAAGAGTTGGTTTCATGTACTTTTGACTGGTCTGAAAAGTATAAAAATATTTTTTGCTCCTCCAGGAAGCTGAGAGGACATAAGTCCCCTGGACCACCCACAGAATTCACTTTCCTATGGCTGTGTATGTTTGCTTTGTCCCTGAGGCCAAGCTCTAGGGCAGTGATTCTCAAACAGGGTGGTTTTGCCCACCACCTCCCCGCCTCCACCCCGCAAGGGACATTTGGGAACGTCTAGAGACATTTTTGGTTGTTGCAACTGGGACAGGTGTGCTACTGCCCTCTAGTGGGTAAAGGCCAGGGATACTGCTAAACATCCTAAAATGTACAGGGCAGCTCCCACATCAAAGAATTACCTGGTCCCAAATGTCAGTAATGCGAGGCTGAGAACCCCTAGTCTAAAGCAGAGTCTCTCCAACTTTAATGCGTGCAGGAATCATGCAGGGGTCTTGGCAGAACGCAATCGCATAGTCTTGGGTAGAGCCAGAGAATCTACATGTCTAGAAAGCTTCCAAGTGATGAGAAAGCTGCTGGTGGTCAGGGGCCTCACTTTGAGTAGCAAGGCTCTCATCTGGAGTATATTACACCTGCATCTTAGACCCTGGCAGCTCTGATTAGTAATACTCTTCTCCCCTACTGAAGACAAAGCTAGTAGTGTCAGGCCCTGGCTCTCTGCATGGAGGGGACAGGGCAGCGTTCTGGGGCACAGGGATCTTCCCTGGGGAGATGCTGAGCTCAGGGGGTCTGCTGAATGTAATTCCTTATACCTGCCCACTGCCCTAGGATTCTGCCTAGGTCATCTGCCAGCACCCAGTATCCTGAGGGCATACAAGAGGCTTTACTAAGCCATGGGTGGAAGGGATCTTTCTTTTAGCATTGTCTGGGGATTATCAGTAGGGTCGCATGGAGCTTTAGGAGAAAGAACATGAGGTGCTGGAGCCAGGCACAGGTGGGTTCTTCTCTGGGTTCTACTGCTTATTGAGGAACCTCCAACAAGCACTGTCACCTCTGGGAGCCTCAGTTTCCACCTCTGCAAAGCAGTGACAATAACCCTTACCTCTGTTTAAACCTCTCACGAGCTCTCCTATACCCTCGGGACCAAGTCCAAAATCATGTGCCAAGACTTCATGACCCTTCGGTGCCCTGCCCCGCTCGACTCTTCAATTTCATCTCTGGGAATCTCCTTCCCTCCATGTCCTCCTCCCAGCATTCATCCTGTTCTCTCTCCAGGCCTCGGCACACGCCGTTCGCCTTGCCTCCCTCTTCAAACCATGCTAATTTCACCCCCCTTGAGTGCAAGCTTGCCAGGGCAGTGATTCACCCACAATGCAGCACCTGGCACAAGGAGGATGCTCAGTAAACTGCAACCAGGCTTTACAGAGCCAACCCTTCAACCTCAGCTTCTTCATCTACGGGAAGAGAATAAATAATAGCATCTTCCTGAGGAAGTTCTCCTAAGGACTAAATTGATAATGGATGTGAAATTGGCACAGATTTAGTGCTCAGTAAGTGTTAGCTCCTGGGGCTATTCCTAGACTTTACCTATTAAGAGTGACCTATGGTTATCAGAGCCCCCTGATAGTGCCAGAAGAAAGGCTCTAGCAGAAAGCCAGTTAGCATCCTGCTTTGCGCATCTTTGTGATATATATAATTTGATGTTTGATAGATATATCAAAAGTGATCTTTGTCTTTTTTCTTCGTTTTGAAAAAGAAAGACAAGCAAAGCTATGCCCCAGTTTTCTCCCCAGGAAAAAGAGATAACGGTAAGCCCTTCTTCACAGGGCTGTTGGGATAGTCACACTGCATGTGAAACGTACACCTGGTGTGCAGCCCTGTGCCTGGCACAAAGGACGGCATCTCAGTTGAACGTTAAGCCTGGACTCGGCAGGCTTGTAAGTTCACCTGCTAACCTGCCGGATGGCTACACCCGCCCACCCCAGCTCCAACCTGGCCTCAGAGGCCGTACCTTGAGCGTGGCTCCCAGCGAGCGCAGCCCGGTGGAATGGCGCGCCAACTTGAGTACGCGGAAGATGCGCATGAGGCGGAACACCTGCACCACCTTGCCCAGGTGGCCGAACTCCTTGCCGCCCTGGTCGCCCAGTGCCACACCAGCCAGCAGCGTGAGATAGAAGGGCAGCACAGACACAATGTCGATGAGGTTGAGCGGGTGGCAGAAGAAGTTGCGCGTACTGGGCGCCAGCAGGAGGCGCGACGACACCTCGAAGCTGAACCAGGCGATGCAGAAGTACTCGAGGCGTCGCAGCACCGGGTCGTCGCGCACGCCTTCCGGGCTGCGGCCCGCGGCCACCGCAGCCACGGCGGCCGCCGCCTCGCGGGCCTGGTACTCGGGCAGGCTGTGGATGCACATGGCGGCGATGGAGGCGAGCACCACGCTGATGGAGACGCAGCTGAAGAGCTTGCTCGGCAGCGAGTAGCCCGGGTTCTCCATGGTCAGCCAGAGGCGGCGGCGCAGGCGGCCACAGCGCGCCGCGCCATAGCGCGCCAGTTCTCGCTGCACGTCGGAGATCTCGTCGGGGCACGGGTCCACGCTGCTCGGCGTGTCGCTGTCCTCGTCCCAGGCGTGCGGCTGGGTCAGCCGCCTCTCCAGGTAGCGCGCGCGGCAGCACGCGGCAAGCGCGTTCTCGCCTAGGCCCCAGTAGTCGGCCTCCTGGCCAAAGGCGAAGACGCACAGCTCGTCGAGCACGTGCAGGTGGCCAGTGCGGTAGAAGTGCAGCAGGCTCAGGAAGAAGCCCGGGTGCCGGTCGAAGTAGAATTCGCGCGCCGCCTCGTCGTAGTCGTCGCACAGGCGCCGCGCCTGCTCCTCCGACGCCGCGGCCTGCAGGCGGCCCAGCCGCGTGCCCGGGAAGCGCGCCAGGGCGCGCGCGCTCAGCTGCCGCCGCACGCCACCCACGTTCACGCGCAGCGCCTCGTCGCTTCGCCGCCAGCGGATCCCGGTGTCGGGGCCCGGGAACTCGCTCACAAAGGTTTCAGTGCTCCTCCCTGCGGACACCAGAAGGGCGCGCTGAGGAGTTCCCGGGCTTCCCTTCCTGGAAGACCAGGTTAAAATCCCCTCCTCCATCCAACCAGCCAAGGGGTGTTGGAGGCTGTGTGTGAAGCATCTGGTATGCAGGAGGCGCTCAGTAGATGTCAGGTGCCCTCTGGACTCAGAGTCAGGCCTGGCTTTGACTATCCTTCATCCCCATCATTTGACTTTGGCCAAATCACTGACCCACCCCACCCCCATTTCATTTTTCTCCTTTGGAAAGTAAATGCTGAGATCTACCTGGAAGGATATGAAAGCGATGGAATCGCAGGATGTCCTGGCACCTAGTGGGTGCTCACATAGGATGTCTCCTTTTCCAGGACAAACTTGGATTTATTTACACCAAAGGTCTACTGTGGGATCTTGGGCCCGCCAGCCCTCTGAACCTGTTTCTTCTGCAAAATGAGGATAGTAACACTTACCTCCTAGGGGTGTTGGCAGCACCACTTTAGACCGGAGGTTCTCATAGTGTGTTCCCCGGACCAGCAGCATCAGCATCACCTGGGAATTTGTCAAAGATGCAAATTCTCAGCCTGCCATCGATTTACTGAATCGGGAACTCTAAGGGTGGGGTCTAGCACTTTGTGTTCTAACAAGATTGGAAAGTGATTCGGCTACATAGTCAAGTTTGAGAGCTCCTGCTTTAGATTATGTAAAGCATCTGTAGAGTCAGCCAGACCTGACCTTGAATCTTGACTCTCTTGTGTCACCTTAGGCAAGTAACATCACCTCTCTGAGCCTCTGTGAAATGGAAATAAAAATATTCACCTCAAAGTGTGGTTATGAAGATTAAATGACCTAGTGTCTTTCTTGGGCTTGGCTCACAGAAGGAATTTAATAAATTATTCACTGGTGTCACTATCTTCTGGAGTCAGGCAAACCTGGGTTTATCTCCACCCCTGACGCACCTGGGGCCTTGAGGAAGCTATTTGTCCTCCAGGTCTCAATTTCCTGCACAACGTAGATAATAGCACCTACCTCCAGGGATGACTGGAGGATTAAGGTAGATTATAGAAAGTGCTCAGCCTTAGTGGATACTCAGGAAGGATTTAGGTTCTTCCACTACCCACTGACTCCTGACTCTGCTGGAATTGGGGGCTAGTGACACCTCCTCACCACTGGCAATCTCATTTGCACTGTGGGTTCAGTAATGCCTAGACTAGGGATTAAGTGTGTGTAAAGCACCTGGGCTTGGCATTAAATGGATTTGGGGTTCCACCCTTAGCTCTATCACTTGTGTGACCTCAGGCCAGTCTCCTTCCCACTCTGGGCTTTAGCTCTTTTACCTCTAGAATGGGGATAATGTTGCTTTGGATGCATCATTATTGTGGTATATGTCAAAGCCCTGGGAAAACAGTAGATGCTCAATAAATGTTAATCCTGTGTACTTCCCTGTGGTCAGACCTGAGTCTACCACTTACTAGCTGCTGTCCTTGAGTGCATTCGTCGCCCTCTCTGGGCTTGTTTCCCTGTCTGTGGAACCGGGTAGCATCATACTTTCCAGGAGAGGCTCAGAGAATTAAATGATGCAAGGTGTTTATCGGCAGCATGGTCCCTGGCACATAATCAATGCACAATAAACGTGTGATGTAGCTCCGCTCCCACCTCCACTTGGATCTCCACCTGCATTTGGCATCAAAAAATGAAATTTCTAATCCAGTTCCATCACCCATTAGAAGCATAATATTGGGCAAATCCCTTCATCCATCAGGAGCTCACTTTCCTGCTCTATGAAACAGGATAATTAATTCAACAAACATTTTCTGACAAGAACCTGAATATCAGTAAGAAAGACCAAGTGACTTGTTCAAAATCACCCAGCTAGTCCATGGCACAGCTAAGGTTGGAGACCAGGTTTTTTTATTTCATTCTCTCTCCACACACTTATTTTGAGCACCTCCTATCTGCTAGTCACTCCTCTGGGCTCCATGCACACCTCACTCGGTTTAATCCCTACACCAACCCTGCCAGGGAGGTTTTCTAATCCCATTTTACAGATGAGCAAACTGTACCAGCCAGGGTCTCCAAAGCGCGGCCACCCCACACTGCTTCCTCCTTGGCGGGGGGTGGGGGGTCTCTTAGAGGGGGTAAGAGCACCAGGAGCCCCAGGCAGCCCCGCCTCCCACTCTGGCTGCCCGGGACCGTCCCGGAGCCACGTCCCTCCCCAAAGGAGGCCCCTTACCTGTGGTGGCACCTCCCGGGCGCCTCGCGTGTCTGTCCCAAAGCCACCGAGGCTGGGAGCCGCTGGCTATACTCGGTCTCGCCTCTGCCCCGCCGGCCCCGCCGAGCCTCCTGCTGCAGGCGGCCCCGCTGCCCTCTCCTTCCTTCTTCCTTGCCTAGTCCCCCGCGGCTGAAGGCCGCATCGATCGCTGCCGGAGGAGGGAGTGAGGCCGCTGGCGGCCGGAGGCGGCGGTTTCTATTCCTGACTCGGCTGGGGGGTGGTGGTGTCTGGAGACTGGGCCTACCTGCAGGGGCATCCTCCGGAGTTACGGGCCGGGAAGGAGGGGTCATTTAGGGCGTGAGGATTCCCCGTAGAGAGGGATTTCAGCAGAAGCTTCTCTGGCAAAGGAACAACAGTAATCATGATTTACTTAATTGAGTGTTTAGTATGTGCCAGGGTACTTCAGCTGCTGCAAGTGATTGATCTCAGTTATTCCTGGCACACACACTTGACAGGGCCAGGATCTTATGTCGCCCATTTTAGGGGTGAGCTCCAGTCATTTTCTCAGACCGTGGGCATCTGAGTTAGGGAGCTGTAGAAGGTGGCCTCATCTCCCTTGGAGCCCCAGGTTCTTCCTAGGTGAGTTGTGAAGCTTGAAACGATCATTTTACCCCTGAGGCGCAGTGTCCTTACCTGCCCACGGGTTCCTGATTCCCACCTGCCAAGTGGGTTGTGAGGGCAGAGAACATGTGCCAAAGAGCTTTGTAGAGGTTGTGAAATCCCCACACATGTACCTGTTGTGTGGCTGCTGTGTGCCTGGTTGGGGAGAGGCTCCTGGAGACTAGGGCCTGGATATGAGCCTTTGCACATATTGTTATTAATAATAATGATAATTACCAACGTTTATTGAGTACTTACCTTGGGTCAAGCACAGACCTCAATCTCACTCAAACTGCAAATTTATCTGTGGGGTAAGTGCTACTATTATTCCTATCTCACAGATAAGAACTGCTTTGAGAGGTGTGGTGACTTGCCGGAGGTCCCATGGCTGACTTCTGAGTCCTCTAGGCCAGCACAGTCCAACACCTATAATGTGAGCCACATATATAATTTTATTTTATTTTATTTTTGATTTTTTGAGATAGAGTCTCACTCACTCTGTTGCAGGCTGGAGTGCAGTGGCACAATCTTGGCTCACTGCAACCTCCGCCTCCTGGGTTCAAGCGATTCTCCTGCCTCAGCCTCCTGAGTAGCTGGGATTACAGGCATGCACCACCATGCCCAGCTAATTTTTGTATTTTTAGTACAGAAGGGGTTTCACCATGTTGGCCAGGCTGGTCTTGAACTCCTGGCCTCAAATGATCCACCTGCCTTGGCCTCACAAAATGCTGAGATTACAGGCATGAGCCACCGCGTCCGGCCCACATATGTCCTTTTACATTTCTGATTGCAACATTTTAAAGAAGTAAAAAACAGGCGAAATTACAGTTACCCCTTAAACAGTGGGGGTTAGGGAAACCACTCCTCCATGCCTAGAAAATTAGAATATAACTTTTGACTCCCCTGAAACTTAACTAGTAATAACTTACTGTTCGCCAGAAACCTTACCAATAATATAAACAGTCGATTGACACATAAATAGTATCTACATATATCTTAGGCATTCACGACATATCTAACTTATTCTTAAGGCTTTTG